>NC_000004.12:94981987-95285017 GCF_000001405.40 Homo sapiens
TTAGGAGGAATCAGAAAGAATAATGTAAGCAAAATGTAGATACTGTGTTACATTTTGAGTATCTTTTCCTCCTAACAGATTCAAAGTTACCCACAAATTATAAGCAAATGTATTCCAGAATGCACAGGGAGAATACATAAAAAACAATGAATCTGAGATGGATTTAATTGTGTTGGGTATTTCCAGAAGAACTCATTTTCACCTAAATTATTTGAGTTTTTAGAGGCAAGCATTTCAAGAATTGCTTTCATTTTTGTTATTCTTAAAGAGAATTTACTTTAGAAAGAAATGTATCCAAAGGTGTATTGCCTTTTTTTAAAAAAAAACAAAACAAACAAACCAAATATTCAGATAGGAATTAAACAATCAGATGCATGACGAAAGTTTCAGGTGAAATCTTTATCTTCCAAAGGCTGCTTATGTAATTAGACTAAAATTTAAATTTCTTACTGTGGCCTAAATTAGTCCTTCTCAACCTTGGCTGCATTATCAGAATTACATGGAGAACTTTAAAGAATACTGGCATCTGCCTTTTACTCCAGCAATTCTGATTTCATTGGTTTGGGATATGTCCTGGGTATCTGGATTTTTAAAAAAGTCCTCGTTGATATTAATGTGCAGCACGATTTAAGAACCACTGGCCAAAAACAACCATGCCTTTTGGCCACCATCTCCTTATTTGACATCATCATGTGTCCTCTTTACCATTAAAAAAAATTTGTCAGCCGGGTGCGGTGGCTCACGCCTGTAATCCCAGCACTTTGGGAGGCTGAGGCGGGCGGATCAGGAGATCAAGACCATCCTGGCTAACACGGTGAAACCCCGTCTCTACTAAAAAATACAAAAAATTAGCCAGGTGTGATGGTGGGCGCCTGTAGTCCCAGCTACTCGGGAAGCTGAGGCAGGAGAATGGCATGAACCCGGGAGGCGGAGATTGTCGTGAGAGGAGATCGTGCCACTGCACTCCAGCCTGGGCGACAGAGCCAGACTCCATCTCAAAAAAGAAAAAAAAAAACAAACGAAAAAAAAATTGTCACCTGAATACTAAAGATTGTTCTTAACCAAGGAACTTTCCATTAGCAGTTTCTTCTGCTTGGAATGCTCTTCCTACAGGTCTTTACGTGGCTGGCTCTTTCTCACCATTCAGGTGTCAGCTCCAAGGGCTCTGCTTTAAGCAGACATTTTCTGAATTTCCCTGTCTAAAGCTTTGTTTTCCCAAATATTATCACATTATTCTGTTTAAATTTTATTATTGCTTTTTTTCCCTATTTGTTATTATCACATTCATTTGTTAGTGTTTGTTTTCCCACTAGTATGTAAAGTCCATGAGAGAAGATACCTGACACGCTGCTTCACCATCATATATCCAACGCTTAAAACTAAGCCTACCACATAGCAGTTGCTCAATAAGTGTTTTTTAAACAAATGAATAAAAATGCTAATTGAAAATGATTTTGGTAATATTCATAATTACATCTTATTTTTGCCAAAAAGTTACATGAAATCACATTTAAAAAATTTGAGTAGAGACCTAGAATGAAATGAATGTCAACAGGCAGAGAGGAAGTACACTTAGAAATGTGATAGTCTCAATATGGAAAATTTAAGGGCAGTGATATTAAGCCTGTTACCACCACTTAAGGCCCTAACTCCAAAGCCATATTTTGGTCTTACCACAGTGTCCCATATTAGAAATTGTCATATACTTTCTGGTTAACGTCTCCTATTTTAAGAACCCAAGTATCACCTCCCCCTCCACAAAGCCTTCTCTGAGCTCAGTCTCCAGGAAGCTTTATTTTCTATGTTGCATGTTTATCTCATGGCCTTTGCCGTATTGTAATTGTAGTGATGTAGCCACCAGTCTGTCTCCCTCACTAGCTTTTAGCCTCACTGGGAACAGGGATTGTGTCTAGAGTGCCAGGCCCATAACAGGTACTAAGCAAGTGTTTATTGAATGAAAGCATAAAATAAATAAGAAATGTTCCATGAGAAGGATTAGAACTGCTAATTAAAATTATAAAATGGATTTGTCAGGAATGTAAGTGAGTTGAAGTAATTTTTAATAGAATAAAGCAATAAAAAACGATATACTAAGCCAATTGGAGGGGGAGGGCATGGTGTTATGCACACTTAGGAAATTAAGAAAACATTGTTGGTGCCAATAAGTCTGTGCACTGACTTCCAACTGATATGTGGCTTGTCATCTGAATAAGGTTTTCATCACTCACTTGGGACTTTTTATACATTATTTACTCTTTTTGATAAACTTCTCAATAGCTGCTATTCAGATAGATGCATTTTCCAGTAACACCTGATATGCATTTTAAAATGTAGCTTTTAAATGGTATTGATTGCCAGTAAACTCAATGAAAACTTTCATCAGTGTACTTTGAACTTCATTATTCTACCCAAAAGAAATTGTAGCAGTCCTTGGGCACATAAATATTTAAGAATCCCTATGTAGAGGCCCTATTAGCTCCATGTCTACTTTTGTCATAATTTTAGCACTTAAATACTACTTAGGATTGCCCCTTCAGATTGTATCCTTCTTCAAAATCTCTACAGTACTACTATGCATAATTTTACCTAATAGCTAGATGACTAGGTTTTTCAAAAGGACAGTCATACAGTTGAAATGGACATATTTTTATCGTGTTTTTAAAAATTACACAGGTAATTAAACAGAGAAAGAAAAATTGGTGTTCAGGACAGAAATTCTGTTCAGGTTCCCAAAGTCCTTGTGAAATACACCACAGTATTGTCATAGCTTTGCTGCTGTAAGCCTGGAAACTGGTGTGCGCTTTTCCCTTCTGCTTTTAGGAGGAAACGCTACCAGTGTCACATTTCTAAGAAGGAGACAGCAAGCAATGAAAGCAGTGTCTTGATACCAGAGTTACAGCATCCAAAGTAGTTTTCCTTCTTTTAATTTGAATCTGCATTCTCACATATTTGGATATAGTTCTGTTCTGGCTTAAATGTTACTGTATAGAAATAAAGGTTTACAGAAGGTCATTCTGTGAACAGAGGTATGGAAAGTCTACACGTGGCACTTCCTGTGAACAGATGGCATGGTACGTTAAGAGAGCATAAGGTGGGATTTCTGTTATGGGCAAAGGGGGAAATGAATCTGAAAGGACAGGGCAAGGTCAAGGTGGTGGAAAGGCCTTTATTCTATGCTGAGAAGTTTGAACCCTCTGTTGCCAGAGGAGGTCTTGATTAAAAAAATCAGCCTAGTAGCAATATAGAAGATTGATGGAGGAGAAAGGAAAGTGGTGCCAGGGAGACTAGATTGTGATCATTTCAGTATTTAAAGTTAGATAAAAGCTAAGTCTGAATTTCAGTAGGAACAGAGGAAAGAAAAGGAGACAAGCTCCAGAGATTCAGAATATACTCAAGAATCTCGAGTAGATAGTAACTAATTGGAAATAGGGGAGAGCAGAAGTGAGACACTGAAATTTTTAGTGTGGTTGACTAAGTAATGATACTGCCATTAACCAACACCAGAGAAACCAAAATAAGAGCTGTGTGTGTGTGTGTGTGTGTGTGTGTGTGTGTGTGTGTGTGTGTGTGTTGGCCATTGTCAACAAAAATATATATGCCCTAAATTGGAAGACTTCGTTCTGTTCCATGGTAATTATTGTGTTTTCCTATAGGAAAATAATTTTGCTGAGATTTGTTCCTGTGGTGTTACTGAAAGATATAGTAGTAAGGGCCCAAGATTTAAGGTGAGATGACCTGAATTCAGTTTCTATCTATATTTCTTTCGAACATTCACACACTGGGCTATTCCCTTACCTGCTTTGAAGTTCACTTTCCTCATATGAAAAGTAGGGATACTTTCTTATTGCCTATCCCGATGAACAAATGAAAGAGCACTTATAAAAATATAAAGTGCCACATAAATGTGAGTCGTTAGATTTCTACAGACTGTTAGGAGTTGGACCGTAAGAGAGGTTTTACCCAAGCACCATGGATCCCTTAGTCCTTAGACATGTTTTTGAGGTTCCTGGACTGTATTCTTTCATTTTCTCTACTGGTGTTAAGTATCAATTATAAGGGGGCAGTTTGTATATATTTTTCCAAACATAAGTATTTATATAAAACAATTATTTTGATTCATTGGTTTATACCAGTTACCTTTAAAACAAAACAAAAACATAAGTAGTTTAATTACTATATTGACATGCTATTTGTTAACATTATTTCGTCTCTTTATTGGGTCATGAAAAAAAGTTTAAGGATTTTCTTTATTCTTATGTTTTCTACTTTTACTATATTTCCTCAGCTCAATTGCACCTCTGTTCTTGCTCAGTCTAGGACTCATACCAGATTGAAGTAAATTAGAGGATGGAAAACAAAACAAAACAAAACTCAGAGTACATTCCTGTCAGTTTTCACCCACTTTAAAGTAATCTCATGAACGTAAAGTTTTCAAAAACCAAAAGAATTGCTTCCATCCATCTTAAAGTCTAATTTAATCAGGTCTTGACAATGTATTTTACGTGACAATGTTCAGATCTACCAAAGTATAGAAGTGAGATTTTTCATTTTTAGTCCTTTTTTTTTCATTACTCTTTAGTTATTTTTGACACCACGTTTCAAGAAAATTTCAGGCCTTGTCAGTCAGAATGGCAAGTAGAAACAACCACATTTTATATGTGAACCAAACAAGATTAATGGATGTTTCATTCATTTTTTACAAAGATTAGTTTGTTTTATTTCTTACTGTTTCCTCTTTTTAAAAAATATATTTTGATTAAAAATATAAAATGGTCCGGGCGCAGTGGCTCACGCCTGTAACCCCGGCACTTTGGGAGGCCAAGGTGGGTGGATCATGAGGTCAGGGGATGGAGACCATCCTGGCTAACACGGTGAAACCCCGTCTCTACTAAAAATGCAAAAAACTAGCCGGGCGTGGTGGCGGGTGCCTGTAGTCCCAGCTACTCGGGAGGCTGAGGCAGGAGAATGGCGTGAACCCAGGAGGCGGAGCTTGCAGTGAGCCGAGATCGCGCCACTGCACTCCAGCCTGGGCGACAGAGCCAGACTCTGTCTCAAAAAAAATATATATATATATAATATATAATATTTATGTTATATATGTATTATATATACTATATATGTATATATAATATGTATATATGTATATGTAATATATATAATGTATATATACATATACATATATGTGTAATATACTATATATAATATATCATATATATGTAATATATATCATATTATATATAATATATGTAATATATAATATAATATAAAATATATATTATATATACATATATAAAATGAATAATGATATTCCTGAGCTTTGCAATTTAAATCTTCCATATGAAAGTGTATTTATCATGGAGCTGTAAAATAGACCAGTGTTTTTGTTTTTTTAATGAATTTTCAGACTTAATCCACATTCCTGTTTTCACTGCCTAAATTTAATCTTTCAGTGATATTTTCTGAGCTACTGCCATATAATTAATGAACAGTGAAAGTCAGTTTAAACTTGGTAGACAAATATTCTCCTCTCCCATTGAGACCATTGAGTTGGTTTTTGCTGAGTCCCTCCTTCCTGGGATTTTCCCCTTTCCATTCTGATGTATGACTTTAGCTTGTCTTAGGGAATCCACCAATCTTTGCTTCTTTCCTTTTAGCTGACATAAATCTCTCTGGCATGGATGGTTTCAGGACCACTTTTTTGACCCCCCCTCGAAAGATACTTCTTATTCTTAAGATTCCGGTTGCACTGCCTAATCAAATATACGGCAGTTTTTTTTTTCTAGACATAACTATTTCATAAAATTAATAGCATATTGTTAATTATGGGTATCTGTATGAATGAAAATATCCTTTAATGAGTCATTTCTAAAAAAGAAACATTGAGAATTCAGCTACACCTTTATAATGAAAGAAAACAGTTGTTTAAAATGTCAGATAATGATTTATCATCTGGATATTAGAATCATCCAGAGATTAATGGAATTAAATGTTCTTATCCAGTCTCTTGTCACATAGACCTAATCTAATTTCCATTTGGAGTAATTGTAGAAATTTTTGATTTAGTGAGGATTAATTCCTTACCTGTAAGAAATCTCTACTTACAGGTATATGATGATTTTAAGAACTGCAGCCTTTTTAAAAAGTAGAAAATGCTTGAAATTATATTGCGAATATTTATTATTTTAAATAACACTTTTGATATTGTCCTTCATGTCATATAAATATACATTTAGCTCTAGGAGAAAAAGAAATTGAAGTACTGATAATACAGCTGGAAACCCACCTATTATTATTAAACATGATGAGAAATCAGTGAAGTTTTAATTTTTAATATAGGTTCAATTAGCAACAACTATAACAAAAATAACTTGATATTCTGGATGCTTTTCATTCTTCATTATTACCTTATTTTATTAAACATAGTTGTTTTATTATTGGTTATGGTTATGTGTATTTTATGCACTATGAATTTAAGATCAATTTCTATTGATAAATGATAAAGTGCTTTAGTTTAGTTTGCCATTTGGTTTATGTGATGTCATATAAAAGTTTAAAAAGACCCATTCTTTGCTATGGTTTCCGGATTTAGTTTATTCCATGTTTACAACTTACATACAACATTATTTCAGTTGAAAAGAACAAATGACCTATTTATTAACTGAGCAGCCAATACTTCTCATACTAATAATGGGTATGTATTACAATAAAGTGGCAGCAGTAAGGTTGGTAGACTTATGTATGATTTTCCTGTGGGGTCCTGGGAGCCCAAATTATTTATTACTTGAGAACAAAGAACCTTAGAGTTAAAGGTAAGTGAGTCTGTATGTGATATGCCTAATGGTAGGTCCCTAAAGTATGAAAAAAGCCCCTTTTTTTTGGGAAAAGAAAAGGATAAAAACAGTTTGTAGTTTACTTCTAACGAGGCACATCCTAGAGTCAATTTTCTTTCTCCTCATTCATTTACACTGAGCGTCACCTGTTCCCTCAGGTGAAAAATGAGGACTAGCTTGGATTATTAATATTTTGCTTGTACCCATTTTCCCCTGAAGAATGTCTCATTACATAAATTTGTAGTATTCACAACTAAGTTTTTGTCAACAACATATTTTGAAATCATTCACGGCCGGGTGCGATGGCTCACGCCTATAATCCCAGCACTTTGGGAGGCTGAGGCTGGTGGATCACGAGGTGAAGAGATCGAGACCATCCTGGCCAACATTGTGAAACCCCGTCTCTACTAAAAATACAAAAATTAGCTGGGCATGGTGGTGCGTGCCTATAGTCCCAGCTCCTTGGGAGGCTGAGGCAAGAGACTCACTTGAATCCAGGCGGTGGAGGTTGCAGTGAGCTGAGATTGTGCTACTGCACTCCAGCCTGGTGACAGAGCGAGACTCCGTCTAAAAAAAAAAAAAAAAACAAAAAAAATCATTCACTACTTAGCTTCTTGATTTCTTAACACCCAATTTCAAGGAAGCATTAAATTAAAGCATTAATGTAACAGGATTACAATTTCAGTTACCTAACATTGATCTGATAGAGTATTTTATTATTACCAAGCTAAAAGTACCAATATAGGTATTTATCATAATCATGAACAGAGAATTAGCACATTTTCTTTGCAATTGAATTTTTTTCCCAAAGCTGCTTCTCCTTACTAAAAGTTCTATTGAAATTGTATGGGAATTCAAATTCATCTTAAAAGCTGAAACAATATACTAATAAATAAAATATTTCTTATTCCTTATTCATTTATTTATTAGTTTATTTATTCAGTTAACAAGTAAGTGGCTCTGTTTATGCCAGGTACAACTTTCTTGGGTCCTCAAAAACATATTTTAAGCTTTATTTGGTCATGGGGTTTTCTGAAATTATATTTACTAAAAGTCAAAAGTAAATAGCCAAATGGCTAATAAGCACATGAAAAGATGCTCAACATTATTTATCACTAGGAAAATGCAGATTAAAGTCACAGTGAAATTCTACTTTGGGAAACAGTTGGACAGTTCTTTATTCTGTTAAACATAAAATTAGCATATTAGCAGTTTTACTACTTGGTATTTACTCAAGAGTAACGAAAATATAAGTTGAGGCCGGGCATGGTGGCTCATGCCTATAATCCCAGCACTTTGGGAGGCCAAGGTGGGTGGATCACTAGGTCAGGAGTTTGAGACCAGCCTGGCCAATATGGTGAAACCTCATCTCTACTAAAAATGTGAAAATTAGCCAGGCGTAGTGGCAGGCGCCTGTATCCCAGCTACGTGGGAGGCTGAGGCAGGAGAATCGCTTGAACCTGGGAGGTGGAGGCTGCAGTGAGCCGAAATCATGCCACTGCACTCCAGCCTGGGCAACAGAATGAGACTCTGTCCGTCTCAAAAAAGAAAAAGAAAATATAAGTTGAAGCAAAAACTTGTTTATAGCAGCATTATTCATAATGGCCCAAAAGTGGAAACCAACCCAAATGTTCATTAGCTGATGAATGCATAAATAAAACCTGGCATACCCATACAATGAAATACTATTCAACAATAAAATGAATTATTGATTCCCAGTGATGCAGGTACTAACATTAAATCCATTTCTTTGATGAGGAAACTAAGTCACATATGTAACTTACAGTGTAACTGAAGAAAGAAGAAAACACAGGGCTGCTTGACTTCAGAGTACTCAACCTCTATGCTGGAATGAGGTTTTGTTGTTGTTGTTGTTGTTGTTGTTGTTTTTTATACTTTAAGTTTTAGGGTACATGTGCACAGCATGCAGGTTAGTTACATATGTATACATGTGCCATGTTGGTGTGCTGTACCCATCAACTCGTCATTTAACATTAGGTATTGTTTGTTGTTTTAAAGCATTACCCCATCCTTTTTCTTTTCTTCGTGGCCGAACTTTTTGAAAGAGTGACTTGATTCCTGTCTCACTTTCCTTGCTTACCTCCCACCTTCTATGAAAACAGCTCAGCTGCCAGTGCTTTTTCTTTTGTAATAACTGCTTTTTTGAAATAGAATTTATATACCATAAAATTTGTCCTTTTAAATTGTGCATTTCAGTGGTTTTTAGTATCACAGTACTTTCTGAATGTTGTATGTAATGGCCTTTTTCAGTCTCTTTCATATTTAATCTTTCCATGACATTCGACATTGTTGACCCCTCAGTCCTTGACTCTGTCCTCATTCAGCCCTTTTTCATTCTCCTTCTACTGACCTCATAATTGTTTTTCAGTCTTTATGCCCTTGTCTTCCTTGACCTACTTTGTAAATGTTGATTTTTGTTTACTTCTCATTGTACATGCTACTTCTGAGAGATCTCATGACCTTGGGAGCCACCTTTATTGGCGTGTTGCTCATAAATGTTTATTTTAGTAATTTATCTAACAAATATTTATTGTGCATTCATTATGTAGAAGGCTCAGTTTAGGGACTTGAAGTCTATGCTGTTATTGAACCTATATTCTATGGGGAAGACACAAGCAATAGCAAATAACAAGGAAGTCTGCAATTTTAAATAGTATGAGAGTGGTAGGCTTTGCTGAGAAGGTGCACTTTGAACAGGGACTTGAACGTGAACAGTTAGCCATGCAGCTCTCTGCAAGAACATATAGCAAATAGAAGGATACCAAGGGTAAACTGGTCAGGGACATTTAAGGAATGGTAGGAGGACAAGTGGGTTGGAGCTGAGAAACTGAGGGGGTCCCTAGTCCATGCTGTCAGAGACAAGATGAAAGAATAAAGTGGGGCTAGGCTATATGGACCATCAAAAGGACTTTAGCTTTTACTCTGAGTAAAATGGGGAAGCAGTACAGGGCTTTGATTAGAAGATGAAAGTAATCTGAGTGAGGTTTTTAAGTGACTTCTGTTACTTCTGTGCTGAGAATAGACTATATGGTGACAAGGTTCGAACCAGGAAACCAAGAATACAAAACTACTTACTGAATTGATGCAGTCTTCATCTCTCCAGGATTCTAGACTAGTATATTTAAACGCCCATTGAACATACTTCAGTACAACACAGATATCTAAAGTTCATCATGTCCCAAACTAAATCCATCTGCTCTTCCCAGCTCCATGTTCCAAAGTTGCCCTCTCCTCCCAAAACCTTGCCTTGGCAGAGACCCAGCCACTCAGAGAAGAGCCCCGCTTGACTCTTCATGTATTCCTTGCCCATCAGTCAAATTGAGGATTAAAAAAACCTTTAAGTTCTCTTTAGTAAGGTGTATCAGTTACTTTAATTTAATCCACTGCTTAATTTGTTAGTCCTATCTTTCTGCTACCCCTCAATACTCAATATTAAAATTCAAGCAGTTCCTTGAGAGAAATGCAGGATACAGCAAATCCGTCCTGAGTTTGTGAGTGCACTGTTTAATCCACTACCTTGCCTGGGCATGGGCCTATACATCTTCAGTGACTGCTATAAAGGCTTTATGTGGTACTGTAGTCCAGCCAGACAGATTTGGGCTGAATCTCAGTTCTAGAATTTATTAGTCACATGACTTCAGACAAGCCACTTAGTAACACTAAGCCTCATTTTCTTTATTTAAAAAAAGGTAAAAACATAACCATCTGCCAATGTTGTTTTTAGTGTTAGAGATAATATTTCCAAAGCCCCTTTTGGACAGTCCTTGATAAATAATACTTCTACTCCCTCTAGACCACATGCCTCAAGAAGACAGAGGAAGAGACTTTTTACATTAAGCCTCCCTCTTTGTGTTTTACAGTTCTGTGGGCTTTGTCAAATGCATAATATCATTCATCTGCAATTACAGCATCATACAGAGTAGTTTCACTGCCCTAAAAATCCCATGTTTCACTGTCATCTCCTTACAACCACCAATCTTTACACTGTCTATTGTGTTGCCTTTTCCAGAATGCCATATAGTTAGAATCATAAAGTATGTAATCTTTTTTTTTCCCCCTAAAGAGATGGGGTCTTGTTCTGCCATCCAGGCTGGAGTCCAGGGGCACAGTCAATAGCTCACTGTAGCCTCGAATCCCTGAGCTCAAGGGATCCTCTCACATCAGCTGGGACTACTGGTGTGTGCCACCACACCTGCCTAATTTAAGTTTTTTATTTAATTTTTTAAATTTTTTGTAGAGACAAGGTCTTGCTATGTTTCCCAGGCTGGTCTCGAACTTCTGGCCTCAAGAAATCCTTCTGCCTTGGCTTCCCAAAGTGCTGGGTTTACAGATGATGTGAGCCACTTGTGCCCAGCCCAGTATATAGCCTTTTCAGACTGGTTTCTTTCCCTTGGCAGTTGAATGGGTAGTTTTAATGGAATCAGTGTCTAGATTATCCACTTCTACATAAACTCTTTATTAATATTGATCTGGCTAAGAATAGTCCTTTATTCATAACACTCTTTCTCTTACCTTACAAGAGAAAAGCACACCCTTATCCATCCCAAATGTTATTATGGTGCATTATCCTGGAGTCATAGAAAATTTAACATTAAAAATTCAACTAATGCATTAAATTTGTATTGCAGTATGACAGGGTGGCCGGGTGCAGTGGCTCACGCTTGTAATCCCAGCACTTTGGGAGGCCGAGGTGAGCAGATTACCTAAAGTCAGGAGTTTGAGACCAGCCTGGCCAACATGGCAAAACACCCATCTCTACTAAAAATACAAAAATTAGTCAGGTATGGTGGCACATGCCTGTTGTCCTAGCTACTTGGGAGGCCTAGGTAGGAGAATTGCCTGAATCCAGGAGGTGGAGGTCATAGTGAGCCAAGTTAGTGTCACTGCGCTCCAGCCTGGGCAACAGAGCAAGACTCCATCTCAAAAAAAAAAAAAAAAAAAAAAAAGTATGACAGGGTGAACAACTGAGGACTTAATTATTAAAATATGTAAAAATTCTGTGAGGCAGCGAGATGGAAATAAAGGTCAAGAAAATAAATAGCAATGTAAATTTCAGCTGCCAAAATAAGTATCTCTGTGTGTTACTTAAATACATAGTGATTATATTAAATTATTGTAGATTTAGATGCTATTGAGTATATTTAAAATAGCTGATGTGTTTTGTTTTAAAATGTCAATATTTCCAATAGGGTAGAAATTAAATTCTTTGCAAGTACATATTTTACCACAGGTGAAAATTTGTATATGTCAATTTGGTAATGTGTAAATGGTTACATAATTTTTCAAAATTCTTTTAAGAGTCTGTGAATAAAGGCAGTTAAAACCTGGTAGGCTATCCTACTCTATAAAACCCAAGTTTGTCAACCTGGCTTATAAAATCCTTCATCACCTTATTCCTTCTAGTTGGTTTTGTTTTGTTTTTAACTACTTTCTGTCTTACACTCTAAGCTCCAGCAAGAAAGATCTATTTGAAGTTCTAAGTATGTGTTGTGCTCTTTCCTGCCTTTGTCTTGATTGTGTTATTCTTCCCTTTGCCTCACTACCTTCTGCCCATTCTTTAGGATCCAGAAGTCTGGAGTGAGGAATTACCTCTTGGCTCAGATGCTCATTTTCCCTTCTCCCATGGTTTCCTCCTCTAGTCTTCTTGCTACGTTGTTTTACATTTAACTTCTATTTTGTTTTTCTGGAATTAGACCTGGAAGGTCTTTAAGAGTAGGAACTATGTTTTATCTTTGCCTGTTCAGCACCTATATACCTGTGTCGACAATAAGTTAATTCATTAGATGAATATTAATTTTTGCATTAAGCAAGGAGAGGTGGATTTCAAATAGTTTGAAAGTTAATTCTTATGTGTAACTTTTTTTTTTTTTGGTCAGTTACACTGTAGAAAGTTATTTTTCTTCTATGCTGGTTATTTTTCTGGCTGTAATATTTGCATTTACTGGTAAGATTTTAGTAAGCTTTCATATGAAGATGAGCCTAAAGATGATTTTGAGAACCACCATTCTAACAGAAGGAACACATTACTGTAAGTAATCAGGCAAGGTTTCTAGTTTTGGCTCTGTCACAAAGTTGCCATGTGACCCTGGGCAAAGTAACCAGCCTGGGGGTTGATTTTCTTATCTGTAAGATGAGTAAGTGACCAGAGTCTCCCAAAAGTTTCCTTTACCTTTGATTTAATCAAGAGAAAATTTTAGTAAAGCAAACAAATGATTATCTTTGACAAGAAGTAAAAAATATGGGCTGATTTATTTTCTACTCATTTATACTGTGGACCTTATAGGTGGTATATGGAGATACTATGTATCTTGTTTATGTCACCTGCAAACCATGTACTGTAGTGTCATGGCTTGGAATCTATCCTTAATCTAAAAATTAAATTTTTAAGTTGTTATAAATATAGAAGTTTATATTTAAACTGTAAATATTGTGTTGAGTTATAATTTTAGGTTATATTTTAGCATCTTTCACTAAATATATGATGTATCTGATTAATGTTATACTTTCCTATACATTTCTGTCATTCTCTAAATGAACTTACGTTGACATATTTTTTTGTGACCAATTACTTAGTCACTGCAGCCTTTCTCATTGAGAAGCAATATTAAAAAAATTACAAAACTGCTTTCCTGTGTCATTTGGATTCATAATGTGTCATAATTAAGTTTTATAAAGCTTGATTGACTGACATTTAGATATGACTTTTATAAAGGGTTTGAGATTGTGTTGTTTGGCCGAAACAAAGGCAGTATTTCCTTTCTTGTCTTTGACTCCACCTAGCCCCACTTTTCTCCACCTACCTGAGGAAAGCTGTATTTCTTCAGACAAACTTAATAATTGCCCTTCTGTGCCTGATTTGGGCCTCAGGAAAGGCCCATAGCATCTGTAAAGCTGGCAGCAGAATGGTATTTCCAGGCAAGCACAGGGTTGCTGGGTAGTGAGCCAATCCACAGCTTTGTCTGAGCAGCTGAGAACTTTGCCGGAGTATTACCACGGTGTTCAGTAACACAGACCTGTGCCATGAGCAAGTAAAGCACTGAGCAAGTGTCAGGGTCAATATTTATAGACCACTACGTAGCTGCCTTGCATAGAGAGAAAACGGGAGAGTAACATGCACACAGAGGGCAAGGAAAGAAAGACTGCAGTGGAGGGAATGTTAATTTCCAATTTTTTCTGAAAATGTATTCTTTCTAACTGTCAGGTTCAGACTTCTGCTGATTCATAACCATTTGGCTCTGAGCTATGACAAGAGAGGAAACAAAAAGTTAAACAAGCAAGCCTGCCATAAGTGAGAAGGTAAGTAATTAGCCAGTTCAGTCTCGCTGTTACTCGTAAACTCTCTCCCTGTTGGCTGCACTGCATCAGTAAGCAAAGGGCTGTGTGGCATGTCAAAGCTAATGAGGAGGGCTGCCTGCTGGGTAAGAATGTTGTTGGTGGCAGAGCCGTTTTGTGTACTGCTGTTGAGAATGCCGGGTACATTCACAAGACGTTTCCTGCGTGTGGTAGGAACAGCTCTCAAGCACCAATTTCATATTGTGTCCTATCAGTAAGTTTCTGTCTCTTCATTCTGTCAAACTCGAGGTCTTCCAGTTGGTAAAGTCCTATTTACTTTTATGTCGGTATTAAAACATTAGTGTCAGTTAAGTTTATCGTAGTGAGTGGTCTAGACATGGATTATAAGGGAAACATTCAGATGAACGTATGAAGGTGCAGTAGTCAGTGTCAAAATGTGGAAGCTGGGAATTGGGGTAACATGGGGTCTTTTTATAAAAGAAGCCAACCTCCATTTGCCAGTGCACTGAAGTGAAATAGTACCTTTGGGATTAGAGAGAACCTGGGGTGGTGAGAAGTGAGAACAGTCTTCCTAATCCACGGTGCCAAAGGCAAGCACTGAGGAGAAGTTCTCTGCTTGTCCAGGTCACTTGCTATTGGATTCTTAAAAACTGCGACTCCCTACTCAATCTCAAACTAAAATTAACATCTCCTCCTATGCATTAATAGTTCTTTTTCTCCTGTCATCACAGGTAGCACTTTAAATATGTTTCTGTGTATGTTCACGGTGCTGTAGCATGTTCATCTTCATTATGGTTTTTCATATTCTGGATTATCATTAAAAGCATTGGCACTGAAGGAGACAGAAAGAATTGTTTTCTATGTATTTTCTGGTTCTAGCTCATGAAATATATATACTTGTATGTTTATATGTACTACACATGGACTAGAAAGTCAATTATGTTGTTTCACTAGAACTGTGGCCTTAACTAGAGGAGAGTTATCTACTGACATAATGAAAATTTCCTTGATTGCTTTTCAGAATGTAGAACTATCAGCATTAGCATGATATTTAGAACTGTTAAGTTAGGTTATAGATGGTGATTATAGGTCCAAAGGGTTTTCTGTACTACATATTTAAGTTAAAAACAAAAATGAGATTGATGCTGCTGTAGAGCTGAAACTGGACACCATTAGAGATATGAGGAAAAGCTAATACTCTGGCACAGATTTTGTGTTAGGGCTGAAATACAGAAATCAGCCCATTCTAAAATAGGATAAGCCAGATCTAAAACAACAGGTAGAATATGTTTAAATGTAAAGTAAGAATTTTAAAATGAGACCAATAGCTGTGCAGTATCACTTTTGTTGAATGCGTATATAACTTTTCAAATGATGCAAAATGTTTCAAAATTAATTTTATTACTTCAGAAATACCTTAAGGCTAATCTAATTGATAGCTTAAACTGTATTTTAACATTCATTTAATGCTTGTTTTATCATGTGAATCTTTGTACTTCTTCCAATTCTGCCTACCATTTCCATTTTATTAGTGGGTTTGATTTAGATTTTTGACAATATCTTTATTTTGAAAATACAACCATGATTGATCTAGAATGGGCATTTCCCAGTTATAGAATCTAACTGGCTAAGTTCATCAATCAATTTTTATTTGCTTTTGCCTTTGAGTAATATCTCATGATCAAGATTGTAATTTCAGATTTTTATTCAGTATCTTTTATTTTTTGCTTTATATTTTGCATAAATACTAGCATGATAATTGCTTTCTTACCCCTTTTTATTGGTTTTGTTTTTATTCCTTCTGGTGTCTTGTTTCTGAAGTACCTTGTTGAAATTTGGGCAGAAAACAAGGCAAGCAAATAAAGAACTACAATAAGAAGAAACTAAAGAAAGTTTTCCTTTAAATCAAGAAGAAATACAAAATTGTGACACTGGTTGATAATGTCTACATTAGGATGTATTTTGTTTGAAGACTGGTTGAGTGTTTTAAAACTTGAAATGCCTTGTCAGTATTATTTTTGGCTCTGTAGTCCATCCTGACATTGGTTATCATATTTATAAATAATATTTTATATGCAGGTATATTATACAAAATGAAAATGGCACCTTTTGTATTATGTGTTAAGTATCTATTGAAGCAATGTGAATGAATTTAGCTTGAAATATTAATATTAGCCTCCTCATGGATCTCACTGCCCTAGAGTCATATTTGTTCTACTAGTAGTCCAGCTGCTACACTACTCCTTTTTTTTTTTTTTTGAGATGGAATTTCAATCTTGTTGCCCAGGCTGGAGTGCAATGGCGCGATCTTAGCTCACTGCAACCTCCGTCTCCTGGGTTCAAGCGATTCTCCTGCCTTAGCCTCCCGAGTAGCTGGAATTACAGACATGCGCCACCATTCCCAGCTAATTTTGTATTTTTAGTAAATATAGGGTTTCTCCATGTTAGTCAGGCTGGTCTCAAACTCCTGAGCTCAGGTGATCTGCCTGTCTCGGCCTCCCAAAGTGCTGGGATTACAGGTGTGAGCCACCACGCCCAGCCTGCTGCATTACTTTTAGAAGGGTCAATCTTCCACCCTGATGAACCCATTGCTTTTAATCTAAAACCCTCCCATCCCTGTCTTTCTACTGCTTATAGATAAAGACCAGGCTTTACTATGAGTCTCTTGTTCATATACCTTCTACTTTTGTTCTATATTAATCTTCTGCCGTTCCTTTTGGGCTGTTGTCTGTATCTCTCTTGCCCATCCATGAGAATATTCCCCTTTCTCTCCATTTTATTTGCTGGCAGTATTCAACATCTCCTATTTCTCAAAACAATCCACATTGCATTGCTTTTTTCTTGTATCATTTATGCTGTTCTATCTTGAAAACCCTTTTCCCAATCTTTGCCTTCTAGCCTGAATGGAGAAAGTCCTGCTGGTCTAATCTCAGACTCTGTGACTTGGCCTCCTGTATAAATCTCTGTCCCAGTACTTTGCAAAGCTTGGTAATATAGTGTTTTATGTTTTTGTTTCTGCCTGAGACTGTAATCTATTTATGGCCAGATTTTTAAATTTAATTCTTTTATGCTTCCCCAAGACCTAGCATATAACAAGTGTCCCAGAATTTGAAGTAAACAAAAACTTTATCATACTTATTTTAAACATAATTTTCTTTATACCCCTTTCACTTTAAAATATTTTACAATTTTGATTCATTAGATTGAAGGAAAGCCTCTCAAGTAGATGGTACATATTGGTAATAATAATTAAAAAATTATTTTGTTTCTTTTTCTAGGACCAATCAGTGTTGTGCGTGTGTGTGTGTGTGTGTGTGTGTAACCATGAAAATAGATATTTGCTGAACTCATAAGTTTATTTGGGTAACAAGAGTCAAAATGATATTGGTTAGCAAATAAAAATTCAGGATACATATTCCAAAAATGCTGTTTATGTAATTAATTTGGTGAAGTCTGTCAAAAAAACCAGCTAGTTGCTGTGGCCGTGTTGACTGCTGTGGTAAATTAAGTGATGCCCTAGCAAACTAAAGACAGTGTCATGCCTTCCAAAAGGCCCAGAGAGAGCTTCAGGAGAGAATAGGTCCATCCTCATGTAGCCGGGAGAATTGCAGAATGAAATTGCTCCCAGTATTACTAGTAAACCTTCAAATTTCATTTACTGGGGCAGAGATAGTTCGGGTTTTAAGGAAATAATAGAAAATCATGGTCTGAAAATTCTCAAACCTGAAAGGTGATATTCCATTTCAGGCAGAAGAAGAAGTTGCTCCTCAAAATAGAAATGTTGAAAGAGAAGGAAGTTGACGTTTAAAAAAAGTAGTTGTGAAATAGCAGCTGTTTCTTTTAGCTCTGATATTCAATAAAAATAAAATTTATTTTGCCTTTAATTGTATTTTATTTGCCCATCATACATAAAAGTACTTACATTATATATGAAATATTGTATATATCAGGAACAAGTGTAAAGCTTCATGAACAATTTGGAGTGACTTATAGTTTTCTTAATTTAATTATTTTTACTTTAGTGTGCTCTACCAGCAGTTTCCACTACTATTTAAACCTTATAAACATCTTCCAGACATTGAATATGACTCTTCTGTTTGTTTAACCTTGAATTGTATCTCTGTCTTAGGAATGAAAACAAGATTGGTATTTTCATAGGAAAATTTGGTAATCTTAATTGCTTGGAATGGACTGTAATTCAATTTGGAACTTTTTTTCAGATATAGTTTGCCCATATAACTATCCTGTGTTAAAAAATATGTGGAGTGGGGAGGCTGAGCAGGAGAATTGCTTGAATCCAGGAGGCGGAGTTTGCAGTGAGCCAAGATCACCCCACTGCACTCCAGCCTGGCGACAGAGCAAGACTCCATATCGAAAGAAAGAAAGAAAGAGAGAGAGAGAAAGAGAGAAAGAAAGAAGTGGAGAAAGTGCCTTAGCAAAGAGTTTTAGGTATGGATTTTATAGATCTCAGTGGCGTATCAAATAATATAAATATTATATGATTGGGATGGTGGAAGTTTCTTTGGTATGGACGTAGAAATATACCAAGTTCCTGTTAGCCAGTGAGGAGGGAAACCCAAGCTTGCCTTAGTATGGAAAGATTATAACAACAACAAACATAAGCAAAAACACTACCAGCAGCACCAAGAAAAGCTCAAAGAACTTTGTGGTTGGAATGAGGCATAAAGGATTTTACCAGAACAATCAAGTCTTATTTTATTATTGTTAGAAGTTTTTTGCCAACCAAAATTTTTCTGTAACAGTGAAGGGCATATAATTCATAGAGCCTGAGAGGAGAAGAGTAAATTAATTATGGAAGTGGGACTTGAAAGCTTTTCTTCAGTACTTCCATTTTATCAATGGGCAGTTGTGGCATCCATAGGTAACATAACCCGCCAAACATCAGCTTTTCAAGTAGCTAGTTAAGATTTGGATAAAAATTAGTATTAGGTAATTATAAGGCCAGTATTTTTTTTTATACTTTAAGCTCTAGGGTACATGTGCACAATCTGCAGGTTTGTTACATATGTATACATGTGCTATGTTGGTGTGCTGCACCCATTAACTCATCATTTACATAAGGCCAGTATTTTATTAATGCAGCTTTTCTTGTCTGAGTGTAATTGCTCTGTTTTTGTTCTTCATACTACATTTAATTTTTTGTGTCTCTGTGTCTTGTCTTGTATTAGACTCCTTTGCATTATTTCTTAATTCCTGGAAGAATTAAGATGGTATTTCTTAATACCATCAAGTGAGATGGAGTACTCTCCCACTTCAAGTAATTTTTGTTTCTAATGACAGATACCCTTTCTGGCTCTCCTGAATTGCCCTATTCTGTCTCATGGTACAATCACATTCTGCCACACAAACATTCATTCAATAGAACATGGCACATAGTCCTGGAGCAAAAGATAGAAGCTAAAAAACAAGTTTCATGCTTAGATTATGTCTAAGATTAGAATATAGAATATCTGTATTTCAGTAGGATATATATGGCTACATTTTGTTTTATAATTTTGTTTAAAGATGATTATTTGTTCTAATTTACACCTAGAAAAACATTGTTTAAAACAAAAATGAAAGAATCCAATTGGCTTTTCCATGTTATATTTGCTTTCATCTGGGATTCTTTTAAAAATTTAAATAATCGAAGACGTAGAGGGGGGCAAAACAAGTTTGTTTTGTACCTGTTATATTCTAGTAAGTTTTTGCTTCTCTATTTCTATTCCCACCACTCCCAAAGAAGTTGGGGCTCTTTGGCTCCATCCATTCTTATTAATATTAAGGTCTCTGGTAAAATTTGCTTGTATACTTAGATGAAAGAGGTTTTTATTGTTGTTGTTGTTTTATAATTTCAACTTCTCTTTTAAATTCAGTGAGTACAGGTACAGGTTTGTTACATAGGTATATTGCATGATGCTGAGGTTTGGAATACAAATGATCCCATCATCCAAGTAGTGAGCATACTACCCACTAGGTAGTTTTTCTCTCTTCCTACCTTCCCTCCCTCCACCTCTGGTAGTCTCCAGTTTCTGTTGTTGCCATCTGGATGTCCATGAGTTGCCAATGTTTAGCTGCTACTTAATAAGTGAGAATACACAGTATTTGGTTTTGTGTTCCTATATTAATTCACTTAGGATAATGGCTTCCAGCTGCATCTAAGTTGCTGCAAACGATGATTTCATTCTTTTTTATGGCAGTGTAGTACCATGGTGCATATGTACCACATTTTCTTTATCCATCCACTGTTGATTGTCACCTAGGTCGACCCCATGTCTTTGCTATTGTGAATAGTGCTGTGATGAACATATGAGTGCATGTGTCTTTTGGGTTAGAGCTATTTCTTTTAGATCTATGCCCAGCAATGGGATTCACTGGGTCGAATGGTAGTTCTGTTTTACATTCTTTGAGAAATCTCCAAACTGCTTCCACAGTAGCTGAACTAATTTACATTCCTACTAACAGTGTATAAGCAATGAAAGAATTTTTGAACATATAGCAGCCTCAGCCTGTGATTTCTGTACCTTCCTGTTTCCTCCTCCCTCATATCAGAATCAAAGTGATCTTCATGGTTCTCCATCAATAAAAAAGCCTGGTTATCCCTTTGTGATAATTTTCGATTGGATTAATACCTTTCACTTTAAATAAGTATTACCCACTTTTTAAATGTCTTGCCTGCAAAGAAATGTATAATTTTTACATCTTTGCTAATATGATAGAGGAAAGTGATATTTAATTTACTTATTTTTAATTACTAGTGAATTTGAGTTATTACCTTTTCTGTTATTTATAATTTATTTATATACTTATTCTTTTTTTTCCAGCAGCTCTATTCTCTTTTCTGGTTTAGAATGTTCCTTTATTTAAAAAAAAATTAAAGGATCTTGATTTTTTAAATATCTATTAGTTGCAACTGCTTTCCTAAGATTTTGGTTACTTTTTAATTTTGTTTTATGTGTTTTGAAACATAAGTATGTTTTGAAATATTTTTATTAAAGCTAACCAATATTTTCTCAATATCTTTTGAAACTTAGAAAGTCTTTTTAAAACCTAGAAATGGGAAAAAATATTTTTCTGTATTTTTATGTCTTAATTTAACTGTTAATACTATAGTCCACAAGGATTTTTCTGACCAATACTTCAGCACTTTTACTGAATCGTTCTCCCCCTTTCTCACTTTTTTTGTGAACTCATTTTTATCTTGTATTCTTGTGCCACAAATTTAAATCTTTAGGTTACCTTTCAGGTTGTTTTGCATTAACATTTTTATCTCTGTGGAATAAAGTTGATGTTTCTTGTTTAATGAGATTTAAGCATTGGAACATGTTAGGGTGGTGGTGTTGGATTTAACTTGGCGTGATTCTAGAAATTACTGTAGACAAGAGGCTGTGTATGTTACTTATGTTAAGCCAGACCAAATAATATAATCTGTGTGATTGAGAAATGATGCATGAATAACCACCTCCATTTACAAGGGGTGCCTGTATGTGTGTATATATGTATATGTATATTTTATTAATCCTTCTAATAGACCATTGGATGACTTATTTCTATTTCCTCTTTTCATGATAAAGAAACTGAGACCCCAAAATGTAAAGTAACATGATAACCTCACATAGCTAATCAGTGATAAGGTCATGATTTAAACTTGGATATGACCAAAGTCCATCTTTTTTTTTTTTTTTTTTTTTTTTGAGATGGAGTCTTGCTCTGTCGCCCAGGCTGGAGTGCAGTGGCACAATCTCAGCTCAATACAACCTCCTTCTCCCAAGTTCAAGCGATTCTTCTGCTTCAGCCTCATGAGTAGCTGGGACTACAGGTGTGTGCCACCATGCCCAGCTGATTTTTGTATTTTTAGTAGAGATAGGGTTTCACTATGTTGGCCAGGCTGATCTCAAACTCAATATTTATATACTAATTGGTTACCTGGAATGATTTAAGAGGGTAGTTTAATCTGCTCTGAAGAGATACACTTCATAAACATAGTTTGTGTTTGTGTACGTGTGGGGGAGTTCACATGTGAAAGTTTATAAAAAGACATCATTTGAAATTTTAATTTTTGTTATGCATTTGCCCACCATGAAATATTTTGTTCTGTTTTCCTCTTTAACTCAAGGCAAACAATTTTGCTTCAGTATAATATAGGACTTTTTCCTCCTTGAATCACTCTGCCCTTTGTTGATACATTGGTATGTCTTTGGTAACAATTCTGCTGTACTTCATTTTGTTTTATAGCCCTGCCCTAGAACATTTAAAATTAAATTACACCTTATAGTTGATAAGCAGGTTGTTCTTCTATTATTTGTAATATTATGCATCAGTATTTGTATTGTCTTAAAAGTCTTAAATAGTTTATTTATATTCCTCATTTTCCAGTCATATTTATTTTCCTGCTTTAGTGTAAAGGTGATTATTACTGCACATTATATGGTTGAAACATAATTCAGTTATGGTTTTATATATTCCTCAGGTGAATATTTGCTTTTTCTCCATGTAAAATACATTTTTCTTAAGAGCTCTGTCTTTCTACTTCTCTCTATACCAATTTTAACTTCATCAGTAAATTAATGTATCATTATTCCCAGTAGTAGTTTAGCTTACTAACCTTGAAATTTATATCTGTGTTTATTGTAAGAGGCTTTTTGGCAAATTGATCTTGACAATAATAGAGAAAGAAAGCATGGTGACCTAGGACACAACGTTCTACTGAAATAATTCGCAGTTCTTTGAATGTGTAGAGTTTTTTTGTTGTTGTTTATTTGTTTTAAATAAGCCAAGATACAATGCATATAGTCTTCTGAGTTATTCATTAATACCTCACATGTAATTATTTTAAATTATTATTGGTAGAAACAGACAATTTAGAATGCTTTTTTTTCTTTAGCCATTGCAATATAAAGTTGATTGGTACAGCTTGCAAAGCACAATGTGAGTTTAAAATATGTCTCCTGAAACCATGTGTTCTTAACTTGGGGAGCTGGTTTTGTGGTCAGTTTGAAGCTGTTCCCATAGTGTATGTTCCTTCTAGTTAAAAGGAAATGTGATATTTGTGCTAACATGATTTCATTGTTAATAGTCCAAACTAGTACTATAAATTGTAGAGGTAGAGAATCAATTTTAAAATTTTGGTTATATTTTAATAAAATATTTTTTGTGACACATAAGTTTCTGTTTATTAGCTGTGTATTGCCAGTGGTATTAATTGATGGTATTAGAGCATACCTGAGATCAAATACTGGTTTAGAAATACCATAAGGCATGTAGAACACACAGATGGCCAATTGTACATTGGCGTCCTGTAAGGCCACTCATTTCTTACATTTAGGGCAGTTCAACAAACAGGCTGACGTACTATGATCTTTCAGACAGCCCACCCACCCAGCCAGGAGCCATACATGTTATCACTCCCCTCTGTGTTTCCCTCCTCCCCTCCCACTTCCCTTCCTGGTTACACTCTTCCTTTCTTGATCCGTCTTCTTCCCGGCTCCTTCCTTTCTTTCCTAGTTTTTCTTTCACTTTTTTATCTTGTTCATAAATGTCAGTTGCATCTCAGCAAGTTTCTGTTATACCAAGTTGTTAACTGATTTTTTTTTTAAATTTCAACTTTTCCTTATCTTCTGTCTTCTGTCTATTGCCCAATTATGTTAGAAAACTCTTTTTGTGTGTGTGCATTTTGAAGAAAATCTTTCCAGTTGTAACAGAAACAGTAAATGCCTGGAAGCAAGAAAAACATGTGTTATAAAATGTAAAACTGCAATTAGCATCTTTCACAATTTCCCTAAAGTCATTTACCCTCTCATTTTATAATTAATGGTAACGTCAACATGTCACGGATATTTGTATATATGATAATAGTTTCCGCTGGGCACAGTGGCTCAAGCCTCTAATCTCAGCACTTTGGGAGGCTGAGGCAGGCGGATCACGAAGTCAGGAGTTCGAGACCAGCCTGGCCAACATGGTGAAACCTCGTCTCTACTAAAAATACAAAAACTATCTGGGCGTGGTGGTAGGCGCCTGTAATCCCAGCTACTGGGGAGGCTGAGGCGGGAGTATCCTTTGAACCCAGGAGGAGGAGGTTGCAGTGAGCTGAGATTGCACCATTGCACCAAAGTTTTAATAGTCAGAAGGTAGGGCCGGGCGCGATGGCTCACACCTGTAATCCTAGCATTTTGGGAGGCTGAGGCGGGTGGATCATGAGATCAGGAGTACGAGACCAGCCTGGGCAACAGGGCGAGACTCCATCTCAAAAAAAAAAAAAAGTTTTATTTAATCCTTATAATAATTCTATGTGATGGCTATTATTATCCCTATTTTAAAGGTAAGGAAATGGAAGTTCAGGAAGGTTAAATGACAATACTTACGATTATGTAGGTTGGAAAGAAAGGGAGATAAGAAATCAAATACCTTCTGATTTTTTTTTTTTTTTTTGAGATGGAGTCTTGCCCTGTCCCCCAGGCTGGAGTGCAATGGTGCGATCTTGGCTCACTGCAACCTCTGTCTTCCAGGTTCAAGAGATTCTCCTGCCTCAGCCTCCCCAGTAGCTGGGATTACAGGCGCACCACCACACCTGGCTAATTTTTTGTATCTTTAGTAGAGATTGGGTTTCACCATGTTGGCCAGGCTGGTCTCATACTCCTGACTTCGTGATCCACCCGCCTCGGCCTCCCAAAGTGCTAGCATTACAGGCATGAGCCACCACGCCCAGCCCTACCTTCTGATTCTTAAAACTTTACAGTATAATATATGACTCTCTTTTAAAATAAGTAATTTTACTTTCCTACTCCTATACATGTCTAAAAGTTTGAGAAGTAGTGCAGCAATTCATAAGGCTTTCACATTTACCAGGTGTCCAAATCAGAGAGCAGCAACTCTATTCCTACAAGGAAGACAAGAGTCTGTTGATATTTACGAACATTAATACATTAATTAATTTTAATATATTATTCTCATGTTATTTTATATTTTTCTCACTTTTGTAACTCTACCAGGGTTTCTTTATACAACAACAGCAACAATACTTATGAAAACATGTTCTTCCAAATAAATCCATGCTATACTCTGGAATGTTTTTTGAGGCAGGTCAGATTTTCAAGCTTTCTAATTTCAGTTAACCTCTAATAGACTTTTTCATTAGTAATATCACACTATGATGGCATGAATTTTTAGAACACATCATTATAAAAATAGATGTTTTAAGTTATTTGTATATAGTTATTCTGTTAGCTTTTTACCTTTGCCTTGCTCTGCTTTTCAGGAACTCTGTTAGGAATTATATGAGACAGAAAATAATATTCAAAACAAATTCTATTTTTAATCTAGTTAGAAGAACCTTTTTTCAAGATTTGGCATAGGAGAAATAAAAGCTATGGAAAAAATAACCTTTAGAAATTATCTGTTGACTTTTTCATGACTGTTCTAGCCCCATTATTTGTAAGATATAATTTAAGGTTCTTATAAATTATAACTCCTGTTGTAAAATGTTTTGCATTTTAAAAGGATTTTAAGACCTATTGCTTCTTTTCACCTTGCTCCTTCAAATGCTTTGAAACAAGAATATGCATTTTATACACAGAAAAATCAAGATGAAGTTAAGGGTGGGTGCAGATCCCAGAGTGAAAAGCTAAGTGTTTTGGCCTTGCCAGAATAGTTCTAAAGCTTGGTTATCTTAATTGCAATATATGAAAATATAAAGAAATAAATACCTAATGTGTTAACCCATACCAAAGTCTATAGAAATAATCAGTGGTAGGTACAAGTCATTTAAGAAAAAAGTTATGAGAGTGTTATTTAATATTAAGAAAATTTTATAAATTTAATTTAGTTGTTTTTGAAAACTGAGAAAAGAATTTAATATGATTATAGTGGCAGAACACCTGTATTGAGCTTGTGCAACTATGTGGGAGTTTAGTTTGAGAGCCACTGAATTATCACATAAAAATTATTAATCAGTATATAGGGTGGCAGTAATATTTTCCTGACTATTTTAATAAGCTGTGTTGGTATGTCAGTAAAGAGTTTATAAGGAATACAGGCCAGCTTAAGTAAACTATTGAATATCTGTCTCATACTGTACGGGGAAAAGTGATGACAGCGTGACTATGTAGAGTTATATAAACTATGTAAAAAGTCATAAAAATGTGAGTGGAGTGAATTTGTCACCTCGATTTTCTTTTCCCTTAACCACTCTACTTTCCTTCTCTCTCCATCTGTAATGCTATGCAGTAACTTCAGTTTTATGCTTCCATCCATGGCAGATATCATCAAGCAATCTAACACTTATTCTTGTTGAGGTTCCAGTAAGCCTTGAGTCCAAGCTGCCACTACTACAGGGGGTTATCCACATGGAAAGTGCAGATTGTTACTACTCACCTCATTCCGTAAGCAGAAGCAAATTCTGTATAGATGAAGGACTTAACTATGACAGCCAATACTTTAAAATATTTAGAAAATAAATATTTTTATTATCAGCTAAGAATTTCTTTACCAAGACCAGAAATAGAGCAAATAATAAAGAAACAAATTAATTAATTCAGCAACATTAAAATGAAAAATCAAAACTGTGTTCATCAAAGGACACTAAAAAAGAATAAGAAAGACCCAAAATTGGTTTAGTATATAGAATTTATTAAAGATACCATGAATCAGTAAGAAAAGTAAATTTGGTAAATATAAAAATAGGAATTTCAAAAAGAGAAAATCCAAATAGTCAATAAACATATGAAACATGCTGAACCTCATTAATAATTAAAGAACAAAATTAAAACTAGAGTGATGAGGGTTGGGCACAGTGTCTCATGCTTATAATCCCAGTGCTTTGGAAGGCTGAGACAGAAGGATCCCTTGAGCCCCGGAGTTGATGATTGCAGTGAACTGTGATCACTCCACTGCACTGTAGCCTAATTGACAGAATGAGACTCTCTGTCTCTCTTAGAAAAAAAAAGAGTGATGTATCATTTCATTTCATACCTACCATGTTGGTAAAAATATAAAAGTCTGAAAATAACAAATCTTGGTGTGGATGTGAAGCAACACGAACTCTCATTCACTGCTAATGGCGATGCAAATTGGTACAGCTGTATTGATAAATTGAAACCGAACATAAACATATTTTTCCGCAGCAATTCTACCCCTAGGTATATATCCTATAGAAATTTTTGCTTGTATGCCTCAGGAAATAGGTATGCAATTTTTTAATAGTAGTAGTATACATAGTAGGGAAACAAACAAATGAAAGAAATCTGGAAACAACCCAAAAGAGAACAGATCTGATAAGTTGGAAAATATTTTATACAGTGGAATTAACATAGTAATAAAAATGAATGCTCCCCAGCTACATTCATGAGCCTGCAGAATCCCCAAAACACAATTTTGGATGAAAAAAGCAAGTCACAAAAAATACATACAACATGATTCTCATTAAAATGATGTAGAGTTTCTTCTTCCTCTCTTAGCAAGTTGAAGTTGGCTTCATGGAATTGAGAAAATATGATATTTAAGACACAGTTAAGGAGTATGTGGCAGGTTCGAACACCAGTTTTCAGGATACCCTTATTTTCTACTTTAATGGTTTATCTGAGGGGCCCTTCATAGTTTGGTAAGTGGCTAAAATGGTGGGCTCTGAATTTAGAGATCTGGAGTTCTGAGCCTGCCTCCACCATCTAGTAACTGTGTGAACTGTAACAAATTAGTTAACTTCTCTGGGCCTCAGTGTACTCATTTGTAAAGAAGGATCTTTCACTGAAGAGGAGTTCCTCTTTCCGTGTGGAGAATGATGAACTGAAGTTGAGAATCTAGCCAAAAGATGGCATAGTACAACCGAGCGAGACCAAATGAGAACATGAACTTAAGACAGAGGCAGAGGATTGCAAGACAAAGGAAACTTGAAAGATGTAAAAAGAGCATAAACCAAACAGATTTGGGGGACACAGAGAAGGAATAGCAACAGAACATCTCATGTTGTCTGACCTGGCTAATTGGCTAAATGCTGGTATGATTTATAAAAATAGAAGACATAGGAGGGGCCCGTTTCAGGGTAAAGATGGGTACTTTACATTTCCTTGTGTAAGTACAATAATCTCAGACCCCCCAAATTAATCACATCTTTCATATTGCTGTTATTCTGTACCTGCCACTGTGTCATTCCTGGAAGCTATTTCCATCCATTCCAGTGCATGGTTGTTAATTGATGTGTGTTTTCTCATTACTGCTGGAATAGGTCCTTGCTCACCCCGAAGTGACACCCTTCTGGTTTAGTGAAACTTCCATCCTCAGTTATCCACTATTTTGGAACCATATCTCTCTAACAGCTTCATCATCTAGAGCCTGATTTTGGTTCTCCATTCCCTCCTTTTGGTGTTCAGTGTCTTTTGCTCTCATTAGTTGTCCCACTTCATTAAAAGAGAAATTTCAGTAGTATTGCATTTCAAAGGAAATGGAGCTGGGAGTCTCTGCTCCTTGGAAATTGCTTGGCCGTATGAAAATTGGTTAGTTCTTCCCTTAGACTAGCTCTTTAAAACAGGGTATTGGAAGATCCTTGCTAGGCAACCAAGAAATCTGTTACCCCTTAATCCAGAGCAATGTTGTATCTTTACTTTATGTCTTATGATAAGAAAACCACTCAGGTGTTCAGTAATAGCTAAGAAAGATTTGTTTCAGGGTGAGTTTTGGTGTCCAAAAGGATCAAAATGGGTTGACAGATTCTCTCTCCTACTAGAAAGTGTTAGGGTCACTCTCATGAGGCATCGGACCATGGATATCAGCTTAATTTTTCATATGCTGGATATGTGCCTTATATTATTTAGGAATTGCATTTGGATGGAAGTAAAGAAACTGTAAATAATTGTAGAAAAAACTAAAAGTTATTTCTCTCTTTTTTTGTGAAAAACCTTTAATTTATGTCAGTTGCTTTTTAATCTGTACCTGATTTTGTTAAATTTGTTTTTTGTTTGTGTGTTTTATTAAACTGTTATTTTAGATTCGGGAGTACATGTGAAGGCTGGTTACGTAGGTAAACTTGGGTCACGGTGGTTTGTTGTACAGATTATTTCATCCCCCAGAGATTAAGCCCAGTCCCCAATAGTTATTTTTTCTGCTCCTCTCCCTCCGCCCACCCTCCACCCTCAGGTAGACCCCACTGTCTGTTGTTTCTTTCTTATCATTTAGCTCCCGCTTATAAGTGAGAACATACAGTATTTGGTTTTCTGTCCCTGTGTTAGTTTGCTAAGAATAGTAGCCAGAGGTAGGCAATCAGGGATTATGAGACTGTTCCACAGAGCTCAGGGACCTAGTATCTCTCTCTTTTTCTGCTCCGCCAGCCTAGCCTGTGGCTTCCATCTTCGGTGACACATATGGTTCATTGTGGCTGCTGTCGCTCTAGCTGTCATGTCTAATTTCTAGGCAGCAGGAAAGAAGTGGATGTGAGTGACAGACATATCCATATACCTCCTAGGCAAGTACCTTCCTTAAGCAGCAATTCAAAATGTCCGCCCTCTGGTTACATTTTATTAGCCAGCTTTTAATTCAATGGCTACCTCATGATCTTTTAGCTGGCTATATTACTACTCTGAAAAACCAGGAATCTGTTGCCAAGGAAAAAGAAAAGATGGGGTTGGGTGCAGTGGCTCACGGCTGTAATCCCAGTACTTTGAGAAGCTGAGGTGGGTGGATCATCTGAGGTTGGGAGTTCAAGACCAGTCTGGCCAACATGGTGAAACCCTATCTCTACTAAAAATACAAAAATTAGCTGGGCATGGTGGCACACACCTGTCTTCTGAACTACTTGGGAAACTAGGGAAGGAGAATCTCTTGAACCCAGGAGGCTGAGGTTGCAGTGAGCCAAGATCCCACCACTGCACTCCAGCCTGGGCAACAGAGCAAGACTCTGTGTCAAAAACAACAACAACAACAACAAAAAAAAAAAAGAAAGAAAAAGAAAAGATGGATGTTAGGTGATAACTAGCCTGTCTTGCCTCATTTGTTCTACTTAAGATATTGATGGAACTATTTTATAGATAAGTAGGAAAAATGGACATTGCTCTTTAATCATAAATACAATGTGCAGATTCCCTATTTTGAGATGTCCCCTTTGAAATTCATTAGCCATTTAAAAATAATTTTTGCTCTTTTTTTTCTTAACACATTAAGTTAAAATGCAGAGTTTCATACAAAGGTTTCAATACCTATTAGACAATTAAGGAACTGAGGGATCAACTAAGCAGGTTTCTGTCTAGATGTACACACATATTTAGAACCTTACGTCTGTCAGAAGGAAGGTGTGTTTTTTAGTCAGAACCAGAAAGTGAGGCAGCATACAGTTTGTGAATTATTATTTCAATATGTTGTAATTAATTAATTAAAGAGAAATTGATTCTTGATATATTTGAATGATTCATTTCTAATCTTAAGCATTTGTACTTAACCTTTGTGTACTTTGATGTAAATGTACCTATGCTGCTTCTTATTAATACTGATTTTGAATTAATATTGGCATAGAGACAGTTATTTTTGATGCTTTTCCAGCTGTGTAAATATACGTATTGCATAAACAAACTAAAATTAATCACAGAATTTACTGTGCTAGCAGCATTTACAACTTCATTGTGGACCCATGTTTTAAACATCTGTCCTTCATTTACTATATCTTAAATAGGCTTTTATAACACAAGCAGAATTACAAGTATTTACACAAAGATGATAAAATACAATAGTACTGAGAAGAAGAAACAAAATTTTGGAGAAGAATTTCTTCATAATTAACACAGTTTGGGTTAGTAATTCTCGCTCTCATAGAAACAAATAGGTGCCTATCCAAAATAAGGAAGAAATCATTTTTAAGAGAGTTCCTGAGAGACTAAACTTTTTAATACTTTAAAAAATGTTGAAAGCAAAATTTTTAAAGGGGCAATTTATTTTTTTTAATGTTTTGTCTTATGTTAAAAATTATATAACTTTCTCATTAAATAACTAGTTTTTCAAATAAAAAAAAAAGTTATGTGCCCTTTAGTTAGGAGGCTGTACAAAGTAGAGACACAGATTTAGTAAATATGACTTTCAAAAGTCCCACCAACAATGACTATATATCTGTCTAATTTGATTATGTAAAAGTTCTAGAATTTTATTTTTATGGTTAATTTTTTAGTTTGAGCCCTGCAAGGCTAGTTCCTGATGTATTTTCTTCAACTGATGTTATTTTAGATAAAATTATTTTTATCTGATTTTCCATTGAGAAATCATGGACATTTGCTTCCTTGGCTGACTTACAGGTACAGGTCAGTACTAAAGGACCCACATGAATAGGCCTTACATATGAGACAGCTCACCCCATGCAGAGATGCCTCCCCAGGCTAGCTATTTGTACTCTGGAAAAGGCATGAGAAAACAGGTTCTAAGACTGCCCAGTTTCTCAGGATTTATACAGTCATTGTTTTCTGTATATATGGGAGCAAACAGTGTCCTTAAAGATGATTTAAAAAATTAGAAAACGTAAACTTTCGGAATAGCACTACTGATACATGGAATAGAAGAAAACAGCAACGGTAAAGAAGTGATGAATTAGAAAAGATATAATTGTTTGAAGTCATCAACCCACATTGAAGTCTAGATGTCTGTTTCACTTGTTATGTTATAAAGTTGATATTTTATTATACTACTTATTATATGTTTGCTTTATGTATATATGTATGTATCACTTTACCTAATTAGATTGTAGTGGTTTTGTGGAAACTACTGTCTTTTACTTTCAGGTTTTCCTGTAGCATCTAACATCACATGAGACACTTTGTCATCTTAAAATAAAGATGTTTATTACCCTAAAACTAGATCCAAGTGGCACATTTGCTTAGTAGTGGTTTCTTGATACAGTGTTTTAAGGATTTGGGGCTAGGTCTGTGTCATTAGGGAAAATACAGTTTTACATTTAGTCAGGGAGTCTGTTTTGTTTATTACTGTTTATCTGGTGCTTACAGTGGTTGTCTGACAGGTTTAAGTCCTAAATAATTGTTAAAAGAATGAATAAATGATTCTATAATAGTTGAGACAGCTAATAAGTAGTAAACATATTTGCTGTCTTGTTAACTAAATCAACTGTAAAATCTTTTCTAATTCTAAATTCTGCCGTTAATATAAATATTTGTTGATTCAGCAAATATTATCTCAGCATCCAAACTCAGAAGTTAGACTATCTTATAATTCATAGAATCCACTGAAGAATTGTAGATTCAAAGACATTAAGAATAATTAAGTTAATAAAAGCAATCTTTTCTAGGGTTTAACTACCATTATTTAGAAACAATGAAAAAAGCCTGACCTGTTTAATTTGATGAATCAATTTCAATTTTGTTATGTCAAACTCCAACTAATATTAAATTAATTAATTGTGTAGAATTTTTCTTTGGTTTATATTGTAGCTTATACAGAGTGAAAGGCCACTAACCTGGCTCTGAAATAAGGCTTGGGCATGATTGCATTCTCTATTTTATGTAGGGTAAGATGATGCAGAGACCCTTTATCTGACTTTATCATTATAATATCAGAATTCTAAAAGGGAACCTAATCTTCCTTTAATATCATCTTTTATACGTAAAGTGGATCCTTAGAAATTAAGTGATTAGATTTGTAGATTTTTACTATGAGGGTTAATTTACTACCAAGGTCCTGATTTCAAGATTCGGACCTTTTTGAGATGTCGTTATTTCCCAGTGACTGGTGGTTTAAAACACTCTGCTAAGAACGAAATGGTTCTGTACTTCACAGAATGTCATCTAGCAGGGCTATGGGGTGGAGTGGGAGTGTGGCTGTCCCTCCGTCCCAGAGGGTTCTGTGATGCATGGGAAGAGGCAGCCGGAGCAGTGGCTTGCAGGTGTGGTCCATGGACCCTTGGGAGGGGGTGTCTCTAAGAACCTTTAGGGCCTTTGTGAATTCAAAGCTATTTTCACAAGAACACTGACATGTTTTTTGCTCAGTGCTGACATTTGCTTCTGTGGTTTAGAAGCAGAGGCAGGTAAAATTGCTGCCACCTCAGCACCCATAAACATACAGGGTGTGCTGTATGCTGTGGTGATCTTCACTGACACACACGAAAGAAAGAAAAGAAAAATGATCATTTAACTGAAAAATGTTCTTGACAAAGTAGTAAAAATTTTCAATCGTGTGAAATCTCATGCCTTTTTAATGTTCTTTGTAGTGAAATAGAAATACCCTTGGTCCTGCTGCATACTGAAGGACAATGGTTTTACTCAAGGAGTTGTTGCAGAACTAGTTCCTTTATTTAACAGAACTTCTTTTTTTGATTGTTGTTGCCCCGTCTGGACTGCAGTGGTGCTGTCATAGCTCACTATAGCTCCAACTCCTGGTCTCAAGGGATCTTCCTGCCTCAGTCTCCCAAGTAGCTGTGACTACAGGTGCACACCACCACACCAGACTCATTTTTTAATTTTTTTGTAGAGATAGGGTCTCACTGTGTTGCCCAGGCTGGTCTCTAGCTCCTGACCTCAGGTGATCCTTTCACCTCTGACTTCCAAAAGTGCTGGAATTACAGGCGTGAATCACCATGCCTAGCCTGGAACATCATTTTTTTTTTTTTTGAGACAGAGTCTCACTCTGTCACCAGACTGGAGTGCAGTGGCACGGTCTCGGCTCACTGCAACCTCTGCCTCCCAGGTTCAAGTGATTCTCCTGCCTCAGCCTCCCGAATAGCTGGGATTACAGGCACATGCCACCACGCCCAGCTCATTTTTGTATTTTTAGTGGAGACGGGGTTTCACCATGTTGGCCAGTATGGTCTTGATCTCTTGACCTTATGATCCGCCCGCCTTGGCTTCCCAAAGTGTTGGGATTACAGGCGTGAGCCACCGCGCCGGCTGGAACATCATTTTAAATTGAAAATATGACAGACAGACAAACTAACAATTCAGACTTAGATATTGAGTAGATGTTTTTGTCAAAATGAGTGAAGTGAACATATTACTTCAAGGCAGATAATTGATAGTGTTTGTGATGGTGATACAATTTGAACTTTCAAGTAAAAACTGCAATTTTGAAAAACTTTGCAACTGCCACAGTGACCTTGAGAGCGTCTAAATATTTAAAATCCTTTTTGATGACATTGGTCCAGATATTACAAGTGTGATTTTTTTTTTGTTGTTACTTCATTAGGAAATGTGTTACCATTTGAAAGTTCTGCGTAACTCAGTGGGCTGATATTTTTCAAATGATCAGTGATCAACACATGATGTTACAAAATTATGCATGGATGAGAGATTCATTCAAAGTAGAAGATAATAGAATAGATTGTAATGTCATCATACAGATGTTTTATTCGTATGATTCAAATCTATGTTGCAACTAAACTTTTGAGAAACTACCACTTCTTGAATTTGGGAGTAGTATTAAGGAAGAATATTCATAATATCTAAAAAGGATGTTAAAATATTGCAGGTATTTTGAATTATTTTGCAATTATTTATAGATTGTAGAGATAAGAGAAAAGAATGGCAAGAGAAGGAGAAAGATGGAAGGCTTTAACAAAGTATTTGCGAAGTGTTTTCCACATCTACTCCTGACTTTTGCGGGGTCCAGGGCAAGAGTACAAATGGAGAACTGCAGACCATATGTCAAGATATTTAAAAGTTATAAATTTAGCTAACATGCAATTAAATAAAAATATATTTGTCCCCTTTCCCTGACAAGTATACCATCTTACCCACAATATATGTAACTATATAAAGCAACAGTTTATACCAAGTAACTGTGGGTAGTGCAACTTCAGTGTAATTGTCATTTTTCATTAAGGACTATGATTTATTATAGGGAGACACAGCAGCATTGGTCAGACAAGACAACAGTAGGGAGAAAAGATTTATAGTTATTTTATTTGCTCCTTCAGTTTCTTTTTCCATAGGGAAAACATTCACTTTGTTTTTCCTTCTATGAGTGGGGGTCTTTCCTCCCCACGAAGACTCAGCTGTTTATCCACTGTGTACTCTTTCCTTAACCCCACTCTTCAGATTTCTCAGAAGATGCCCAAGTGAGGAATTTGCAAGGTTTCTTTTCACTCTTCAGCAAGCCATGCAAGCAGCTCTCTTTCCTGTCAATATTGTTCTTTTCAGTTTCTCAAACGAACTGAAGTTGGAAGGCCAGGTTCCAGTGTATAATTCCTGTATTTGTGTGAATTCTGTGCTGAACTACTGCTGCCTTGGGAAAGGTTATCTGACTTTGATCCCATAGCCACTACCCTGTTCTCTCCACCTGTCTTCTTACTGCATCACGAGGGACTTTTTTGCATGTATGTGGCCTCTGCATGTTCATATCTAAAAGCAATGTTAGTGTGGGCCATATGGGGCCTGTGTTAGAATCACCATGTGTGTTTCTTAAACATTCAGTTCTTGGGCTTCACCCCAGTGTGCCACAAAGTTAGATGTTAAGAGTGTTGTCAGTCACAGGTAATGTTTGAGGTGTTTCCTAGACAGATGAATCTTGGCACTTAGCATCAGTATTTCAATATTTCATCAGTATTTCAGTGTTGCCCTAAAAACTTTCCTTTAAGCCTGTTATCTGGTTTAATTCTCTCAGCAACTCTGAGATTGTTATTCCCATTTTTCAATGTGTATACTGTACTGCCACTGGGAAATTTGGGTCTTGAAATGGCCTTGGTATATATCTTTTTCTAATGCAAAGAGTCTACATTTTATTCTTCAGGATTTGTAGATAGTGTTGTTAGAGAACACCTGCTCTATAGTTGTGGAAACTCTAGAGAGATAAGATGCTTTTATGTCAACATCAAAAAGAAAATACTGTTGTGAAATGGGTAAACAAATTCGGAAGGTTTCTGTGGGCAAAATTCCTCTCTAAAGTTTGAGGAAAATACTGTCTTTTCATGCTTGATCCTAGCCAAAAGGCTGAGAAGCGATAATACTATCTTTTTAATAAAGTCAGTTCACATTAAGTAAAGCAAATTTTAATGTATAGGTTAAACTGAAATATTTAGTGATGAAATATAAAATAATTATTAAAGAATGCATGCTAATCATTTTATGTACATGCAACAGTCTTATAAAATTCACATTTTAATTTGCTGATAATTTGCATTTTACAATACTGTTCTTAAAGGAAGTAATTTTAGGTATCCAGAATAATGTTGCTGTCAACAGAGAAGTTTTGGATTGAGTTGGGAATTGTATGGAAATACCTATATTGTTTTTGGAAAGTTTGTTTTAAGAATGAATAAATTGAAAGCTGATTAATAATATTTCCAGAAAACAAATAATGAAGCCATTTACTCTACTTGCTTTTTAGAAAGTTAATATTGCTCTAGCCCATAAAGTGCTATTTAGTAGCTAGGGGGATGTTAGTTACCCTTAACCACACAGTACTCTAGTTGTTTCCCTGAGTTAATATTAACTACCACAGATCTGTAATTTATAATGTGAAAGCATTTTAGTCACTGGATTACCTGGATTTTTAAGTATTTTGCATCCCTGTGAAATACTGAGTGTCCACTTGTTTATGGAATTATATGAGCTTTTTGTGCAGTTATTTTTGGAATTATTATTTCACACAACTGAAATGTCTTCCTAATGATAAATAACTACTATTTTTCAAAACTGACAAACAAACCAGCCTAGGATTCAATTTTGGGTTGCATAAACAAATCAACCTAGTGTGGTTAAGAAATGGAACCTGAACTGGAAGAGTTAATCTTCAAGTTCAGCTTGAGCTGTGTTTACTGATCCTTTTCTGCTGCTTCTTGCTAATTGGCACCTCGGACTTCATACTAATTAATGGGATAGCAAGGGGCAGGTGGCGCCAATCTATTTTGATAATCCTTGTCAGCAATGTCTGTGTAATCTTTTTGTTTAATTATAATGAATGTGCAATTGGGGTGCATGAACTTTCAACAGTTTTTTTTTCACTGGAAGTTCACTGGTCAAGGGAAGTTTTGCAACTGTCGAATACCGCTTCATATTGCATACAAAGCCACTTGTTTTACCACTGTAGTTGTAGTAATTCACATGAATGGAAGTCGCTAATGGAAATAACCTATGCTTCTTTAAAACTAGACAAATATAACTTTATCCAGAGAACTGAAAAACATTTGCCTCCTTAATTGTGCCCAGCGTCCTCATTTTTGGAGTGAGGGTAACAAATTTTGTTTAAATAGGGGCATTTAATTTTAAGAGTACTTAATGGATAAAAATATTAGAATAATGTTTTCTCTGGAAGGAAGAGGCTAGGCAGGAAGTCAAAATAAATGGAACTGCTTTACTTAAGAATTTGCAAGGTTTAGCTGTGAAATGACTAGATAAATGATATTGTTGGAAAGTAAAGTTACCTACTAGAGAATGCATATTTTGTTCCTTTCCATTATAGAGAAACTGTTATGTTTTTAAATATAAAGGTGGGTTTAGGTAAAATCAGTTCACTGTATTAGTAGTTTTGAAGTTTGGGGACTGGTCTTAAAATTGTGATCCATGCAAGGCATTATTTATTTGTGGAAAGTGAGAGAAAGGGAGGGAGGAAGAAGTCGAAAAACACCTCCTTGGCTGTTAATACCTTGAAACTTAGTGGAAAGGAAATAACACTCAATTTATAAGGACTCCAGTGTAAACAAACAGGAGCTATGATAGGAAATAGCACTAGGGCCAATTTATAAGACTTGGTCCATGTTCATTTTTCAGATAAAACTTCCTGTACTTACTCCTAGCTGTTTAAGTTAGACCAAAATCAAAATAAATCGTCCTCAAGTGGTGAAAGGAAATATTTTAATTGGGGTATATTTTTGGAAAATCAGAAATAGTTACTGCCAATATTGGTACCTTGATAAAATTTAAAATTATTATTGAAGAGAATAGTGTAAATTTATACAAGCTTGGGTGTTATGCACCTTATAGTTTATTATATAATAATAAAGTTTGATTATATTTGTACCTTGCCAGAGAATCTTGATTTATCTTAATTTAAATTTGCAATTAAAATGAAAACCCATTGCCTTAAATCTGCAGTTCTCAACCCAGAGACAATTTTGTCTCCCAGGGGACATTTGGCAATGTCTGGAGACATTTTTTATTTTTACTGCTAGGTAGGGATGCCACCAGGATCTAATGAGTAGAAGTCAAGGATGCTGCTAAACATCTTACACTACAAGGACAGTCTCCTACAAAAAAGAATTATCAACTGGGCGCAGTGGCTTACGCCTGTAATCCCAGCACTTTGGGAGGCCGAGGCGGGCAGATCACGAGGTCAAAAGATCGAGACTATCCTGGCCAACATGGTGAAAGCCGGTCTCTACTAAAAATACAAAAAATTAGCTGGGCGTGGTGGTACATGCCTGTAGTCCCAAGTACTCAGGAGGCTGAGGCAGGAGAATTGCTTGAACCCGGGAGGCAGAGGTTGCAGTGAGCCGAGATTGCGCCACTGCGCTCCAGACTGGTGACAGAACAAGACTCCATCTCAAAAAAAAAAAAAAAAAAGAGTTATCTAGCTCAAAATGTTAATGTTAATATTGCTGGGATTGAGAAACTTGCCCTACGTAAATGGTGCCGTCTACTGGTGAAACACCAATTTATTTTTATTTTGTTATTAGTTTTGAGACACGTTATTGTCTGTTGCCTAGGCTAGAGTACAGTGGCACGATCGTTACTCACTGCAGCCTCCAACTCCAGCCTTGAACTGCAGCCTGGGCTCAGGCAATGCTCCTGCCTCAGCCTCCTGAGTAGCTAGGATTACAGGCACATACCATCATAACCATCTAATGTTTTTAATTTTATTTTTGTAGAGATGAGGTCTTGCTTTGTTGCCCAGGCTGATCTCAAACTCCTGGCCTCAAGTGATCCTCCTGCCTTGCCTCCCAAAGTGCTGAGATTACAGGCATAAGCCACCGTGTCTGGCTATCTTATTTATGATCACTGGATTGCAAAGATGCTTGAGACTTTATGAAGAAAATACGCTGAAAGAAATAGTCATATATGGGCATGCAAGTATGGAGTTGTATGGGATTAAGTAACAAATAGCGTATTCCTAATTTTTAATTTTTTCCCTAGGTCTAAAATATAATGGGAAATAGCAGTTACAAATTCTTTGTAGCTTTTTCTTTCAATTCCTACCATATTTATATTCAACATGGAAGAAAGTACAGTACTTACTTGGCCTAGAAAGAATGCAGTGCAAATGCAGTGATTGTCTTATTGCATACTTTTGTGTTTATGAATTCTTGCATCATTTACATGGTGTGGAGTAGCTATAAGTTAGAGATTTTAAAGAAGGTTTTTAACCTAGCATATTATTCAGGCTTTGGTTCATCTGATTTAATAAAATTTAAACCTGGTGTTAATGTATTATGAAATCAATAGCATTATACCAAATTAAACACTTTAGCTGCTTATTATTTTTCTTTCATGATGTTAATACAGCTAAATAAATGCTGATTAGGATATTCCTTTCTTTTTTTGGCATTTTGATATTTCCCATTGGTCTACCAAAATTCACTAAGTCAGTTCTTATTGGCTTCCTTATGTAATAGGGCAGAAATGCTATGCAAAATGTTAAGTTGTGTAATATTTTATACATACAAAATATGCATATATTTATAAGTCATATGTGAAATATGGAGCATAAAAATGTTTCTGAACCCACTGCTGTATTCAGAAATTTAAAATGAACACTATTAATGCTGCTTGGAGATTGGCGGAAATAGTTACAGACATACGTTTGTTCTTTTGAACTGGTCTATTCTCATGTATTGGCAAAGCACGTTCTATCTAAAGAGCTTAGCTCAAAATTAATAGGAACTTACGTGAGCAGTGGGAAAGGTTTCTCTTACATATGTGTTACCTCAAAATAGCTTGCTAAATAGATGAAAAATAACTTGTTTAAAAAACAATACCATTTTGTTTACAATTTCTTTTTTGGGAGAGAAGAAATAGGACGGGCGCAGTGGCTAGCAGAGCTGCAGAAGACTCGTTAGATGGCGAGAGGCTTTGTCCGCAGAAACAAGAAGGCTCCTTCAGCTTTGTGACTGTGGTATATTTTATAAGGAAACCTGTGTCTAAAAAAAGATGCTGAATGAAACTTCTTTTTACACCACCATATGGTTTTTAAAGGCCCACTTTGTTTTATTGGAAAGAAAATATGAAAACTCCCCATTTAGAAATAAGTTTTAGCAGTGGCTGTTCGAAAATATCTTTTTGTGCACTGTTGCTAGGTAAGTGTTCCAAATCAGATGTATTTTCTGACCACATTGAATAATTCAAGTAACTACCCTAAACAATCAACATTTTTCAAATTCTGTTAGTGTGTGCTTCTTTTTGAATGATAGTAGAAATCATTTATAATCATTTGGCATGGTCAGCTTTTTTTCTCTGAATTTTGGTAGATGTTTGATATTTGAAACAAAATATGAAATGGAAGGAAATTTTATTGATGTTCTAGGTGTGACCTTTGCTATTTATATTTATATATTCTTTTAAAATTTCATGTGCTGTGCCTATTTCTGAGCTTTAATGTTATGTTCTACGGCAGGAAAATATTTTTATTTTTATTATGTTTAGAAGTGTGTGTACCCATAGAGTTCATTTCTATGGCATCAATGCGATTTCTGAAATATGAGCTTATAAAAAGACTATGGGAATTGAGTTTTTAAATGAGACATTATAAAATGGTATTAAAATATTATATGCCATGTAACTACTACTGCTAATTTAAAGGAATGATAAAGATTTAATATAAAATATATTTTCCTTCTGACAGAGGAAAAGAGACCAACCCGTTCTGTTGTAAGAAAGACTGTGCTGTGGATCACCAATAATGCCTTGGTGTTCAGGTTAGATGTAAATGAAAGCCACCCTGTTAGCAGGGCCATACTCTAAAGTTATAACAGAGGGAAAACTTCAGATGGTTTCTTTATTTCCAGAAATACAGTACATCTTTTTTTTACAGTGAAATTGCCACTACCTTTATTTTCCTTAATGGGAGAATATTTCCCATTTCCAGTGTAAAGCCTATAAGGCTCAAAATGAATATAACCCAACGTATTTCCAGTTTAAACACATATCCACCCAAAGCTTTTCTCCATACCTTTCTCCTCTTTCCTCAGAGATCGTTGCCTTCTCCCATACAACACATGCCTGCCAAGAAAACTTCCAGTATGGCGAAATGTTTTAAATGTATATGTTCTTTCCAACTCTTACATCAGACCTTTGAAGTTATTTCAGATCTAGCAGCAATGATGGCAAACCTTTAAGACTCATTTCTTTTATTTTTATTTGTTTACATTTATGAGACAGAGTCTTGCTCTGTCATCCAGCCTAGAGTGCAGTAGCTCGTTCATGGGTCACTGCAGCCTGAAACTCCTAGACCCAAGAAAGCCTTCTGTCTCGGCATCCCAAATAACTGGGACCACAAGCATGTGCCACCATGCCTGGCTAATTTTTTTTTTTTTAAATTGATAGAAATGAAGTCTTGCCATGTTGCCCAGGCTGGTCTTGAACTCCTGGGCTCAAGCAATCCTCCTGATTTAGCCTCCTAAAGTGCTGAGATTACAGGCATGAGCCACCGCATGCAGCCTCACTTCCTTTAAAATGTGTTTATATGCATTTGTGTAACAGATTTTTGGGTTCCCCAGCTTTGAAATATAAACCCACAAATAAAACAACAGACCTCTCATACCAAATGTATGTTAATATATGCAAGTTTATACATATGACTAATGTGAGGACATTGATTTTGTACAGTATCTTATAGGTTACAAGCTTTCACATAATATGTCATTTGTTCAATGTGACAATATTGGGAGGCATAAGGGGATTTCCATTTTATAGCAAGAACGGATGCTTGGAGGGATTAGGTGACCTACTCAGAACTGCAGTAGAGCTGAGATCCTGTGATCCTTAGTTCAAGGCACTTCCCATTAGGCCACTCCAAAAATATATTTTAAAATCCAGCAAGATGACCCTGTTTATTAATAGCACTATTGAATTCAAAACTGCTAAATGTGTAAGTTAGCCCATGAGGCCAAAACTCTTAGCTACTTGAATAAGGGTGATTCTATTAGCTAATATATTGGAATCTCCATTTGCACACTGCACGTTCTTTGTAATTAAAGAAGTGACTTTAACTTACCTTTATTTTAGAAAGTTCCCTTTCTCTCTTTGATGATGAGAAATTATTGATCTTGACAATTGAAGTTATTTCACGTATTTCAGGTTAAAATTTCAGCTGCCAGTTCAGGGTATCAGCTTTTTAGGATTTTCCCCGCTTTCTAGAATTCTCCTATGTCCTCCTACCTAGGTCAGTTGTTAAGAAAAGTGTAATAAGCCTTATTATATTGGGAGAGGGAAGTCAGGTCCTGGTATCTTCATCTGTAACCCATGGCATCTGTTGCTGTGAGAGTTACCTGACAAGGGCTTATTGTCACATCATAAATACAACATGAACGTGGATAACTGGGTTTACTTCACCAGTTTCCTAAATATCAATTATGCCAGTCACAGTATAGATGCTTGCGACATTGTTGTGAACATGACAAAGTACCCATCCCTGGAGTGTTGATATATAGAAGACAGACAATAAATACAAAAACAAAGACCATTAAGCCAGATCAAGATTAATGCTCTGAGGAAAGTAAAATGAGGAAAAAAGTTGGTAGTTACTTTTACTTAGGATTGTCATGGAACTGAAACCCAAAAAATGAAAATAAAAGGCTGGGTACATTGGCTCACACCTGTAATCCCAGCACTTTGGGAGGCCGAGGCGGGCAGATCATGAGATCAAGAGATGGAGGCCATCCTGGCCAATATGGTGAAACCCTGTCTCTACTAAAAATACAAAAGCTAGCTGGGCGTGGTGGTGCGTGCCTGTAGTCTCAGCTACTCGGGAGGCTGAGGCATGAGAATCACTTGAACCTGGGAGGCGGAGGTTACAGTGAGCTGAGATTCCAGCCTGGTGACAGAGTGAGACTCCATCTCAAAAAAAGAAAATGAGAAAGAGGAAGAAGTAAGTATAGGGACCGTGGAAGGAAATTAGTTTTGGGTGTGTGGGGAAGAGTGATAGAAAGAAAACCAGCATTCATGGATTATTTTCGCAAAGGGGAAAGTGATAAGAAAAGAGGTCAAAGAATCAGATCGAGGCCAAACCATGTCGTTCACAGTAGTGAGTGTGGTTTTGTTCGAAATTGGGAGATGTTAGGCAGTGAAGTCATGTGTGTTTTCAACTTTGTGGTCAGGTCATCTCTTTAGTTGCTTAGTGGAGAACTGTGTCCATGGCAGGACACAGTGGAGTTAATAGACTCACAAGAGGCTGTTACAGTAGTTTCTGCAAGACAGATGATGGTGACTTGGGCTGGGGTTTTTGTAGTGGACATGAAGACAAGGGGTTCAATTTGGGATATATTTTGAATATAGTGCTACTAGTTACCACACTTGTGGTAGTGTAAAGTATGATGATTGACTTGGCATTTTGCACATGAATTGTTTCATAGTCTTCTTGATCTGGTTATGTTCTCAGAAGTTGCCACTTCAGTAGCTTTGAACACTTTGTTAGAAGAAGGAGGTGAGTGGGACAAATTTTGGAGTTGATCTTTAGATTTGAAAGTGATTTTCAGAAACATCACCTTTATTAGAAAGATGAATTTTGAATTTTTTCAATATATGTTATAGAACTTTGACCAAAGTCTTAGTTCACTAGAATGGTTTTTTAATATCTGTTTACTGTAGGATAGTTTATCAAGATAAAGAACATTGTTCAAATTTGTGCTATGACTTGATACAATCTTAATAGCATTGCTTTAAGACAGCACATGTAATTGTCAATGAAACATTTGTTTAATTTTTATTAGCACTGGCATAGATTTACAATTGCATGTTTATGTGTCACAAGTACACCTGAGGGTACGTCAGGCCTCCTGTCTAATCAGTGTGTACAGTATACTTTTGCTCATTTTATACCACCATGCTTGGCTGGCTGGATTGCTTTCTTTCATTTCTTTCTTTCTTTCTTTCTTTCTTTCTTTCTTTCTTTCTTTCTTTCTTTCTTTCTTTCTTTCTCTTTTTCTCTTTCTGTAGATCGAAGAACATAAATATTATGTGGAGACTTATTATCTGAGTCTTTTAATTTATAACATTTTAATCATGTATGTGACTTACTTGATTCTGAAGTCTTAGAAATTTAACCTCAAATTATAGCATTAGGGTTAATCCTAAAATCACAGAAAGGTATAGCCTTTATAGCACAATTGTAAAGCTGAACCTCCTGCAAAATAACTTTCTGTCCATATTGGCTGTCCATATTAAGCTTGGTTTTCCACCATTTGTTATTCCGATTATTTTATATTATACATTCTCTGTATAATTACTAGTACTTTTTATTTTCCTGAAAAAAAGTGCTTTAATATTCGTTTAATTTTTAGAGGCCATTAGAAGTTTTCCCTTAATGTTTAAATTATTTTAGATAAAAATGGTAATTATGAGGATTAGCCCTAATCTTACTTTTCTAAAATATAGGTAAGGGTGCTATAGTTGTTTGTTTTTAAGTCTGTACTTTTAAAGAAATGAAAGGAAGATTTTTCCCCTCCCCTCCCCTCCCCTCCCCTGTCCTGCCCTGCCCTACCCTCCCCTCCCTTCTCCCTCCCTGCCTCCCTCTCTCCCTTCCATTCTTATTTATTAGAGGTAGTGTCTCACTCTTATCCAGGATGGAGTGCAGTGACATGATCTAGCTCACTGCAGCCTCAAAATTCTGGGTTCAAGAGATTGTCTTCCCTCAGCCTCCCAAGTAGCTGGGACTAAAGGCATGCCACCACCAGTGGCTAATTTTTTAAAAAAAAACTTTTGTAGAGATGGAGTCTTGCTGTGTTGCCCTAGGTGGTCCCAAACTCCTGGGCTCAAGTGATTCTCCTGCCTCAGCCTCCCAAGGTGCTGGGATTAAAGGTGTGAGCCACTATGCTCAGCCAAGATTTTTCTTAACTAAATTTTTCACGTTATCAATAGTACAGATTATTGCTTCTTTCTCTAAGGCCCACTTAAAAATAAATAGTACTGTTTAAGGGTCAGAAAACCAGCTAGCTTTGTTTGTAAACCATAATGAAATGAAATACTTGTTTCCAAATTTAAAAGAACTTGTTTCCCAATTAGCTTAATTTTTTCTTTTGTATTTTATTTAAAAATAAAGTTAGAGGTCAAAGTACTGATTATTTCATAATTTGTTGGAGTCTAAAATGCTAAATCAGTTATCTGAAGTCATCTGATTAAAAGATGTAGAAGAAAACCAAAATTTCTCCAATTTTTATCAACATATCCTGTTTACATGTGATTCTGAGGGGGAAACTCAAGTTGCATTATTATTCATCTTTCCTTTTGAACTGGATGATAAATGCCGAGCCATCATGTCAAGCCTATTCTGAAGATGTCCAGAGTAACAATAAACCTTTTGTGATGAAAATGGTGTAGGATAGCTATTTACCAACTTAACAATCATAAACTTACTTGCTACCTATATTTCAAGGTACTTTCCACATAGGCAGTCTTCAGTTTGACTGGGAAAATATGAGTCAAAATAAACTATCTTAAATATAATAGAACTGTTTTTACTTTTAGTGTTGTACTTTATTCCCCAGAACACTCAGATAATTAAATGAGTAGATGAAATGCCTGCTTTTATATGCATATACACATGTATTTTTCAATATGTTCCATACTTTTTATTGGCAGTGCTAATAATGACCTTTTATCTGTGTATTACTGTCTAGTTGATCATTCTGTGTCAGAGATCACCTTGTAGAGGTAAGCTTTCCACTATAGAAGAGTCACCAAAGTAAAGGAAAGCACACTCTTATTCAATTGATTTAACTTAATGAATATCATCTCTTCAGTGCAGAGGCAATAGAAAGGCAGGGCCAAAAGCACTTATCCCAGGAGGTTATATATAGGATGATTGGAGACATTCCTAAAGACAATGAGGCACTAGCATTGTGTAAGAGGGAGGCTATTTCACTCTGAGGGCTCATGCTGGAATTAACTGGTGTCATTTTGAAGGAGGGTTTTGCTAATTGGCATCTCCCAGTTGTATATAATGCCAACACCTTTTTCTATTAATTATTTCCCATAAGTATAGCTCAGTAAAGCAAAACTCCCTCCAAATGTATAAAGGTTTAAAAGAAACTGTTGGAATTTAATTAGTTTCCAAAAGCCCTATGTGAACTGTAGCAGTTGGTTGGTATTATTTGTATAATGTTTTGTTGTTTGACTTTGGAAGCATTATGTTCATGTATTGTGGTGATGGCCTGCTGAGTAATTGCAAGGTTCATTATACTACCAAGACTGTCAAGGGGTATTTATGGATATTCATGTGCAGTGAACCCTTGAACTTGAACTGGTCATTCTTGTCTCCCATGGCTGGAATTGTGTTTACTCTAAATGGCAGGAGAAACTTTAATTATGAAACTAGAAAAGAGGCAAAATTACCTTACTTTAAAACAGTAAATAAACTATTAAGAAATGTACCTGTGTTTGGCATATTACTATAAAATTGCTATCTCTTTACTTCTAAGGAAACACTTAATAACTATAAGCTTTAAATTTTTAAAAGATGCCTTGTTTGTGGTAGATGTATGCCTCTAAAATTATGTGTTTCCATGTAAAAAGATACTAGAAATCTACCGTTTCTAATGCAGGAATTCTGTATATCAACAAAATATTAAAGTTGATTAAACAGAATTAAATAATAGTTAAAAATATTAATATAAAGTTTAAAATATGATCCAAGCATTGTACATTAATTAGAAAATGTTTAAAATTGAGGAAGAAATTTAAAAGTAAAATGGAAGTATTTATATACAGATTTATCAACAAGTAATTATTTGTTAGAGGTAAAGTTTATATCACGATAATTGAAATGATCTCTTATCTGTGTCTCGCCACTAGCCTTTCAAGTTCTTGAGAACAGAAACATTTTCTTTTTATTTATTTATTTTTTATTTCTTATTTTTTATTATTGTTACTATACTTTAAGTTTTAGGGTACATATGCACAATGTGCAGGTTAGTTACATATGTATACATGTGCCATGCTGGTGTGCTGCACCCATTAACTCGTCATTTAGCATTAGGTATATCTCCTAATGCTATCCCTACCCCCTCCCCCCACCCCACAACAGTCCCCAGAGTGTGATGTTCTCCTTCCTGTGTCCATGTGTTCTCATTGTTCAGTTCCCACCTATGAGTGAGAACATGTGGTATTTGGTTTTTTGTCCTTGCGATAGTTTACTGAGAATAATGATTTCCAGTTTCATCCATGTCCCTACAAAGGACATGAACACATCATTTTTTATGGCTGCATAGTATTCCATCGTGTATATGTGCCACATTTTCTTAATCCAGTCTATCATTGTTGGACATTTGGGTTGGTTCCAAGTCTTTGCTATAATAGTCTTTGTGGAACTTTGAATAGTGCCGCAATAAACATACGTGTGCATGTGTCTTTATAGCAGCTTGATTTATAATCCTTTGGGTATATACCCAGTAATGGGATGGCTGGGTCAAATGGTATTTCTAGTTCTAGATCCCTGAGGAATCGCCACACTGACTTCCATAATGGTGGAACTAGTTTACAGTCCCACCAACAGTGTAAAAGTGTTCCTATTTCTCCACATCCTCTCCAGCACCTGTTGTGTCCTGACTTTTTAATGATTGCCATTCTAACTGGTGTGAGATGGTATCTCATTGTGGTTTTGATTTGCATTTCTCTTAAGGCCTAGTGATGATGAGCATTTTTTCATGTGTCTTTTGGCTGCATAAATGTCTTCTTTTGAGAAGTGTCTGTTCATATCCTTTGCCCACTTTTTGATGGGGTTGTTTGTTTTTTTCTTGTAAATTTGTTTGAGTTCATTGTAGATTCTGGATATTAGCCCTTTGTCAGATGAGTAGGTTGCAAAAATTTTCTCCCATTTTGTAGGTTGCCTGTTCACTCTGATGGTAGTTTCTTTTGCTGTGCAGAAGCTCTTTAGTTTAATGAGATCCCATTTGTCAATTTTGGCTTTTGTTGCCATTGCTTTTGGTGTTTTAGACATGAAGTCCTTGCCCATGCCTATGTCCTGAATGGTAATGCCTAGGTTTTCTTCTGTGGTTTTTATGGTTTTAGGTCTAATGTTTAAGTCTTTAATACATCTTGAATTAATTTTTGTATAAGGTGTAAGGAAGGGATCCAGTTTCAGCTTTCTCCATATGGCTAGCCAGTTTTCCCAGCACCATTTATTAAATAGGGAATCCTTTCCCCATTGCTTGTTTTTCTCAGGTTTGTCAAAGATCAGATAGTTGTAGATATGTGGTGTTATTTCTGAGGGCTCTGTTCTGTTCAGGGATGCCCTCTCTCACCACTCCTATTCAACATAGTGTTGGAAGTTCTGGCCAGGGCAATTAGGCAGGAGAAGGAAATAAAGGGTATTCAATTAGGAAAAGAGGAAGTCAAATTGTTCCTGTTTGCAGATGACATGATTGTATATCTAGAAAACCCCATTGTCTCAGCCCAAAATCTCCTTAAGCTGATAAGAAACTTCAGCAAAGTCTCCAGATACAAAATCAATGTACAAAAATCACAAGCATTCTTATACACCAATAACAGACAAACAGAGAGCCAAATAATGAGTGAACTCCCATTCACGATTGCTTCAAAGAGAATAAAATACTTAAGAATCCAACTTAAAAGGGACGTGAAGGACCTCTTCAAGGAGAACTACAAACCACTGCTCAACGAAATAAAAGAGGATACAAAGAAATGGAAGAACATTCCATGCTCATGGGTAGGAAGAATCAGTATCGTGAAAATGGCCATACTGCCCAAGGTAATTTATAGATTCAATGCCATCCCCATCAAGCTACCAATGACTTTCTTCACAGAATTGGAAAAAACTACTTTAAAGTTCATATGGAACCAAAAAAGAGCCCGCATCGCCAAGTCAATCCTAAGCCAAAAGAACAAAGCTGGAGGCATCACACTACCTGACTTCAAACTATACTACAAGGCTACAGTAACCAAAACAGCATGGTACTGGTACCAAAACAGAGATAGAGAACAGAAACATTTTCTTAATCTATATATCTTCTAGTTAATCTACATATATTCTCCTAGTTCTCAATGCAGAGAGCATATTTGATGAAATTATGTGGAATTGAATTGAGAGCTGAGAGAGAATATGGCACATTAGAGAGGAATGTGATCGGGAGTGGAATGACATGACTGGACCCTGAGGTACATGTGAGGTGGAACTTGAGAATTAGGCAGCACAGATGCTTCTGTTTTCAGAAACTTGGATCACATACAGAGAATATTATGGATGGATTGCAGATATATTTTTTTTGAGACAGGGTCTTGCTGAGTTGCCCAGGCTGGAGTGCAATGGTTATTCACAGATGCAATCATAGTGTACTATAGCCTTGAACTCCTAGACTCAAGCAATTCTCCCACCTCAGCTTTTCAAGTAGCTGGGACTACAGGGACACAACACCATGCCTAGCTATCATTGCAGGATTTTAAGAAGCTACTGTGACTGCAACGTGGATCATGGGGATAGGAGTAGAAAAACAACTCCTTGATTCACCAGTATGGATTATGGTATCCTGGAAATCCAGGTTGAACAAAGGGGTTTAAAAAAATACTCTTAAAAATTGTTTTGACTGGACAGGGTGGCTCACTCCTGTAATCTCAGCACTTTAGGAGACTGAGGTGGGAGGATTGCTTGAGCCCAGGAGTTCAAGGCTCCAGTGAGAATGGTCGTGCCACTGTACTCCAGTCTGGGTGGCAGAGCAGGACTAATGTCTCAAAGAAAAATGGTAAAATACTGTAACATAACGATTCTCATCTTAATCATTTATGTTACAGTAGTATTCAGTATATTCACATTGTTGTGCAGCCAGTCTCTGGAGCTCTTTTCATTTGGAGAAGCTAAAACTCTTAGTCTACTCAGGTTGCTATCACAAGATACCACAGACTGGATAGCTTAGACAACAGACGTTTATTTTTCACAGTTCTGGGGACTGGGAAATGCAAGATCAAGGGGCTTGAAGCTTCTGTTCCTGGTCCTGGTGAGCTCCTGCCTCCTGGTTTGCAGCTGGCTACCATTTTGCTGTGTCCTCACATGACTGGGGGAGAGAGAGAGAGAGTGAGAGAGAGCGGGCATGCACAGGTGTGAGCAAGTGTATGTGCAAGCAATACCTGGTTTCTCTTCCACTTCTTATAAGGACACTAATTCTGTGATAGGGTCCTTACTCTCATGATGACATCTAAACCAAATTGCTTCCCAAAGGCCCCACCTCTAAATACTGTAACACGGGAAGTAGGGAGGCTTCAACATATGAATTTTGAAGGGACACAAACATTCAGTCCATAACATTCTTTATATCTATTAAACAACTACTTCCTATTTTCCCTCTCCTAGCTCCTGGCAACAACCATTCTACTTTCTGTCTCTATGAATTTGACTCTATATAGCTCATTTAAGTAGAAGCATACAATCTTTAATGTTTTTGCTACTAGCTTATTTCACTTGGCCTAATATCCTTAAAGTTTATCCATGTTGTAGTATGTGTCAGAATTTTCTTCCTTTTTAAGGCTGAATAATATTCTGTTGTAGTGTAGACCACATTTCATTTATCTTTTCATCCATTGATGGACACTGATGATCCATTGGGTTGGTTCCACCTTTTGGCTATTGTGAATAATGCTGCTGTGAACATGGGCATACAAATAGGTCTTTGAGACACAGCTTTCAAGTCTTAATTTTTGAGAAACTGCCATACTATTTCCATAGCTGCCACACTATTTTACATTTCCTCCAACAGTGCACAAAGGCTCCAGTTTCTCCACATTCTTACCAACACTTGTTATTTTGTGTTTTTGATAGTACCCATTCATGTGAGGTAGTATCTCATTGTGGTTTTGATTTGCATTTACCTAGTTATTAGTGACTTTCGTGAGCATATTGGCAGTTCTTATATCTTCCTAAGAGAAATGTCCACTTTTTAACTGGGTTGTTCATATGTTGTTGTTGAGTTGTAGAAGATTTTTATATATTCTCAATATTAACCCTTCATCAAATGTATGACTTACATATTTTCTTCCATCCCTTAGGTTGCCTTTTCACTGTGTTGATTGCATCCTTTGCATAGAAGTTTTTAATTTTAAAGTAGTCCAGTTTATCTTTTTTTTTTTTCCTGTTGTTACCTGTGCTTTTGGTGTTATATCCAAGAAATCACTGTCAAGTGCAATGTCATGAAGCTTTGCCTTTGTGTTTTCTTCTAAGAGTTTTATAGTTTTAGCTCTTATGTTTAGGTCTTTAATCCACTTTGAGGTAATTTTTCCATTATGGTATAAGATAAGTCTCCAACTTCCTTCTTTTACAGGTGGATATCCAGTTTTTCCAATACCATTTGTTGGAAAGACTCTCTTTTCCCTTTTGAATGGTCTTGGCATACTTACTCTACATACAATGCCAGAGCAAAAGCGTTTTAGTGTGGAAATGAGGGAATGGCCTAAGTTAAGGCAGAATCTTGGAGACATACTAAGTAAGTTAGACATGGAGGCATTTCCAGGAACAGAATGGTGAAACTTAGAGGAGGAGCTTAGACCAGCTTCCTGAGCTAGAAAGAAGATACCTGCAATGTTTTGTTTATTTTTTAAAGATATCAAAGATAGATAAAGAGGTAATTGTTAAAAGCATGGACAAAGATGAAAGACAGTCACTCCCTCCCACCCCTGGAAATGTAACATATAGTGAGGAAGATGGCGTGCATAATTATAATACAAGGAAAAATAAGTATTATGGAAGTTCAGAAGAGGAAGCAATTATTTCTGCTGAGATTACCAATGGAATCTTCCTGAATGTATCCATCAGATCCATCAAATTTTTCAGCTGAAAGCAACAGACATCAACCATGATTAATTTACACAGGAAATAAAGTTATTAAGAGGATGTTTGCTAGCTCATAGACTCTCTGGAAAGATAGGAGAATCAGTTAGAAGAGACACAACCAAGAACAGTATTTAAAATTTCACCTCAGAATTTATCCTGGCACCATTGTCACCAAGCTTAGCATATATACACACTTAGTTTTTTATTTTCAATTTTTAATTTTTGTGGGTACATAATAGGTATATATGTTTATTGGATACATGAGATATTTATTATTATTTCAGTAGTTTTAGGGGAACAGGTGGTTTTTGCTTGCATAGAAAAGTTCTTTAGTGGTGATTTCTGAGATTTTGGTGCACCTATTACCTGAGCAGTGTACACTGTACCCGGTGTGTAGTCTTTTATCCCTCACCCCTTCCCACCCATCCCACAGAGTCCCCAAAGTCCATTATATCATTCTTCTGCCTTTGCATCCTTGTAGCTTAGTTCCTGCTTATAAGTGGGAAATACAATGTTTGGTTGTCCATTCCTGAATTATTTCACTTAGAATAACCGCCTCCAGCTCCATCCAGATTACTGTGAATGCCATTGTTTCATTTTTTTATGGCTTAGTAGTATTCCATGTTTATATATATATATATATGCTCCATGTTTTCTTTGGTTGATGGGCATTTGGGCTGGTTTTATATTTTTGCAACTGTGAATTGTGCTGCTATAAACAGGTGTGTACATGTGGCTTTTTCATATAATAACTTTTTTTTCCCTCTGGGTAGATACACAGGAGCGGTATTGCTGGATCAAATGGTAGTTCTACTTTTAGTTCTATAAGGAATTTCCATAGTGTCTTCTATAGCGGTTGTACTAGTTTACATTCTCACCAGCAGTATACTAGTTGTTCCCTTTTCACCACATCCATGCCAACATCTCTTATTTTTAAATTTTTTAATCATGATCATTTTTGCAGGAGTAAGGTTGTATCTCATTGTGGTTTTAATTTGCATTTCCCTGGTAATTAGTGATGTTGAACATTTTTTTCATATGTTTGTTGGCTATTTGTTTATCTTCTTTTGAGAATTGTCTATTCATGCCCTTTGCCCACTTTTCAATGGGATTATTTGTTTTTTTCTTGCTGGTTCGAGTTTCATGTAGATTCTGGATGTTAGTCCTTTGTCAGATGCATAGTTTATGAATATTTTCTCCCACACTGTGGGATATCTGTTTACTCTACTGATTATTTCTTTTGCTTTGCAGAAGCTTTTTAGTTTAATTAGGTCCCATGTATTTATCTTTGTTTTTGTTGCATTTGCTTTTGGATTCTTGATCATGAACTCTTTGCCTAAGCCAATGTCTAGGAGAGTTTTTCCAATGTTATATTCTAGAATTTTTATGGTTTCAGGTCTTAGATTTAAGTTTTTGATCCATCTCGAGTTGATTTTTGTGTACGATGAGAGGTGAGGATCCAGCTTCATTCTTCTACATGTGGTTTGCCAATTATCTCAGCACCATTTGTTGCATAGGGTGTTCTTTCCCCCACTTTATGCTTTTATTTGCTTTGTTGAAGATCAGTTGGCTTTAAATATTTGGCTTTATTTCTGGGTTCTCTATTCTGTTCCATTGGTCTATGTGCCTGTTTTTATATCAGTACTACACTGTTTTGGTAACTGTAGCTTTGCAGTATAGTTTGAAGTCAGGTAATGTGATCCCTCCAGATTTGTTCTTTTTTCTTAGCCTTGCTTTGTCTATACAGACTCTTTTGTGGTTCCATATGAATTTTAGGATTGTTTTTTCTAGTTCTGTGAAGAACGATGATGATATTTGGATGGGAATTACATTGAATTTGTAGATTGCTTTTGGCAATATGGTCATTTTCACAATATTGATTCTAGCCATTCACCAGCATGGTATGTATTTCCATTTGTCTGTGTCATCTATGATTTTTTCAGCAGAGTTTTGTGGTTTTCCTTGTAGAGATCTTACACCTCCCAGTTTAGGTATATTCCTAAGTATTTTATTTTATTTTTTACAGCTATCATAAAAGGAGTTGAGTTCTTGATTTGATTCTCAGCTTGGTCATTGTTGGTGTATAGTAGTGCTACTAATTTGTGTTCATTGATTTTGGGGATATATGAGATATTTTGATATAGACATACAATGTGTAATAATCGTATCAGGGCAAATGGGGTATCCATCACCTCAAGCATTTATCCTTAGTTTTACTCTTTTCATTATTTTAAAATGTATAATTAAATTATTATTGACTGTAGTCACCGTGTTGTGCTATTTTAAATTAATTTCTCTCTAACTGTTTTTTTGGTACTCATTAACCATCTTCACTCTTCCTACCCCCAAAACCCTTCCTAGTCTCTGGTAACAAACATCCTATACCCTTTTTGTCCACGAAGTTCATCGTTTTAGTTTTTAGCTTTCACAAATATGTGAGAACATGCAAAGTTTGTCTTTCTGTGGCTGGCTTATTTCACTTAACATAATGATCTCCAGTTCCAGCTACGTTGTTGTAAATGACAGGATCTCATTCTTTTTCATGGCTGAATAGTATTCTACTGTGTGTATGTACCATATTTTCTTTATCCATTCATTTGTTGATGGACAATTAGGTTTCTTCCAAATCTTGGCTATCATGGCTGTAATAAACATGGGCGTGCAGATATCTCTTCAATATACAATTTCCTTTTTTTTTTTTTTTTTTTGATATTTACCTAGTAGTGAGATTGTTGGATTTTATGGTAGCTCTAGTTTTAGTTTTTTGAGGAATATCTGAACTGTTTTCTGTAGTGGTTGTAGTAATTTACATTCCCACCAACAGTGTACGAGGGTTCCCTTTTCTCTACATCCTTGTCGGCATTTGTTATTGCCTTAGACACCCCAGTTTTGCTGCCCACGTTGTCAACCCTAGATCTGGATGCTGCCACTAAAACTGGTGCTGCTGTTGCCTTTCGAAAATCAATGTAGCTGCTGCTACTCCCACCACCAACAGTTAGCATGAATGACCTGAGGTTTTTTCTTGTTAGTTTCCTGTAAAGTCTGGGACGGGTACATATGATTTGGAGAATTTCAGTCCTGTACTCATGTCCTAGCTACAGAAGCTATGAAAGTGAGTATCTGACTTTTTCAGCTTCCGTGTTAGTGGAGTGCTACCTCCCAGCATTAGAAAATGCCCAACAAATAGGATGGGGGCAGGGCTTAAAGCTAAGTGGTTGCAAAGAATGGCTATATCCATGGAGCTGGGGGAGGTATTTGAACAGCTGTAGGAGAAATAGCAATATTTAGATTTGCATTGCCAGAGAGAAATATAAGGTGGTCATTCAGGAAAGTATTTTCCCTGGTAGATGAAATGATGTAAACCGAAGCCCTGATATTACTAGGGAACATGTTTGAGAAAAGAGGTTATTGGAAAGAATCATTATCACCTATACTTGTGTGAATGGAAAAGGAAAAGCACATGGATAGATAGTCCCTCATCATGAAAACCAAAGGATGAGCTTCTAGCAGATGACTAGTACGTTGTATTTGTTCAGTATTCTTTTAAATGAGTGAGGCTCTCAAGAAGGGAAGTACTCTTAAGAAAGGAAGCCCAGAGTTATGTAAGGATGAAAAGGATAAAGACTAAGAAAAGTACATTTGTTGACCTTTGGAAGAAGAAATTCATAAATATGGTAGGTAGAGAAACCAGAGGGCAAGCCAGGATTTGGAAGAAAAAAGTAATTGGTATGAGAATAATTGATGACATGAGGGGTCATATACTTTAGAAAGAGAGAGATAGGGCTTTACAAAGGAGAGAGTTTGAAAAAAGACTTCTTGAATACGTATTACATAGTCGCTGTTTCAAGTATTGGGGGAACGTAAGTGGACAAAGTGGAAAAAGAGCTATGCCCTGAGGGTTTTGTACTCAAGTGGGGCTGAGGGGGAGACAGTTAACAATAAACATAGTAAGCAAATTATGTAGTAGTTAGAAGGTGTTAAGTGCTATGGAGAAAAAAAGATAAAGCAGTGTAAGGAGGATTGAGAGTTTGGGAATGGGGTGGTTGTAGTAGTAAATAGAGTACTAGGGTACCTTTCAATGAGAAGGCAAGAATTGAGCCAAGATTTGAAGGAGTCAATGGAGGGACCTTTTAGATATTGAAGAGAAGAGCATTTTAGGCAGAAGAATCAGGAGACACAAAGCTCTGAGCTGGATCATGCCTTGTATGTTTGAGGAACAGGATGAAGAAGGGGGAGAAAAAGAGCCCAGTGAGGTAGCAATTGGAAGCCAGATCTTGTGGAGCATTGCCAGCTATTGAAAGGATTTTGCAAGGACATCATAAGCATCCGGTCTAGGATTGGCAACTCTCTTATATTTTCTGTAGCCCAGCCTGAGTTTCGTCTAAAGCTTCTCACACAATTCAGAAAGACATCAAGCTTTATTTCCATAGGCTATTTCTATTTGTACTCCCAGAAAGTGATCATCTAAAAACCAACACAAAGAGATAATGTTATGCAACCAATGTAGAGTGAGGCCAAATCCTCTATTGAAAAGGCAGAGGAAAAATTATGATGAATAATTTATGGTTCTTTTGCCTAACTTCATAAATATTTTTGGTTCAATTTGTCAATTTCTGATTATACACATACCATTTTAATAAAAAATTAAAAATACGTTTAAAGAAAATGTTTCTAAAATAGCAGTTACTCCTTTTGAATGTCCTTGCTTCTCTTTTTTTCTTCACACATCCTTTGTTAGAGGTGCTAATGAGATGTAGTGAGGACTCTGAAGTGCTTCCACTGTAAACTTTTGGGAGACCTCAGAGAGGAAATTATGGTGACAATTTAAATCACATTGGTGGTCTTAATGGATCTTAAATCATCTGGCTAAATACAGGCTTTACTCATTTTGGTTAAGGTTGAATTTGAATGTTTCATTTGGCATAAACCTTAGGATAACTCACTGCTTGACTAAATTTTTCACTTTTCAGCTGGGTGTTTGGCGGTACAGACATAACCACATAAGAGTTCTGACTAACCGTAATAAGATGTGTAGAACAAGGTGATCGGATAAAGGAATGTCTCTGTAACTAAGGCTCTTATATTGACAAGAATAGTAATAGAATTTTATATTTTTCCATTTTTATTAGTAGAGAATTGTCTTTGTGTCAGATGCGTCACTGGTTTTATCTGATATCGTGATCACTAAAGTTCGTCCTCTTTACCTCCATAACTTGAGTTTCTTACTTCTCTTATTTCGTGCACATTAAATATCTTATGCTTTTGCTGTAATGCTCTAGACAAGGCAGAGAATGTAGTATCTCCATCTTAAAGTTTAGGTTTCACTAAAGCTAAAGTCTGGTGTCTCTGTGCTGTGAAATTTTCTGATTAAATGAAGTTTGTACATGGGGTTCATTTTACTTCTTCTTTTTTTTTTTTTTTTTACACAATCTACTTGTTTAAGCATCCAAACCAATCCCCAGTGTTCTGAAAGTTTTCCATGTGTAGAATCTGTTATGTTAGAAAGGCTTTAATGAGATTACGAAGAGCTGCTATTTCTCATAAAAAACAAATAAAGGCAGTAAGCAGGTGTGCCATGTTTCTAAGAGCAGGTAAGGGAAGATACGGAAATATGTGTGTGAGAGAGATGAAAAGGTTTAGCACAACCTTGTTGTCCAGCCCACAGCCTGTGCACCACATGCAGCCCATGCTTGGCCATGAGGCTCAACACAAATTTGTAAACTTTCTTAAAACATTATGAGATTTTTTTTGCAATTTTTTTTAGCTCATCAGTGTAGTGTGTAGTGTAGTGTATTTTCTATTTGGCCCAAGACAGTTCCCCCAGTATGGCCCTGGAAAACCAAAAGATTGGACACCCCTGGTAGCATGTCATGACTCTGAACCAAAAATCATGGCATCATTGTTTCTTTTATTTGAAAATACTTTTATATGCACATAGATTTAAAATGCCACCTTAAATAAAAATTAACTTCCTGAAACCTTTATATTTCCTCTAGCATTAATTTTTGAAGGTTAGTAACAGCTAAGTCTACTACTAAATGTGTAGATCCATAGGACTGATATTTCGTAGCACTGTTGAGGTTTCTATGGAAAAACTGGTATGTGGTATACAAGAACAAAATTTTTCTCTACTATTAGTATCTTCTCTTCTAAGACACTTTTTTCATATGTAATTCTTATATTTAGATATTTTCCAAATAGTTGAAAACAGATTTTCTAGTAGCTATTTTCATATGGTGTATGGAGAAACAGCTTAAGCAAACATTCTTTAAGGGTTTAGATAAGAGTGATACTTTAAATCCTTTTGTGTTAAGTATAGTTGGTGTTGATATTATTACATCTATTTAAAATTTCATTTTCAATTGACTTATTTTATATCAGTTCAAGTTGGATTTACATAAATTTTATGCACAATTGACTTTAGGATGAAATAAGAGTTATAGCAATCCTTTTTAAGAAATTGGTTTTGATAGGAAACTGTTCAGCTTTTTATAAATGGCAAGTGGGTAATAGAGATTTTGATTTTCTGCTTAGGGATGCTTTAGCACTAATTTGGTAAAGAAGAAAATGTCCTTAGAATCTCTTTCAAATAGAGCTTCTGGCAAGTCAGGTTATTAGCTCAATGGTTCATGGTTTTTATAGTGTATAACTTTAACTTGTGGACTCCAGGAGTCGAAGTGTGAATAATTACAATGTCAGTGTGTATCTGTTGTTATCTAAAAATCAAACACAAACCCTTTATAAGTAGTTCCTTACAAGCGGGACAAATGAAATCTTCTAGAAAGTTCTCTTGGTGTGAAGAAAACAGCTTGTTTTGTTAAAACAAACTCAGACTCTTCCAGTGAGTGAAGGACTACATTACGTGGCTCTGGTAACTTTATTCATCCACTCGTGTGCCTTCTAAGCCTGCAGTGCTGCCTCGCTGTACCTCCTAAAGTACAGGCCTATGCAAGGAAGAAAAAACCCTTTCCTCAATTCCTTGGCACCTCACTCTCCTTAGTTGATTAGAAAGGTCTTTGAGAAAGTTATTAAGAATGTATATAAAATACTGCTTTATGTTAATGACAATATATGTATTTGATGTACATTGGCACGATCATGGCTCCCTGCAGCCTTAACCTCCTGGGCCCAAGTGATCCTCCCACCTCAGCCTCCTGAGTAAATAGGAATACAGTCGTGCACCACCACACCTGGCTAATTTTTTTTTGTTTTTAGTAGCGATAAGGTCTTCCTATGTTGCCCAGGTTGGTCTTGAACTTCCGGGCTCAAGCGATCCTCCTACTTCGGCCTCCCAAAGTGCTGGAATTACAGGTGTGAGCCACCACGCGTGGTCTATAATTTTTTTTTATAATAAACACTTTACACGCTTTAGAGGAGAGTTCCACCCGCCATGGGTTGGAAACTCCTGACCTCTGAAGGCACTGCTGTTGCATGACACAGTGCTTATTGTTACCTCCTCTGAATCTACAGATTTGGAATTTAGAATATCTGACCCTCCTTTTTTGCTCCAGCCCTCAGACTTTCTGGTAGTCATGTTTGCTGAGTGAATCTTACCAGCCTCCCAGATTCTTGGAGTCCTCCATCCACTGAATGGACTTTTTTTTTTTTTGGCCCCAGATATTTCTTCTAGAACAAAAATATCTGGGTCCCTACCTAGTGAAGTATTGGTGTCTGATCCAATGAATTCTTAACCAGTTCTCAGGGCTTTTATCTTAGGCATACACAGTATTCTTATCTAAATTGGGAATGATATTTCCTCCCGCACAGGGTGGCAGTGAGGATTAAATGAAATAATCAGAGTGAGCATCCCTAATCCAAAATCTGAAATACTCCAAAATCCAAAACTTTTTTTTTTTTGAGACGGAGTCTTGCTCTGTCGCCCAGGCTGTAGTGCAGTGGTGCGATCTCAATTCACTGCAAGCTCCACCTCCCGGAGCTTCATGCCATTCTACTGCCTCAGCCTCCTGAGTAGCTGGGACCATAGGCGCCAGCCACCACGCCCGGCTAATTTTTTATATTTTTAGTAGAGACGGGGTTTCACTCTGTTAGCCAGGATGGTCTCGATCTCCTGACCTCGTGATCCACCCGCCTCGGCCTCCCAAAGTGCTGGGATTACAGGCGTGAGCCACCATGCCCAGCCAATCCAAAACTTTTTGAGTACCCACCTAATACGGTAAGTGGAAAATTCTACACCTGACACATTTTTATTGTATTAACGGTATGTCATAATTTTTACTGTTAGGTACCTACGTGTGAATAAGTGGGAGAAAATGATTGCTTATTGATAATGTACAAATTGAGAGTCAGAGATAATGGTGATGCCAAACAAACAGATTGTAAGAGTCGCTGACACAGTGACACCTTTGTTCTCTTATGGCTTGATGTATACAAACTTCATTTCATGCAAAAAAAATTTTAAAATATTGTATAAAATTACCTTCAGACTATGTCTATAAGGTGCATGTGAAACATAAATGAATTTCATGTTTACCCTTGGGTCCCATCCCCAAGATATCTTATGTTTATGTAAAAATTCCAAAATGCAAAAATCTTTGAAATCCAAAGCAGTTCTGGCCCCAAGCATTTTAAATAAGGGATGCTTAAACCTGTATGTTAAGTACACACGTAGTGCCTCACAAACAGTAAAAGATGGCCAAATAGTATGTATCATGATCATTATCATTGTTGTCATCATGATCCTAGCTGTCATCATTCTATGTTCTATCTGGAAATAACTACACTCGCCTTGCCTGAGTTTCTTGCTTTCCATCTCCTGCCAAGACATCTTCCTCTCATTCTGGTTCAGTTTCTTGCCTGAGATAGTCATATTTTCCAGGTGATGGTTTACTCTGTAATGATTAACATAAAGAATTACCTCGGCCGGGCGCGGTGGCTCACGCCTGTAATCCCAGCACTTTGGGAGGCCGAGGCGGGTGGATCATGAGGTCAGGAGATCGAGACCATCCTGGCTAACAAGGTGAAACCCCGTCTCTACTAAAAATACAAAAAATTAGCCGGGCGCGGTGGCGGGCGCCTGTAGTCCCAGCTACTCGGGAGGCTGAGGCAGGAGAATGGCGTGAACCCGGGAAGCGGAGCTTGCAGTGAGCCGAGATTGCGCCACTGCAGTCCGCAGTCCGGCCTGGGCGACAGAGCGAGACTCCGTCTCAAAAAAAAAAAAAAAAAAAAAAAAAAAAAAGAATTACCTCACAGTTTATCTATCACCTAGTTCCCTGTTACTAGGGTGCAAGTCTGACCTCATGGTCTTTTAGTAGCATACCGCTAAAACCAAATAATAAACTAAAGATCCATGCAAGAATCATGCATATATAGAGGCAATCTGGAGGGTTTGTTGCTGTTGTTTTAATTAGCAAATTTACTAAGTTAATTTTCTTTGGTAGTTTAATCATGTAAGTTACCTTGAATTCTCTTCCTACTCTTTTAATGTTCATTGCCTTGTTGTCTCATGAATTGTTTTGTAAACCTTTGTGTCTAATCTTCTTATTTTGTGCACAGGCCATGCATATAATTATTATATTCATAACATGACATTAGCTTTTAAAAAGAATTTTGTGATCTCTAGGTAAATGATATTGTAGTAGATTTAAGGTATCATTCTATCATCAAATTCCATGAAGCATCTTTGTCTGATGGATTTGATTGTGCTGATGCTGAAATGATGCCCTCCAAGTATGGAGTGTTGCAATATTTTAAGAGAACACAGTTTGGGGCTTATTTTTTCTTTTTCGAAAGCTACCTCAAATTCCTGGAATGAGCTGTGGGGAGGGGCAACAATAAAACACAAACATTAGAAGCCTGTATCAGAAGATATCATCATATCTACACTATAATATTGGAGCTCTTGCTAGTAATGACAGTATTTGTATTAGGTGAAAAATGGTTTGTGTTGTTGACTTGTCTTCAGTTTATTTAGCTATGCTCAATTTTGTAACAAATGTATGTCCTCTATTTTATAAATGACTTAAAATATGTTTTGAGTATGATTGTTATAAAAGAAAATTTATATTTTTGGTTTTTGAAATATATACTTAATAAAATGTCTTCAGGAAAGAAAATAGGAATCTGCTAAAGCCATTGAGACCTGGTTTATAACAAAAGTTTTGAAATTTTAAAGCTGGAATGAAATCTGGTTGTCTCTTTATATTTGTATGCGAATTGTTTTTGTTGCCAGTGGTAACTATAGAGAATTTTTTGAAACAGCACCCTTTTAATAACAATGGTCTCCCCAAATATATTGTGGCATAGCTTTAAACTTTATTAAGTCTGTCTTGGACTCCCCCTTCCTCTCCCTGAGTAAATGGAAGAAAAGTTTGGCAGGCTCCATGCTGTGCACTTGATTGATGCCCAGAACATCTGAAGGACTTTTGTGTCCTGCCTGCTCTCCATGAGTGCATAATGTGTGAATACTTAAAGAAGGTCAGCCCTTATCACATGTAATCTAGGCCTGAAAGCAGATCAACAGTGACAGTCATATCCCGTAAGTAAGAACACAAATCCTCCTCTACATGCTTTAGACAAGTTGTGGGATATTTTTTCTCTCTTTTTACCCCTTCCCACTCATGGAGGACCTTGGCAGAGCAATGAAAGCAGAGAGAAGACGTGCTCAGAATAATGTGTCGCTCGTTCAAGGGAGAAAGGGATTGTTTATTTGTAATAATGTGATGGTCTTTCACTCTGCAGCTGAAGGGAGCTTTGGGTTGTTAATGACTAGTGATGTGGAATGCTGCAAATTAGAACGGGGTGGGGAGGCAGGAGGCAGCCTGAAAGAGGGCTGAAGTTGTGGTCTTTATAAACTCCAAAGTCAGGAAAAAAGTTTTTGTACTGTGGGCTCTATTGTTAGTTTTTTTTTCTCATAGTGGAGTAGTTTTTTATGATAGTATGTAAGTGTTTAGTTAAAAGCCAGAATAATAAAACCAAATACCAGTGCAGTTCTGAGGGCACTTTTGTTTTTGGTACAACATGTATGAAAGTTTGAAAAACATTTTAGTGCAAAGCTCTTGGTAGGACCTAAAAGGCTGTGGCTTCCAATTGGAAGAAGGCAATAACTGTTGTTATTAATGTGCCTGTGTGTTGGAACAGAAGTTTAATTAAAAAGTAAATTTTATTCCAAACAGTATTAGCAGGGATGTTTACATGGTAAAGAAAATAACACTCACCTTATTGTTCTCATTAAGAATAACAAATATATTATTATGTTTTCTTAGATACAAAGGAAAATATTTTTCATCTTATCTCCAAAACTTTATTAGTTTCCCTTGAAATATAATGAGCTGCAAGAAGTAGTAGCTGTCAGTTTGCACAATGGAAAGTAACCTGTGCTTACCTCCAGAAATGAAGACATTGCTTCCCATGTGTGTAGGATAAAATCAAAACTTCTAATTATGGGCTACAAGGCTCTTCCTAACCTCCCCAGTCTACTTTTCCAGCCTAATTCCCCTGCTCTCTAGGCATATCGAGCTTCTCGTGTTCTCTGCAAGCACTACTTTTTTTCTTACTCATAAATGTACTGTACTGCCTGTTCTCTTTGCTTAGGATTCCTTTGCCTTCCCTTCACCCAGTGAATTCCTACTTATCTTTGAAGACCCAGTTCAAATGCCTCCCCCACGCAAGTCCAACCCTCACCCTCAGGCAGAATTAATCTTTGTTTATTCACTGTTTTTTCCATGTTTCCTCAGCATAGCAGGCAGTTACTGTACTGCATTGTCATTACTGGATTGTATGTTTGTCTTCACCCACTAGAGGATAAGCTTTGTCCTGAAGGCAAGTGCTGTCTCTTTTTAATGTTCTCACATCCATTCAGTAGACACGATCCCCCCAAATATAGCAAATAGTGAATGTTTTTTAGATAAAAACTGTATATAAACATAAGATCAGGAGATTTGGGGAGTTTCTGTGTGAAAATGAATCACAAATTGAAATTGGTAGCAAGGTAGTCTCAATTTAAAATTCTTCAGTATACTTCTACTTCAAATGCATGAATATTTAATGAATTAAATGAAAATGAATTGATTTGAATAAATATTTAGTTTTTCAGGTATAATTTGACTTTTTTTTTGAGGTGAGGTCTTGCTGTATTGCCCAGGCTAGTCTCGAACCCCTGGGCTCAATCAAGCAGCCCTCTTGCCTCACCCTCCCTAATAACTGGGACTATAGCCAAGTACAAACCACTGTGTCCGGCTTTAATTGAATTTTTAAAATCTTGACTTAAGAGATACTTTGTATCCTTGTTTTAATGATCACACTGTTTGTGACAGGAACAACTTGATAAATGTTACATTGTAGCCTGTTATATTAAAGAACATTATTTTTATTGGCAAAGCTTTTCATGTGAGAGGCAGGAGAGAGATTAGTGAGAGTTGTCAGGAAATTACTGACATTTTCTGATATTTTCCTATATTCTGGGCACTGTATTCAGTAGTCTATATTCCTTCATTTATTTAGTGCATATAACAATTTAACAGTTAGGTAATGAGCAAACAGAGAGTTTAAATAATCTGCCCCAGATTATACACATAGCACAAATAGGCCCTTTCTACTGTACAGCAAAGACTCCGTAAATCTAGAATGTGTGAATGTCATTAGTAAGAACTCTGCAAATGACATACAGTGATGACATATCCTACACATATTAGTAGTACTCTCCATAGTGCTCCTTTTTCCTTCCTCTGCCCTTCTGTCAGGTGTACATTTTCAAATGGAGACCTTTCTTTTAATCTTCTCTCAGAACTTTCTTTGAAGACTCCTTTGGTATATAAATTAACTTGCAAAATTAAGTTGGCTATCTCAGTAGAAGAAGAACGCCTCAGACATAAACCATTGTTATTCTCCTTTCTGATATTTCTTCTTGTAGGTAAAGATGTAATTGAAATAGAATCTATTGGAGCAGTTAAGTGAACCTGTGATGAAAGCTGCACAAGCAGGTGTATAACCATTTGGCACATTGGTTCCTTCTCTGCAGTCAACTCTGTAGTTAGGAGATTTGGGAGTGAATGTTTAACTGCTATGAAACTCATTTTTTAAAATAAACTTTTTATTTTATAATTGATTTAGAAAATTTCCAAAGGTAATATAGAGTCCTCATATACCCTTCACCCAGTTTCCCCTGCTATTAACATTTGACCTTACTTTGGGGCTGTATATGTGTCACAGCTAAGAAAGGAACAATGGTATATTACCAGCAACCAAGCTCCAAACTTTATTCAGATTTGTTTCCTCTCTCCCTTTCCATAATGCCATTTTTTTCTGTTCAAGGATTCCATCTAGAAAACCACTTTGCACTTAGTCATCATGTCATCTTAGTCTCTGTTGGTTTTTAACTCTTTTTTTACACTTTCCTTGATAGTTTTAAGCAGTGATGATCAGATATTTTATTGAATATTTCTGAAATGGAGTTGGCCTGATGTATTTCTCATAGACTGGGGTGTTGAGGAGGTAGACCACAGAGGTGAAGTGCCATTCTCATCATATCAGGGGTACCTGCTATCAGCATGGCTTGTCTTCAGTCATGTTAACCTCAATCACCTGCCCAAGGGAGTGTTTGCCAGTTATTCCAGTGTAAAGTTATATTCCTTTTCATACTGTACTCCTTGGAAGCAAGTCACTAAGCACAGCTTAGAGTCAAGGGTGGGGTTGATTAAGCTCTGCTTCATGGAGCGAGACTATCTAAATATATAAATTTTTTGAATTCTTCTGAAAGGGAGATTTTTCCCATTCTACCATTGATTTACTTGGTTATCCAGTTACTAAATCTTTATTTTAAAAATAATTTCAACTTTTATTTTAGATTCAGAGGGCACACATGCAGGTTTGTTACATGGGCATATTGTGTGTTGCTGAGGTTTGGGGTACAATTGATCCAGTCACCCTGGTAGTGAGCATAGTACCCAGTAGTTTTTCAACCCTTGGGAGCCTGCGTGTCTCCTTCCCCACTCCAGTAGGCCCCAGTGTCTGTTGTTGCCATCTTTATGTCCATGTGTACCTAATGTTAAGTTCCCACTTTTAAGTGAGAACATGCAATAATAGGGATACATCTGTTCCTGTGTTAATCTGCTTAGGATAATGCCCTCCAGCTGCATCAATGTTGCTATGGTTTCATTCTTTTTTATTACACTGTAGTATTCCATGGTGTATATGTACCATATTTTCTTTATCCAGTCTACTGCTGATGTGTACCTCAGTTGATTTCATATCTTTTCTACTGTCAATAGTGCTGCGATGAACATATAAGTGCCCATGTCTTTTTGGTAGAATGATTTATTTTCTTTTGGATATATACCCAGTAATGGCTTTACTGGGTAGAATGGTAGTTGGTAGTACTGTTTTAACTTGTTTGAGAAATCTCCAAACTGCTTTCCACAGTGGCTGAACTAATTTATATTCCCACAAGCAATGTATAAGCATTCCCTTTTCTCCACAGCCTTGCCAGCATTTGTGGATTTTTGACTTTTTAGTAATAGCCTTTCTGACTGGTGTAAGATGGTATTTCACTATGGTTTTGATTTGCATTTCTCTGATAGTGATGTTGAACATTCTTTTCATGTGTTTCTTGGCCTTTTGTATGTCTTCTTTTGAGAAGCGTCTGTTCCTGTTGTTTGCCCACTTTTTAATGCGATTATTTGTGTTTTGCTTGTGGAATTGTGAAACCAGTTCTTGACCTGGTACAGATAGAGGCTTAATTAGATTGGATATTGGAAATTAAAATGTAAACTGTAGATAAAAATATGTACATTAGGGTGAGAGGGTTAAATCATAGGCAAATCTGGGTGGTTCTGCTAAATTAGACTTTTGATCTACATAGTAAGTTTCATGAGATTTTTTGAACCAAGTAGTCAGGGGCCTAATATGCCATTTATAGAAGATCCCCTTCATTGTTGGCACCTAGCATATGTTAATAATTAAATTTAAAATGGAGGAAATTAACAGGGATACGTCTTGATTTTTTAAAATATTGCTAAATGAAAGAAATAGGCATTAGCAAGAAGTTTGACTAAGTGGAAACCTCTCCTCACATGTTTAATCTCGTTTTCACTCTCCCTCACCTAGTTGGAAGGTGAGGTTCAGAGATTCATCCTACATGCTGAAGTCCAGAAGTCTTTTTGGAGATGGGGTCTTGCTCTGTCACCCAGGCATGATTGCAGTGGTGTGATCATAGCTCACTGCAGGCTGGAACTCCTGGCCTAAAAAAATCCTCCTATCTTAGCTTCCCCAATAATTGGGAGTACAGGTGTGAACCACCATACCCAGCTAATTAAAAAAAATTATTTTAGAGACAGGGTCTTGCTATGTTGCTCAGGCTGGATTGAACTCCTGGCCTTAGGTGATCCTCCTGCCTCAGCCTGCCAAGTAGCTGGGATTACAGGTACGAGCCAATGTGCCCAGCATAAAAGTTTTTTTTTTTTTTTTTTTTTTTTTTTTTTTTTTTTTTTTTTTTTTTTTTTGCAGTTCATATATTCCAAACTCTGTAACCTATATTCAGAGTCCTGCACAATTTGGTTCCACTCTGTCTAGCTTTCTTTCCAACCACTTACTAATAGGAGCTGTCTGTTCCAGTAAGATTGTACTCATGCTGTTGCACAAATTGAAAATTCATTTCTACCTGTAAGCCTTGCTCATATAATTTCTTTCCTCTCAACTTCTGTATTGCTGTATAAGTTCAATTCGTCTTTCAGCATCCAGCTCTCCCTGCAATCTGGGCCCAGTCTGTTCCATCGTCTGCTTGGAATTTCCATGTTTATTCTGTTGGGGCCACTTCATCTTAAAATGTCTTACATTTTTTCTTAATTATTTCTTATATACTTATTCTGTGGTGTTATAACCTTCTTGAGGAACCAAATCAGCTTGCACATAGTTCAAAATCAGAAATGGTTGCTGATATGAGTTCTTTTGAACTGAATTAGGATTCTGGGGAGAGAGCAGAGATTCTGTCTTTAACTTTCAGCCATTTATAGAAGCCCATATTGGGGAAATGTGAGCAGTGGGAGCTGTCCCACATTTCAGCTATTCACTTCTTGCCCCAGAGCTCAAGGCTGGATTCCAAATTGGCAGTGGAACCATGTTGTGAATGTGGCTCTGAGCCCAACATAGAAGGTTTAAAAAGCAGATTCTATTGCTTGATTTTTGTCTGTTTTTCCCACATAACCCTCTGCTCCTGATCATCCTTACTCATTTTACTATATACCAATCTCTTTTCCTAACTAAAAGGGATATGGATAAATATTACTCAAAGACAGTTCTTTTTAATTACCACCAACCTCCATGTTTCTGACGAGTAAGATGCATGGCTTCTGTGAAATGCAGAATGTGTAGTTTAGTAAACTTAGAGTAGTTTAAGGTTTCCTACATGGTTAAAATTCTGTATTTTGCTTAAATTTCATGAAAGTACTTAGGAAAGTATAAATTGAGGGTGTTGATTGATTGTAGTATGTGTAAAATTATCAAAACAAAAAAAACATTGTTGGGTTTCCTAAGCTAGAGGGTAGATTTGAATGGTACCTAGAGGAATAGTGCTGGGAGGTGCAGGATGGGGTCAGGAGTAGGGGCAAATGAGGGATGTCTTTTGAAAGTGAGAAGAAAGCAGAGATTCTTTTTCCAAGAAAAGATTTTTTAAAATATCAAGTAAACATATGATGATGATATCTTAGATATAAACATTGTAATACATTTGCTACTCTACTCATAAATCCTTTATCAGACAAACTGATGGGATTTAATAATGACGTCTTTTTGTATTTGTCTATGGTAGCATTGTAGTTTCTACATATACTGACAATTCATTTATCTTTCTTGGTGTTCTTTTATTATTAACAGTTCTTAGAGTAAAACAAAAACAATTTTGAAAAAATTTCTTTATCTCATTCAATATCATGGCAAATGAAACGTCACAAAAATGGTCATAATTTACATTGAGAAACAATTACAGTTAAAATCTAAAAAGTGGAAAAACTTGCAATGGTTTTATTTATATAATAGTCAGTTAGGTTAACAGCTCTTAAAACTATAGTCATAACTGAAGTATCTTAACTTGCAGTATTCATTAGAGATTTCTTTTATATGTGACCCTTTTCATATCTGTGCACTTGATTCAAGGGTATTCACTTCATTATTTATCTGGTGACGTAGTGTGAGTAAACTACTGTAACACAATACTTTGATCTGTTGCACTATTTTTGGCATTTCACTAAGTAAAAACATTATTTCTTGTTTTCTTTTTACATTTCTCAGTTAAAATTCTTAGCAGAGATAAAAATGTTGGTAAAAGAAACAAACTATTTTATGACAGCAGCGTTTTAAATGAGGTTTGCTATGGATTCCCTTCATAGCTGCCCGAGAGATTTGGGGGACATGGGTATTGCCAGCGCAGAGTGAAGCCCCGGCGTGTGCTAGCCCTTGTGTGGGCAGCTGGGTCAGGCTCCTTTCTTAAGAAAACAATCCGGCTCAGGGTCCTCACCGCCCTTTGTTGTCCTCCCCACGAGGTGATCAGTTGAAGTCTCTGTGGTGACAGAACCAGTTTGTAACAGGCTTGTCTTTCACGGTCCTGTCTCAGGGTTGCTGGCAGGCTTGCGAGAAGATCTGACAAGAGTGGCAGCAGAGGCGTCTCAGTGAAAGACGGAAAGGCAAGAAACAGGAGGCTTAAACAGGCAGGGCACATTGACTGCTCTGCTGCTGCAATGGGTTGGCTGGAAGAACTAAACTGGCAGCTTCACATTTTCTTGCTCATTCTTCTCTCTATGCACACAAGGGGTAAGAAGATCAGTGCCCTCCACTACAGTGCTGATGGGGCTGAGTTAGAGTCTGATTTCGTGGCTTTTATCGCAGAAGGGAAAGTTCAGGCCAGAAGTTCAATGTCTATAAAGTTCCATCCCCCATTCTCCAACTGCCCTGTAATTTTACTACTTTCTCTATTATGGCAAGGCTTTCTAAGTACTCTGTTAGAATAATTTTAAAGAGACTTAACATTTCTATTTTCTCTAACAATTGAGAATTAAATACAATTAAACTTGGAACTTTAGGAAATTCATTCTCAATATACTGTGACAGTTTATATGTGAAGAATTTAAGAAAACAGCTATTCTAACAAACTTTTTTCTGATTATTTTAGCTTGAATACTGTTAGATTTTTATAGGTTAGCTAGTTTTCTTTGAAGTTCATCATCATTTTTATATGGATGCATTGAGTAAATCTGTAATTTTGCAATGGAAATAATTATAGTTTGTGACTATGTCAAATGTTTATTCACCTTTAAGAACAGGGGCTTGCTTTGTGATAATTTTGTTCAGAAGAATTATTATTTTATGAAGTTGACTAAAATATAGAAAATGTTAAAGCTTATTTAAAATTTTTGAATTAAACAGTAATTTTAAGAGTGGTTGAGCTATTTTCAAATGAGAAAAAAGCTAATGAACTGAATATAACTGGCCGTGGCAGTGATTGCAAAGAGGGAGTTATAGAGTTGGAAATAAGGAAATAATGGCTTTATAAAATTAAGCCAAATGATAAAGGGAATATGTATGAGATTGAAATGTATTTAAAGTTCAGCTTTATGTACTTGTGGATGCATATTATAGAACTAACTTGGCTGTACTGTTTATCAGAAGAGTGTGTAATTTTGATTGGGATTTACAGCATTCAGATTTTCATAATCTCAAAGTATTCTGTGACACTATTAAGATACTATGTTCTGTGGCTTGGCCCTACGGAAAAAGTTTTTAATTTCTGTATATATAAATGTATTTTTACTTATACCGTATACATAAGTTTAATTTTTGTGTGTTGATATGAAGGAATGATAGGTATTTCATCAACCTAGTTTGCTAGTTTAGTCTCTAAAAATTGTTGTAGGGAGAATAGAAAAACTTCAGGGAAACTGTGTCTTAAGAATGTTCCAGGAAGCTCGAAGCATGATATATGTGAGGTAAAATTCTCATTCCTCTATTCTAGCTACTACTGCCTCTTCATTGCCTGAGAGTCATTTTTTATTCTCTTTTAGCATTTTCTTTGAAATACACGAATACTTGGCTTTAGTATTGAGTTATGCCAATAAAAAGCAAAGAGGCCATATGCTACAGACAGAATCTTTGAATCATAAAATGCTAACCTTAGAATGTCCCTTAACATAATGTGGTATAAAATAATGTCTTAATGTCTTATTTCTTCCAGTGAGGAAGTTGACATCCAGAGACATTCTTTGTCTTCCTCTAGGTCATATAGGTGTAGGGAACCTTTTTAAAAAGCTCCCTTTGCAGGGCACTTGTGTGTGTGTGTGTGTGTGTGTGTGTGTGTGTGTGTGTGTGATGTGCCTGTACTTAATTTATCTTATATCATACTATCATAGTGGCTAAGAGTACAAATTCTGGACCCAGAATGCCTGGTTTTTAATCTTAGCTCTGCCACTCACTAGTTGTATGAACTCAAATGAATTATCTTATTGTTGTCTCAATTTTCACAACTGTAAAATAGGGATAATAATTATATTTACTATCAATTTGACTATTAAATGAGTAAGTATACATAAGCACTTAGAATAGTGTCTGGCACATAATATTACCTGAAAGTTTGCTGTTGTTAGTATCATTATTAATAATTAATTTATGCAAAAATAGGAGGCAACCAAGCTAGAAATGTACATTGAGATAGGACTGTGAACATCCAACAGGTCATCTTAGTGTGATGAACATGTTGAATCCCAATTGATTTTCCCAGCTTTGTCACCAATTGACTTTTTTTGTTGAGGAATTACTCTCCGTAACTTTCTATAAAGTACACTTGAGGTTGTTTATTTTATTTTATTTTTGCCCTGATAAATACAGAATGTGCTATAAACAGAGAAGGACTATGAGATTAACAGAAATTAAGCCACTTAGACTATTAAGTTAAATATTCCTTGACAACATCTAACATCCTTTACAATTATTAATTCTGCGTCTACTTCAGTGAGAATAATGATCACAGAAAAGGAAAATACGAAACACTGATAAATGATGTGTTCATGACTTTCAAATGAGTGACAAAGCCGAGATTAATATTCTGAGATCTTACATCCATATTTAAAATAAATGTCTTTCAAAATGACGACTTGAGACATTTGGAGAATGTGAGCATCAGGTGCATAAAAATATTTTGTTAAATATATGGAAACCTAAAAGATTTATATGAAGGAATATGTGTAATATTGCACTTCCACCTCAAGTGGCACAAAGCTCTGCAAAGTCACAATAAGTGGAAAGAAGAACTCTTCCTACTTGGGATAGAAGCAAGGGTGGCCTATGTATATGGTGACTCATCAACCTAAATCTTACCACTGCCTAGCTATTACCTTAAATGTTTTACTAGAAAGAGATACAGGCTTTGAAAAAGGAGGCATGAGTACATCTTGGTAGAGGTCTTGAACTTCAAGTTTTTTAAATACTGGAATATTGTGATTGCTTCAGAAACATATTTTTAAATCTAGGGAAATGGGGAATTGCCTTCCTAATAGTGAAAATGTGACCTGTAATGGTCAAAATCTGTAGTGTTAATTTCTACTTGAAATGGATTATGTTTAGATTGAGCTACTTGTACTATCCTACCCCTTTATTCTCCAAACATAGTAGAGACTCACAGGCAGTCATAATGAATATAGTGCAATGTGTAAACAGTACTAAAATATTGAATATAGTGCAATGCATAAACAGTATTAAAACATCATTTTGTTCACTACCATTCTTCTTAAATTCTGTTAAGAGAATTTAGTAAAGTTATAAAGATGGTAGACTGACAGACCTAAAAACTAAAGGACTCTGGGTTTGTTGTTCTAACACAATGGTGGCAACAATGTACCCGTCCTGACGAGGATAGGCCTCATGTTCCCACATTTAAGATGGTGAAATTTTCATTGGTTCCCTGTTAAATGTACATGTGAAAATGTCTATAATTTTTCCCCTATAAAATAATGCTAATAGGCTATTAAAGCAATCAGATTAAATAAAACTTGGCAGCCACATTTATTTTAGGAGCAATTCTACATCAATAAAGATACTTACAGGAAAACAAGGTGAGATAGGAAGTAGAAATCCACTCCCTTGTGAATACAGGAAAATCCTCAAACCCAGTGATCAAAACCAGACCCAAGTCTCCATGGTCTGTACAGTTTTATATAACCTGGATTTTATGTACCACCTCTCCGTTGCCAGGCCATATTCCATAGGTTTCCTATTGTCATATTTATGTCTGGCCTAGTTGACACTAATTTAAAATTCAAAAAATAGGTTATACATTTTTTTTTAGTATAATCAGGGCAAATAGGGAATCCAGTAAGAGGAGGATAACAAACATGGCTGTGAATAGGTAGTTTCACAATTAGAATGATAATATTGCTATGCGGCATCAGTTTTTGGTAATATTTTAAGTGAAAAATGATCCTTATTACCATATGGCAAAATATACTGAAAATCTGAACTGTTAGACCAACACAGCTGTTAAATGCATAAATGTGGTTATGTGTTTAAAATGTTTTCTACTACAGCTATTTTGTGGCATTTCTTAATCTCAGGCTATTAATCGGCAGTAACTGCAAGTTGTGGTGAGCATCACAGATGTAAGAAATTTGATCTCTGGTAATTTACCTGGGAAGAAAATGGCTAAACTATAGTTTTCAACTTAAGTTCTGCTCATTAGATTGGATAGTAATTTCACGTAATTGCCAAGTACAGACTGAAATTATTTGGTTTCACCTTTTTTTATTATTTTCAAAATGCTAGCAACCGTATGCAAGTCTTATCTGTGTATAAATGTCTGTACATAGTATAATTCAAACTTGTAAATTACAAATATATGAAGGCTTTTGAAAAAACATTGGAACAGCAAAATAACTCAAATTAGTTTCTTTTTTCTCTGTAAGCCAACTGAATCTGAAATAACATTGGACAGATATTTTATTGATTTAGAACATTGTACAAATCTTTTATTGATTTAGAATTGCCAGGAATAAATCTATGAATTCTTCCCCCAACTTTTCAAATGCATATCTATTTTTAGAATTCATATAAGAATTTGAACAAATCCTCAAATAAGAGAAAATATTGACAACTAATTATAGAACAATTATCTTAATCAGCTAAGTTTTCTGTGAAGCTTTCTTATGCTGCATTTTAGGTCCAGATGGCCTCTTTTGGTCTTGATTATTATACTTGTTATCTGTAAAATAGAGACTTTGTCTATATTAATATATATTTGTTGGTTTGGAAAAGTGAATAGTAAAATACATAAGGATGATCTTGTGACTTTGCACTCTATTTTTACTCTAGACCTCTCCATGTTTCTTTTAACTTGGAAAATATCTTTCCGGATTAACTGATTACTCTGCTTGATACTATCTCTGTTACATTCTTTTGATGATTAGTTAACTATATAAAATCATAGTATTGATATTTTGGTTATAAAGAACAGAATCTTAAGTAGAGAAAGAAGTTTAATGGAGACATAAAGAAAAACTAAAGGAAACACAGGCCTCATGGGACCCAGCAGGCCAGGAGGACCGGAACATCTCCTTGTCTATGTCTGTCTCTCTCTGAGGGCCTTGTGCACGTTCCACTCTCGCTGTGTGCGTCTGCTCCCTTCTTTTCTTTTTGTTTAAAATTCTTTAATGGACGCTCCTTGTATTTAGGATAAAATCCAGATCTTTCTGTGTCCTGCAAAGGTCTGATATCAGCTGGCTCCTGACTCATCTTGCAGCTCATCTCACTGCTTACTGAGCATCAGCCATATAGGCCTGAAAACAAACAAAACAAAACAAAACAAGACAAAAATGATCCAACCTTTTTCTCACTCAGGTACTTCACATATACTGTTTTCACAGTCTGGAAAGTTCTTTGCCTTTCTACTCTGTTTATCCATGCATTTGCATAAGTGCCATTTAGTTAAGTTTTCCTTAACAATCTAAATTAAATGAAACCCCTTTGATATAATCCCTCATTGTGTTTTATTTTTCCTTTATGGTACATATCATAATTTATCATTATACATGTCACTCTCCTGCTGGAAGCTAAGCTTCTCAGAAGAACAAACTCTGTCCATTTTATTTATTGTTGTGTCTTGAGTGTATAGCACAGGCTTGGTGTATAGAGGAATCTATGTCCCTGGACATACTTATAGTTTCTTGCTTGACTCAAAATGGTGGCTGCAGTCCCTAATGTTCCAAGACCATTTTGCTTAGCTCTGCAGAGTTAACTGACAGATGTTTCACTTTTTTTTTTTGAGACAGAATCTCACTCTGTCACCAGGCTGGAGTGCAGTGGTGTGATCTTGGCTCACTGCAACCTCCGCCTCCCGAGTTCAAGTGATTCTCCTGCCTCAGCCTCCCGAGTCGCTGGGACTACAGGCACACGCCACCACGCCCAGCTATTTTTGTTGTATTTTTAGTAGAGACGGGGTTTCACCATGTTGGCCAGGTTGGTCTCAATCTCTTGATCTTGTGATCCACCCGCCTTGGCCTCCCAAAGTGCTGCACTTTTATTTTTAATTTCTTTGGAGGGAGAATTTGATTGGCTGCGGACCCTTAGAATAATCAAAGGTAACCTACTAGCCATGTTAAAGGTTTTTGATTGCCAGTGTAATCCAAACCCTTTTCTAGAAAAACTGCACCTGCTCACAGTGTCTATTATTGTCTGGTTTTTCTAGAAGAGGGTTTGGATTATATTGACAATCAAAAACCTTTAACATGGCTACTCTTGTCACTTATGATAGCAATATAAATACTTCCAGGACTCTTTTGTTTGTAGTGAATTGATATTGGCTAGCAAATGAGTTATTTATCAACTAAATGTTTTGAAAATTATTTTAAAAAACACTTTAATATTTCTCACTTGAACTTCAGAATTCAGCAAATGTTACTACCGAAAATAATGATGATGTATTTCTATAGGTCCTACAGAATTATCTGAAGAGTAAATGAAGGTAGATCTGACTATCTTTTACTCTGTAAAAAAAGATGCTATAGAAATTCGGGATGTCAACGTGGTGGCAGAAATAATGTGTGAAACAAGTAGTGTAGTGACTTGACAGACTTTAGTTCTAGGACATTGTTATATGTAAGTTTCGCTCCTTTATTGAAATGGTAGTTGCAAACTATATGTCTCATAAAGAACATCTCATAAATTTTGCATTTATGATTTCTGAACAGGACATGAGTTTGAGGCTAGTGTTATACATCGTTCATTCAATCAGATTCTGGGAACTTAATGTCTGAAACTATGTTTCTGATTTCTTCTGGAGTCCAGAGGAAAATTAATGTACATTTCAAATTTACTTTTGAAAACCTCATGAGTACCTGGTGAAAATTGTCTTTGGTTCGTAGTTTTTTACTGCCGTACAGTGTTCAGTGTTGCATAATGTCCCCATAGTCATATTGGTGTCTTCACAGTTTTAATGGGAGTTTTACATATAAGGAAATAGTGACTTACACTACTTAAAAAAATCAATTGTGTCACTTCCATGATGTAGAAACTGCACTGATGAGATAACAGCCAGGTGTGAGTCAATTTAATGTAACAGGACATCTTAAAATTTTTTCTGGCCATCTCTGTCTACCTTCAATACAAGCTATGCCAAGGCCAATAGCACGGAGCTTCAGAAAATCCAAGCCAAGGTTTGTTTTGGAAACGCCACATGAAATTATCTTTCTGTTATTACATTTATAGAAATATTCATTATCAAACTAAGTCTTTGCTAAAGTGTTTACCTTTATTTTCTCTCTAAAAGAAAACTACATTTTTTCAAATCTGAAAAATTCAAATCAGTATTTCAAATCACTATTTTTTTCAGATCTGAAGAAATTAATAAAAACTTGTTGCTTGCAGTTGTGTATAATTTTAATGATTATGCACTTTTTTATGGCGCTGAATCTCAACTGAATATTTGTCTTGGTTAGAGTTGATATGCTCAAATATGTGTTGTTTTCAAATTGCATTATAAAACAAGTCTTTTTCTGTTCCTACTTTATAAAAAAGTTAATGTTGTAAGAATGACATGCTGTATTTATCCATGAAATAATGGCTGATTTGAGTGAGGAAATGTGCACCAGCTCTTTGGGGGAATAGTTGAGTGGCTTTTCTGAATTTAACTTAGCCTCTGAATTCAGCTGAAGTTATTGAGAACTGTGCAGTGACCCGGAAAACAACAACAATAATCACAAAAGAGTTCCATTGTGACATGTTAATAGAAGAAGGGTAGATGCCACTTAAGTTGCCTTTTTCTTCACACACTTGCTTAGACACATTATACTTATCCACACACATATGTTTCTTATATATATATGTGTGTGTGTGTTTTCATAGGATTATTACAATTTATTGAAATCAGACAGTATCACTAAATATTTCCTACTTAATTTCCTGTGCCCCGAGTGAAAAGATGTTCAAATTGGGGGAAGAGTCTAAAGGAGAAAGAGCCTTGTGCTAAATCATGTGATTTTATAGGCACATGACATTCTTTCAATGGGGGAATTTCTGGGGGATCGTTTTTGGGCTGATTTTATGCATATATACCAAACAGTTTATTCATAACATAGGAATATTAGTAGCTATTATGAATATTATTAATCTACTCTACTTAACCTATTATGGTAAAAAAAACAATTTTCTATCTTTTTTTGTTAAATAAACTTAATGACAAACATCTTGCAAATTAGATTTTCATATATTTCATCTCTTTCTTATGCTCAATTTAATCTATCAAAGCCACACATTGTAGAAGACATCTGGTATTGAGCTTAAGCAGCTGGGTTTCATTTGTAAGGGTTTTGAGCAAATTTTGGTGCTTGCCAACAATAATATAACAGTTGGCCAATGTGTTTTCCTTGTGGCAGATTTGTGCAGTGTGGCAAAATAGACCTGAGTTCAGGATCAGGTGCTTTTCTGCCTCTTTTTGGCCTGTCTGGTGGGACTTCAGAGGTTTTATGCAGATGTTCATTGAGCACTGGCTGAGCACTTGCTGCAATGGCCATTGAGTACAAATTAGCTGGTGAGCAGTATTCGACCAACACCCCTCAATTTCAGAAACACGGAGTCTGCAGTTTTCCCAGTATGGTTCTATGTATTTCCTGTATCAGAATCACTGCAGGTCGTTTTTAACATACAGGTCCCAATACCCCATTTTGAAACCACTAAACCAAATATTTGGGAGTTGAGCTGAGAAGGCTTAAATTTAATAAGCTATCCCAAGAGAGTTTGTACACATTGAATTCAAGATAATAAAGTTCAGTTTATTCTTTCCCTACAGATAGAACCTCTAACCCCACTTTCAGAACAAGAGAAGAAACTGTGTGTATTTAAAAGGGATTTTCAGACTTTGTTTCAAAAGTAACTTACCCATATACCCAGTTTAGACATTCTTTTATAAAATATTTTATCAGCATGATGTGTTGTTTAATAAAACAGTTGTCCTAGCACTACACAAATATTGTCCCCAATGATGAAGAAGGGATAAGGAATCTTAATTTAGTATGAACAATCCAAGTATGAGCTGAAAGATTTCTGCAAGAGTGAAATGAAGTAGGAGTCCCAAATTTCCCGTCTCTTCCTCAGATACATTTAACTAAGTGATTTCTGTCTCCAAATAGTCATGAGATACCTATGAAGCGCCTGGAAATCTGTTCAGAGTTTGGCTCTGTGATTGCTCCTTCAGAAAGCACTGTGTTGCAGTTTGCTTGCTCCTGGGCCCTCTGCTCATCCCCAGTTATATTAAACAGATTATTCCTAATGGAAAGAGTTATGTCTTTGTGGCTATCTAGGCAGTTTTGGGGACTGTTCTGAAAAGAAACTAAGTCATAACTCTTTCCTGCTTCTGCTGGAAAAGATCTATGCCAGAATTCTTACTACCTTAGTTTAATATTATTTTGTGGATTCTTGAGTCCAGAATTGAGTTTTCCAGATAAACACTTTTGAGTTCCCGGGCAATATGGAAACATACCCAGGGAATGACTGTGTGGTTGATGTGAGGTTTGCCTCTTCGGAAGTAAATAGGTAGTCTGATTGTTGTTATCATTAACTGGAAATGTACTTTTTACCCTATCTTGCTTTGAAAATTAGCACTCAAGATAGCTATTTCAGAGAGCTCCTGTGTTCACTCAGGAATTTTTGACTTGATTTAGAATAAACACACACACACACACACACACACACACACACACACACACACACACACACCACACACCCCTCCATTGAATATACATAGGCAATACCCCAGAATATATAAAATTAAAAGAGAGTAAGAGAAGAGGCATTCCAAATGCTTGGGATTGCCCCATTCCATAATCCATGTCATGCATGGGCTACATCTGCAGCTTTTTTAAGTTTCTGGAGGAAGCTCAGCAATGCAGCTGTCTCTAATGTACTGTGAACCTTGAAAAGGAATTTCCTTTCAAGTAAGAACGGAAGTAGTTTGTGTGTGGGATGATGGAGCTGGAGGTTTCCTTTAACAGAAAATAAAGTGCTGTTATGTAAACAAACATGTGTACAACCTAAAACAAAAAAGCACCTACATTTGAAAAAAAGACCTGGTTAATTTTTATTATCTACTTTTGTTTTCTCATTTTTGAAAGCGAAGAAAATGAAGCAGAAAGTTGTTAGGTGAATTGTTTAAAGTCTCACTATTAGTACTAGAGTCCCAGGACAGAACTTGGGATCCTAGAATTTTTAGTTCTAGTTCTTTAGGAATTACTTTAGATTTGGCCTTAGGATTGTTGTTTAGGCTGTATGTTTAGAAAGCCAAAACAAGGTCTTTGCCACATGATATGTTTGGATTTGTGTCCCCACCTAAATCTCATGATGAATTGTAATTCCCAATGTTGGGGGAGGGACCTGGTGGGAGGTGATTGGATCTTGGCGGTGGTTTTCCCCCTTGCTGTTCTTGTGACAGTGAGTGAGTTCTCATGAGATCTGATGGTTTAAAAGTGTGTGGCACTTCCCCATTCACTCACTGTCTCTCCTGCCGTCACGTGAAGATGTGCTTGCTTCCCCTTTGCCCTTCCACCGTAATTGTGAGTTTCCTGAGGCCTCACCAGCCATGCCTCCTGTACAGCCTGTGGAACTGTGAGTCAATTCAACCTCTTTTCTTCATAAATCATGCATTCTCAGGTAGTTTTTTTTTATAGCAGTGTAAGAACAGACTAATATACCACAGGAGCATTTTATTTAAGAAACAGGTTACAAAACATTCCCTACCATCACCACCACCTCCAAGAATAAATGTCAGTGTATGAAAAAAGCTCAGAACTGATAACTTCTGCTTTGATTTCCTATTTATTCTAATATATGCATTCTAATATTCTAATATAATTTGCAAAAAGTACTCTATATTCAACCACATTTAGACTTTCATAATTTAGTGATTCTGGGAATGCAGCTTATGCATAGTTTGTTCTGACCTAAAATATCTCATTATCTGAGGTGAGAAGGGGACAAAGTAGAGGAACACATTTGAGTTCTAGGACAAAAAATTTGCACCCCAGATTGAAGAATGGAGCATCTTTTTTTTCCTCTTCCTAAAATGTTAATCTAAAGAGATTACATGCAAAATACCCTAACTAGCTATGACTGCAAATAAGAAACGTGATCTGCAGCTGTACACCTTGGAAATGAGTGTGAACATCTCTACAGATTTATTTCTTAATGCTAAAATTGCATGGTTAATGTTCCTTTCCATTGTAGGATATCACTTGTACTTGGATCCTCTAGATTTACACATTTGATTTTATGGCTTTGGGCAATTGCTGTAGAATGTTTTAGAATAATCAGTGAACCTTCTTTAGCAGGTAAAATTGGTGTAGTATTTATCCTGATTTTTCAAACTCTCCATTAATTATTTCTTCAGTAACTGTAAATACTGACTTTGGTTTTGCAAGCCGAATGAGAATGCTTCGTTTCCTCCTGTGGCTTTGTTTTGCTGCTTATATTTGCTACTTAAGGGCTTTTAAAAATCTGCTAAAGATGTCATATTATCTATTGACATTTTATAAGATACTCTGGCAAAATTACTCCCCCAAGAAGTTCTAGAATGGTTTACTTTTTAGTCTGGATTGTTTTTATTATTTCTCTGCTTTTAATGAATCACCTTATTATCCTCAAAATAATAAAAAAAGATCTAGGGGTAAAAAAGAAAGTGGCATTCTTATAGTTACAATAGCTATTAATAAACTAATAGACAATAACTAACATATTCCATTTGTGGTTTTACAATTTAGAAATCCAAGCATACAAATATCAGCATTCATTTTAGGTTTTAATATGTGCATGTTTCCATTTATAGATGTTAAGCACAGGACAAGTTAAGGATAGTTGCTCTTTCAGATATAAAAATACTTATGGTTTTACAGTTTTTTTAGCTATAGTGATTAAAATAATATGATTATAGCCTAGGGTAGATCATAGGTGCAGGAGCTTTTATTATTCCATTTGTATAAATGTAGAAACAGTTCGGAGAAGATAAATAACTTGCTCGAGGTCACAGAGTTAATACATGGTACATTTTAGATTGAAATCAACACTGGCGTTTGTATCTTTTCTTCTAGCAGCTATACCAAATAACATTTCTTAGAGGAGAATATTTATATGACTTGATATTCAAAAATATGCAAAACCACATAACATAAAACATTTTAGAATTTGTTAACAGTAAAATCAGTAGTAGTAAATAAAACAAACTACAGACAGGCAAAAGGACACCCCATACTCTTGAAAAACATGCTGTATGACATATAACTGGAAAGTATCTATTATTAATTGCATATAAAAAATCTTCAAGAAGGAGAAAAATGAAAATAAACAATAAAAGTAGCAGAAGACACGAACAGGGCATTCATAGAGGAGTAATATGGAAATATAGGAAAAGAAGCTAAATAAATAGAGAATTGCAAGTTAAAATAATATGACATATCACATTATAGTCAGCAGATTGGCAAAATAATTAGCAGTTTTAGATTACCAAGGTTTGGCAAGGATGTGGAGAAATGGGAACCCTTAACCACTGTTAGTTGGAGTATAATAGTTTCAACCATTTTTAAGAGTGATATATATCATTTATAGGTATAGATAAATAATTATATGGAAATATTCATAAGATTAAGAAACTGTCATAGATATGACACCAAAAGCAAAAGCAATAATAGAAAAAAATAATGAAACAGTCTTTGTCAATTAAAAAAATTATGTGCTTTAGAACAGGGGTTCCCAACCCCTGGACCATGGACTGGTAGTCATCCCTGACCTGTTAGGAACTGGCCACACAGCAGGAAGTGAGCAGTTGGCAAGTGAGCATTATCGCCTGAGTTGTGCCTCCTGTCAGATCAGTGGGAGCGTTAGATGCTCATAGGAGAGCAAACGCTGTTGTGAACTGTGCATGCAAGGGTTCATGCACAGTTGTGGGCTCCTTATGAGAATCTAATGCCTGATGATCTGAGGTGGAACAAACCATCCCCCACCACCCCTCCCACCCCTGTGCATACAAAAATTGTCTTCCACAAAACTGGTCTTTGGTGCCGCAAAGACTGAGGACTGCTGTTTTAGAGCACGTCGCCAAGAAAGTGAAAAGACAGTCCACATAATGGAAGAATATATTTGCAAATCATGTATCTTATAACACCCATGAATCTAGCCTATGTAAAGAACCGTTACAAATTAATAATAAAAAGAAAAATAACCCAGTTTGAAAATGGACGAGGATCTCAGCAGACATTTCTCCAAAGAATGTATACAAGTGGCTGACAATCACATGAAAAAATGCTCAGCATCCTGTTATCAGAGAAATTCAATCAAAAACACAATATACCACTTCACATGTACTAGGATGGCTGTAATAAAAGATATAATAAAAAATGATCCTAAAGATGTGGAGAAATTGGAATCCTCATCTGTGGCTCCTGGGAATATAAAATGGTACCACCACTTTGGTAAACAGTCTGGCAGTTTCTCAAAGTGATAATCATGTAGTTGTCATATGATCCAGCAATTTGACTCCTAGGTATATACCGAAGAGAGATGAGAAAATGTGTCCACAAAAAACTTGCACCCAGATGTTCATAGCAGCGTTATAGGTAATATAAATGTTAAATATATTACTAATACAAACTGTTGTATATCTATATAATAGAATGTTATTTGGCAATAAAAAGAATGAAGTACTGATACATGCTACAACATGGATAAATCTTGAAAACTATGCTAAGTGAAAGAAACCAGATACAAAGACCATAGGTTGTGTTTTCTATTTACATGAAAATTCCAGAGAGGCGTGGGGGCATAGAGAGTGACTGCCTGTATATGGTTTTGTTTTTGAGGGGGTTGAAAATGTTCTAAAATTATGTCATTTGATGGTTGCATAACTCTATGCCTATATTAAAAAGCAATGATTTGTACATGTTAAATGAGTGAATTTTATAGTATGTTAATTATATCCCAATAAAGCTCCTAAAAATATTCATAGGCGTGATAATCAAATTTAGGATAGTGCAGAATAAGGGAGGTGAAGGAACTGGTACTCATTTGACTTCATTCTCTAATATTTTATTCCTTAGAAGTAAAATATCTGTTAAGATTTTATAAAAATGAATTGTAAGAATCTTGTATTCTCTTATCCATTTTTAAATATATTTGTAGCATTTTATATAACAGAAGAGTCAGCCAGAAATGAAATTAAGTACATTATCCCTCCTCCCTTTCAGCTTGAAACATGGATTTTTTCCTAATAATTGAAGACGGTTCAAGAAAATATCTTCTACAAGAAAATATGCAACTAGGAGTCCTGCAATGAACGTTGTTTGCTTTCTTCAATATCAATTATAATAATATTTTATCTTTAAAATCAGAATTTTACCGAAACAGTTTTGTCATTTTATTATTTAACTGATGAGAAAAACTATATGTGATTTAGAGTTGCCATGAGTCCTGATTCAAATCAGATTACTTTTCTTTTGCTAAAAACTTAGCGCAGTAGCCCACCTGCAATCCTGCTTGCTTAAGGGGAAATGGTACCTTCTTGGGACAGCTGCTGTTCATAATTCTCAGTCTAGCCTTGTGAGTAGCTGTTAATTTGCCTATGAACCTTTATCATGGTCTCTCCCCTCACAGAATAAAAGATTCTCTTGGCAGACAAAGCACAGGCCCTAGGCCAGAAAGGCTCATTCCTGAATCAGAGGTGTCTATTACTTTTCTACTTGTTAATATAACAGAAATGCCTTTCCTGTCACAGGGGAGAGTGGTTGGGAAATTGCCTGTACTGACAAGCCCTTCTCAGATAGGAGGAGCACATAGACATAACATAAGCATATTTTCCTAGAATATTGTTTCATGCTTTTCCCACTCAGGGCCATGGCCATTACTGGGGAGGGAAAACGACCTCAGGGCCTTGAGGTTTGTTTGTTGTGGTATTAATAACATATGATGGCAAAGATGAATATAGTTATGCTAGCATTCAAATACAGTTGGAAATGCAGTTATTCTGTAGCATACAGGTTAGGTAAAGTTTCTTTCTTCTGTTTCTAGAGCTTGTAAACATAGGAGCGATTGGAATAGTTTAAGCAAAGTCAAAGTGAGAAAATATGCAGTGCCAGAAGCTTGTGTGAGGGAGTGGAAATTTTTGCACAAAAGCCAGAATTTGACTAGATAATACTTTTCAAATTGTGGTCCCTGCAGTGGCATTACATGGGAACCTGGTATAAAAGCAAATTATTGGGTCTCAACTAAAATCCACTGAATCAAAAACCTTAGGGGGTTTTTGAGCCCAGAGATCCATGTTTTAACAAGCCCCTCAGTGATTTTGTTATGCATTAAACTTTGAGAACCACTGGACTAAATTATGTTGGTTTTTCAATGGCAGGTGAATAACAGGCAATGGAAATGCATGGAAATGCATTTGTGAGCACAGTTTTGGAACGATTAAAGCATTTTATTTAGGTAATAGAGTCTTCTGTCTTATTTTTCTAGTAGAGGAATTTTAGTTTATGCTACAATATCAAGATATCTGATTTAATCCATGCATCTCTGAAGGATGTATTGGTTTCTTATTTCTTTTAATTGAGAGAGTTGTTGAATGATTTAATAGAACTTTGGAATTTTCAAACTGAAGTGATATTTTTATTTGCTATAAATTATAGGTGCTTTCTTTGTATGCCATTTTATTCCCTAAACTGGTAGCATTTTACAGATTTAATAGGGCCTAGATCTACTCTTAAGTCCTGAAGGTATAATCCAAATAATTTAGAAAATTGCTAAGGGCATTCCCCAGGTCACTTTACTGTGTAATTTTTTCCCAAGTATGTTTTGCATTTTAAATGTTTTCATTTTTCCTCTTAATCTTGTTATTTATCAGTAACACATGATGTGTTGGCATCTTCTGGAATAACACATTTGTTCCAAGTGAAAAGGACTAGGTTTAGAAAACCTAGTCGGCCAAGAAGTTTACCCGACAGAAACCTATGTTGAATCTAAAATTAATGTGCTCACATTTTCCATCAAAATGAAAATGGAATGAAGCCAAGAAAGCACTATGAGAAGAAGTTTGTTGGTCTCTGCCCTGCATGAACAGCATTAACAAAATATGTCATTTAGTCTTGTAAATAATAGACGTGTTGAAAACAATATTTTACCTTTAAGTCTGAGATGAGACACAAACTCTGATTATGTTACTCCTCCCCTTAAGCATCATTTTATTACATCTTTAAGCATATAATGACTTGAAGAAACCATTTTTTCCTTTGGTTTATCAAACCTTTATTAAATGTTTAGTGTCTTCAAACGTTGTGAAATGCCCTGTGGATTTAAGGAAAACATTCCCAGATGGAGGTCGCGGGGGCAAACAAATACAAAGAATACTTTGGGAACGGATAGGTGTGCATCTGACTTAAAGGGAGGTCTGAATCAAGTTGAGAACTAAAGGATGATAAGGCATTTAGAGGCAAAGAAAGGAAGTAAACAAGTTCCACATAGAGGGACCAACATTCGCAAAACACCCAGAAAGATCTAAAAGAGCATGGCACTGCTGGAGAACTGCACAGGGTTTAGTGTCACTGCAGAGTTGGAGGTGAGGGGTAGTGAGCAGCTAAGTTGAGATTTTAAACAGGGGAATGATGATGAAGGTTTGTGTAGACACAGGCTAGGAACCACATGTTTTTTTCCTGTGGGTGTGTAGATCCGTGGCTGGCTCTTGAGAAGAAAAGTAACATAATCGTATTTCCCGTTTTCTCTATCACTTAATGGCAGTTCCATCCTTATAGTTAATTAAGACAAAACTATATTATGCTTAGCTTTTCCTTGTCTCTCACATAATAGACATGGCTCACTGGAAAATTAGTCAGTACTGTCTACATTGGGCATCTGTGTGTACCACGTCCAAATCCTCTTTGACCTACCCGTGACTGCTGTCAGGGCTACAGCCACCAGTTCCATGGAGACATTGCCCAGCTTTGTGAAGGTGGAACTGAACACTATCTCATCTCCTGGCCTCCTGTCATGGACCCTCTTTGATGCAGCACATGGGATGCTAGGAGCAACCATTCTATACTCATGTATAACCTGCAATGAGGGCTGGTTAATGGCCCATGAAAGCAGACCTTACCAGTGGGGGATAGGAACTGAGAGGTAATCACTTCTCCTTTTATTCCATGGGTTGGCTATACTTGGACTTGTTTCCTTTAGTGAGATTGAACTAGATAACTTATCCTTGAATTGCCATTGTTTCCTTTGTTATTTCACAACCCCAGTCACAAACTTCAACTTCCTGGGATGTCATTCCCAAATAAACTCACTCTATGCAAGCAGTTGTCTTAGGCTTTACTTTCCTGAGGAACCAAAATTATGAAGTACCTTCAAAGTACAGCAAGTCCTCACTTAATGTTGTTGATAGGCTTTTGGAAACTGGCACTTTAAGCAAAATGACATATAATGAAACCAATTTTTTTCATCAGTGTTATAATGGAAATATATTGTCTCACTTCACTATAGTGACATGTATTTTGAAGCTTAGGTTTTTACCAATAGGAAATGACATTATTTTGCTGAAGGAAATGACATTAAGGACTTGCTACACATTGTTTTGCTTAAAGTTGCAATTTCTAAGAATCTATCGACACCATTAAGTGAGGACTTATTATATATCTTGAATCTGACCACTTCTCATCACCTCCACCACTACCACCCATGTCCAAACCACAGTCAGTGTTTGCCTTCATTATAACAACAATCTCCTGACTGGCTCTCTGCTTTGGTTTTTGCTCTCTATAGTCTATTCTTAGCATAGCAATCAGAGTAGAAGTTTTCAGAAAGGCCCATGAAGATCTGTTCCCCATTTCTTGTCTGACCTCACCATGTACTACTGTTATTCTTGCTGGACAAACTGGCACCTGTTACTCTTCAAGAATGCCAGGTGCACTTCTCCTTCAAGGCTCTTGCTCGACACTCCTGTCTAGAACACATTTCCCCTTTTCTTTACAACTCACTCTCTTCATCCTTCCCTTCTCAAAACTGACTTTTACATGGAGGAATTCTAGCTATCCTTTTTAAATCATGACTACTCCCAATAAATCTGTCCTGTTTCCTACTTTATTTCTCTCCAAAGTGCTTAGTATAATTTAGATATCTTTATGTTGTTTTATTTACTGTTTCTTTTTCTCCATTGACTGTGAGCTGTGAGGGCATGGAATCGTGTCTGTTTCTTTCTACTGCTATGTCCTTGGGCCTAGAACAGAGCCTGGTACCTGGAAGGTGCTCATTAAGTAATTGTTAAGTAGATGAATGAATGGATATTTTAGAAACTGTAATTTTGGCCAGGCGTGATGGCTCACGCCTGTAATCCCAACACTTTGGGAGGCCAAGGTGGGTGGATCACCTGAGGTTGGGAGTTCGTGACCAGCCTGACCAACATGGAGAAACCCCGTCTCTACTAAAAATACAAAATTAGCCGGGCATGGTGGCACATGCCTGTAATCCCAGCTACTTGGGAGGCTGAAGCAGGAGAATCGCTTGAACCCGGGAAGCAGAGGTTGCCATGAGCCAAGATTGCGCCATTGCACTCCAGCCTGGGCAACAAGAGAGAAACTGGGAAACTCTGTCACAAAACAAAACAAACAAACAAACAAACAAACAAAAACTGTAATCTTAGCTGTGGTGTAAAGAAGGCTAAAGGAAGGTAGGGATAGAGAATGGAAATTAGGAGGCTGTGCCGTCAATCAGGTAAGAAATGATGAGGGCCTCCTTTTGGCATCTTCTTAACGTCATCAATGGTGAGAGGAGGAAGGATTACAGAAAAATATGGAAGATTAAAATGATTGAGTTGTTGATGGATTGGGCATAGCGAATATAAGAGCAGAAGAGATATAAGAAGACTCAGGTTTTTCACTTTGGCAGCTGGGTGGATGGCGGTGATGTTCATCAGAGAGAATGCTGAAGAAAGAGCAGATTTTGGAAAGAAAGGGATAGGGTGGAAAGCCTTCTTGAAAAAGAAGAGTAACTTCAGAGTTTGTTGAGTTTGACATATAAACAAGACTTCTTAGTGTCACTAAGATGCTTGGTAGTCAGTTGAGTGTGTTGGCCTAGGGCTCAGGAAAGGATACTGTAGGGTAAACTAGTGCCTAGTGAGGAAGTTTTGCCTTGAGTTAGTCTAGTGGCCTTACAAAAAAACAAACAAGGAGGACCCATATGTAACTCACTGTGTTCCTGCAGGAGCATAGAAGTTCTTAATCATTGCCACTATTTCTTTTCTAGATTATTTAAAAAATAGAAAAAGAAAACTTTAAGAAATAAAAAAATGTATTGTACATTTTGAAAGAAAGATAAAGGCATTTATCTTAAGACAAAACGCCTGAGTATCTCTAGAGTACAAGGAATTTACCTTTAGTTTGTCCTGGCTAGCCTCAAACTCTTTATTTTGCTTTCATAGCCATTTCCTTTTGTTGAAAACATGTTGAAGTACTTTTTCTTCTTCCTTTAGTCACCAGAAATGAGTATGTTCTATACTAAAACACTCAGAATCCATGTAATGAAAAATGTCTAAATGTTTCAAGTAAGATTTTTGGTATGTATGTATCTGTTTCATAATATAAAAATTTTAATTGTTGTATTCTTCACCAACACGTTTTTCATGTATTCTGAAGCTTAGGTTTTTGCCAGTAGCTTTCATACCTCTGGTGATTTTATTACCTTATTTAATAGAGGAGAGTCAAGCATCTTGAACTGGTCTTCAATTTAGAAATTTATTAAACAATTTCATTTCTCAAGGGAGCAATTACTGTTGGAAAACATTATTATATACAAATCTCTGGGCCAATAGAGGATAGAGATGAGAAAGATACTGCCCAAGGAAATTTATAGAAACTAAATTAAAACAAAAATCACTCTGTCTGATCAGTAATCATCTCTTAGTTGGTGAATATACCTTAGCTGTGGATGAAATCTTTGACTTATTTGAATGGAATCTTTGCTGTTTAATCTCATACTGATACTTTGCAGTACACTAAGAAGATGTTAATGGTTTGCCAGTCTGAGCTTACATTGGATACTCAGTGGGTCACAGAGTTATGAAGGGCTATGTTGCCAAAATTGCAATCAGTAAAGCATAGATTATGAATATATATGTGTGTTTGTGTGTGTGTGTGTGTGTGTATATATATATATATATATATATATATATGAACTCTATATTGCTGACAATGAAATTACAGTTCTTGCTTTCTTGAATGGAAGAAATCATGAAAACCATAATTCAAGGGCCTGAGATACTTCAGATTTAGTTAAATAACCCTTTGTATTTGTTTTTTAAAATGCCTGGTTATTTGTATTTGTTTTTTAAAATGCCTGGTTATTTAGTGACACTTTGTTAACTGTTAATTGGGGTTCTCCAGAGAAACAGAGCCAATAAGGTGATAAGGCGTGTGTGTCTGTTTGTGTGCATGTGTGTAAAGAGATTTATTATAAGGAATTGGCTCACTTGATTCTGGAGGCTAACAAGTCCCAAGATCTGCACTTGGCAAGCTCAGGACCTAGGAAATTGGATGGCATGGTTTGAGGCAGAAGGCCAGCAAAGTCAAGACTTAAGCAGAGGGGAGGTTTCAGTTCAAGTGCAAAGAAAGGAAAAAAAGCCCATGTCCTAGTATGAAGGCAGTCAGGCGGGGCTCTCTTACTTTGAGAAAGGGTCAGCCTTTTTGTTCAATTCAGGCTTTCAGCTGATTGGATGAGGCCCACCCGCAGTAGGGAGAGCAATCTGCTTTACCCAGTCTATAGATTTCAATGTTAATCTCATCCAAAGACACCCTCACTTACATAAACACTCAGAATTATGTTTGAGCAAATATCTGGGCACCTTATGTCCCAGTCAAGTTGATGCACATAATTAACCATCACAATAACCAATTTTAAGTTCATTCACATTTATTCAATCAGGAAGCATCTTAGGCTTAGCTCTAGGGATTGAGCAAGAAGGTCAGACATTTTGGTTATTCTAATGAAGTGGAAGACAAGTGTCAGGTAACACTTAATAGAGACCAGAATAAAGTTTAATAAAATGAGGAAAACTACAAGTCTTAAGTAGTTGTATTCTTCACCATGATATTTTTCATGTATATTGAAACTAACTATATGGGATTAAAATTCCGTTTCTTACTCTGAACTTTAAATTATTAAACAGCCATTAAGAAAACTACATACTTATGTTTTAGTTTTATCCTTTTTACATTTTGTTTATATCACCATACATATTCATTTGGAAGGTGGTAGAATAATAATAAAGTAATAAACACAGTGAAGAAGCAAAACAAATTATTTCATTAATCATTTTTAATTAAAAATTTTAAAAAATTAAAATGATTTAAGTATTCTGAATTTGGTTCATATTGGAAATTACAGAAAGAGTCTATTAAATAAGCATAATCATTTTCTTGAGTTAATATTCATCTTCTATTTTCTTCAAATTTGACCAATATGATATAGCTCTTGCTTTTGGTTGCATGATAGTGACAAGGAAGCTACTTCACAGTTGAGTCTTTTATGAAGGTAGCTTTCTAAAAATCTATCTGTTATGCTTCTTGGCTGGGGAAACAAAAGTTCTAAGAGATAAGGGGGGGAAATCATTGCTAGAAATAGCAAACATAGTTTTCCCTCTTTTACAGATTTCTTTTTCAGCAGTGAATTAGAAGTGGCGGGCTTTGGAGAGATTTGTTCTTAGTAAGTTAATATTTGACTTGCCAAGCCATTTGGGAACACGGAATTGCCATGATATCTTCTGGGCATCTCCCCGGTTTTGGCAACTAGGAAACATTCAAGGCTGTGACTTCATGAAGAGAAGTTTGTCTGTGTGATATTATCCTGACTGCTATGCAACATTTTGGTGAATGTTTTCTTTGTAGACACAAATCCAGTGTGAAAACCCTTTTTTTATGAAAAAGGTTTATGGCACTTTCATAGTAGCAGGGCTTGTCTTGTTGATTTAGATCAAAATCATTTCCTCCCAACATCATAACCATTTTACTGTTCAGTGGTGCAGAAGGCATTATAAAGAGTTAGTGAATTGTTTTGGATCCTTCAGAATTGGATGAGGGACTGAAAAGAAGAAAATATCACCAACAGAGATGATACTCTGGATAACTTCTTCTTAAGGAAAAAAAAATATTTTCACACTGAGAATTTAAGTGTTATAATGATTTGAGCCTTTCAATAAACATCTAATACAAAACCAAATGTTTACAGTTCCACTTAGTCTTTCTTCATGCCTATGCCACTTTAAAGTCTTACTGTTTTCTCTCTCAGCTTTTAGGAATGGGAAACAGGACTTCTGTTAATGTCTAATGAATATTTATGAAGTCCTTTGACAATTAAGGGCTCATTAGAATTCACTTTTAAAGAAAGATAAAAACACTTTTAAGACCAAAGCAGAATGTGGTGGCATAGAAACTTGCATCTCTCTTTCCTTGTTGTGAATTGTCGAGATAAACACTCTACAAATGAACAAAGTGTCTTTTAAAAGTGATTCTAGGTAGGAGTTTGAGTAATATAGACATACTTGATTATTATATGATGACTTTAATTTTGCATTGACTTTTGCCTTGGTAAGTGTTTTTTTTTTACTGAAGATACTTGGAAATCCTGTTTTTTTACTGAAGATACTTGGAAATCCAAAAGTGGCTTTGGAGTCACTTTTTGTATTTAAATCTCAGTTTCAGCTCTTTCTTAGCTCTGTGACTTTGAGCAAGTTCTTAGTGCCTCAGTTTCTGTATTGCAATATGAAAAATACAATACTACTCTTTCCACAGCTTCTTGGAACAAGCAACTTAGTTAATACATGAAAAATACTTAGAATAGTGCCTGGAACGCTGGTTTTGTTTGCCTTGAGAAATCTTTCCTTTCAGTTCACATGCTTTGGCCCTACTAGAGGCGCTTGGAAAGGCCTTTGTTTTCTCCTTACTCGGGGTGGAGGGGTGCACAGGAATAGTTAACGAATCCTCACTCCCGATGGGTGGCATTTTTAGTTTTCTTCTTCATTTTCATTTTTCGTCATTGTTTTTTTCCTGAAGACCCCAAGGCCCTGTCCTACCACTTCCAGCTACCTTGGACTGCAGCTGTTCTCTTGGTTCTAATATGATACAAATAATATAAGGATGCCTAAATATATATTCAGTCACTTTCAAAAGCACAGTCTTTTATGAATGAAAAATTGCTAAAGTAAACAAAGTACTGTGAAGCTAGAGTAGTTATGCTGTTTTTGCTGCTACTCTAGGTAAATTACTGTTATTTAGTAATGGAAATTAAAAAAAAACCTGGACCTGAGTTTGGTAATGGAAATTTAAAAATACCTGGACCTGAAATCAGATAGAAAAGTCAGAAAAGTTACATGCCTGCTCATGATTATTTTAAATATGAAATAGAGGTATGTTTTGGGATGAGCAAAGAAGTAAAGCATCCATCTGCATATTTCTTTTTTTCATGAGGCTTAACATTTGCAGAAGTAGGCACTGACCTGGAAACCAAAAATTTGTAGTCTTGTTGATAAATGTATTCCTCTAAAGAACATCCCACTTACTCTTAAGTAATTTACCATCCTGCTTTACACACTGTAGGTCTTAAGATTAAATGTGTCTTTCTAAAGTGCTGATAGCTGTTATTTAACTCAAACCTTATCTTTAAGACAAGCCTCATAAATTTAATAATAATTAGGCATAGTTTCCACTGGAATTTTTACTGTTTTCACCATCTGTTCTTCTCAGAGTCTGTATAAAAGGTATTGGATCTGTTTCACAGTAACTTAGTAAATATTCACTTCTAATAATTATTTTCTATTGGAAAGTGACTGCTATACTTATGATTTTTAGGCAGTTAATAGTGAATCTATTGTTGGTCTGTTTTTTAGATGCATGATAGCGGTACTTTATTTTCACATGTTGTATGTAGACGATATATTAATAGTATTAGTAGTATGATGCTAATGAAAGAATATAATCCTGTATCATTTAATAGCCATTGTGTACTTGAGTGTTTATGCCCAGTTTTGATTGTTGTTTAATTTGCCTTTATAATTCTTACCCATATAGTCCTCAGTTTGGAGTAGAAAGACTTTGTAGAACACAGTCAATTATTTCCATGTTTCCAAGTAGGCACTCAGATACAGTGGTACTAGTTGGCCTGCCTTTTGGTTTATATTACCGTAAGGCTTCTGTCTCTCATATTTTTTGAGAGAATTTTCATATTCTGTCTCTCATACTTTATAGAACACAGTCAGTTATTTCCATGTTTCCAAGTAGGCACTCAGATACAGTGGTACTAGTTGGCCTGCCTTTTGGTTTATATTACTGTAAGGCTTCTGTCCATAGCTTTCTTTCCCCTTCCATCCAGCCACTCTCACAAGCCTGATGTCCATTCTTTTTTTTTCTAGTTGGGCTGAAGGATCAGACTTGTTAATTTGTCTAGTGCAAAGAGAGAAAGAAGAGAAGACCCAGGCATTGAACTATGAATATCCTGTAACTATAAAACAAGGCATATTTTTGTGTAAATACTAAAATGTACAGAAGACATTCAAAAATAGTTTCTAAATTGTATGCAGAAATGGAAGTGTTCAGTGAATAGGCTTATTTCTTCCCAAGAGTCCTAACTTGACTTACAACCCTCATTTCACTGTATGTGTAGTAAAATTTTAGGATGAACTGATGCTTTGATGGGAGGGATGAGCTTAATTTGTACTCTGCAGGAATCCATTCCAACTTTATTAGTATTATACTTGAGATTGGTCTTATGCTATAGTTAGCTTGTCTTTTTTAGTTCATTATAATAATGTATGTATTTGCTAATGTAAAACTACTATGAAAAGTTATAATCTAGTCTTTAAAAATACTTTATACTTAGAAATTTAAATGTCTTTCTTCAAAAATTTGCAAGACTGAAAATCAGAGTTGGATGCATATGTGAGCCAGTTAACATCAAACAATGAAGTTTTTGAAGATTGTAGCTAATAGTAGTATATAAATTGCTCACACTTATATGAGGCAAACTGTTCTAGGTACTAAAAGCATTTTACATATATAAGTATTATTATCATCTTCATTTTACAGATGAGGAAATGAAAGTTCATGGAGGTTAAGTAAATTGTCTGAGGTCACACAGCTAATTATCCAAGTAATCAGTGGAGTGACTCATATGTAAATAAATTATGCTACTTGGAATAAGAGGGAGGTAGTTGGTAGGCCAGAACATGTGTGTGCAACTAAGGTAGAGTAAAATATATAACACAGTAAAGTTCTGTGGAAACGTTAAAAAAGAAACACAATCAGAATTATAAGCAAAAACATGGGAATACAAAAACATGGTACATCTAATTAGAATAAGGTATGGATAGGGAGCAGACTATAGTAGAAGATGAAGCTGGAATGGAAGATTGAATCAGTTCATGAAGAACATTGAATGCCTTCCTAAGAACCTTAGAACTGTTAGAGATTTTTATTTGCTTTACTTTATTCGCTTTACAAGCATATGCACGTGTGTTGTCTTTAGAAGGCAGCAGTGCAAACACTAGATGATAGAAATGGGAAGGAGATCAGAGAGTATTACAGTAACATTGGTTAGGGACAGGTATAACGGTAGGAGAAAGGAAAGACTCCAGCCAATAGCTTGTATTTTGTAGTAATGGAACACGGAAGACATAGGAAAACCTATCCTTCCTACTGGGAAAAAGAGAAATCAAATGTACATACACCGGCTGATGGTGATGTAGTATTATTACTATTATGGAGTGATTTGGTAAAACAGTAATGTGCAGTAGTGAGCATCTTAGCTCCACCTTAAGACCCTATATTATATAGGCCTCAGTCATTTAGACAAACGGGAATACTTGTGTCTATTTTGCCAGGCTCCGTTAAGAGTTATATGAAAACATGTGAAAGCTGTTAGAACAGTTTTCACCTGATGTAGGCACTCAGTAGTTTTCCTTCATTCATTGATGGATTATTTCATGAATTATTATTTGTTTGTTTGAGGCATACCAAGCACAAAGCGCACAAGCACTTTGCTAATGGTTTGTTGATAAGCCACTTTCTACGTAGAATTTTTAGATTGTCTTCATAAATTTTAAAGTGAATGTGATATTTCCTATGTATGCTCTTCCTATTAAAAGATGGTAAATTAGAATTTAGTAAAGTTATTTAACTGGCTTTTCGTGATTATATATCATGGAAGAACTGAGGTAAATTATTAAATGTATGCCAGTTTTAAAACCTAGTTAACACTCCATGAAGATGTTATAGAATGTGTGTGTCTGAATCTGTTTAACATACACATATATATTCATGTATCTTGCAAAATACAAGATGTAATGCAAATATAGAATATTGTTTAAAATATAGCTAATATCATCTAGCTTTGGGAATAGCTTATAAAGTGAATTGAATATGGCACACAGAGCATACCATTTTAAAATGCATCTATGTAGCACTTGGAAAGCCAAGCTGATATTATGTACTAAGCAGCTGTAAATATGAGTCAGTAACATGAGTATGCTTCACATAGTGTGTACTGTTCTCCACGTTGGTTCTTTATGCAGTGATACAGATACTTAGCAGTACCAGCAGGAACCATGACTATGGAATTTCCACATTATTGTCTTCTAAGTAGTGAAATGATGCAACAAAGTAGAAAGTAACTTCAATTAGCTAAAATTTTAAAATATGAATTAGTACCAGTAGGTATTACCAGTGATAAATACTTGGAGGTCATCTATCACACTCTAGGAAGTAGTCTTGTGTGTGCATATTTTTAACTGGTATATATTTTTAAATTGGTTCTAAATTCTGGTAGTGGCTTTATCTATATGCAGTTGCAGTGAAACTTACTTTCTTTTTATTGACAAGTTTTAAGTCATGGATTTCTGATAAATGAATAGAACTAACATTTATTGGTCATTTACTGTATCTCAGGCACTGGGCTCTGTACTAAGTGCGTTATATCATACTTCCTTTAATTTTAACAACAGCCATGTGAGAAGTAAATATTATTACCCCTGTTTTCAAGATGAAGAAGTTGAAGTCTAGAGAAACTAATGAATTTAGTCAAAGCCATACAGCTAATTAGTCTAGCCCATGCACTTTCTTCTGTAATGTGCTGCCAAGGTTACATTGGTACTAGAAACTGTGTTCAGAACCCTCTCACATGCATGTTCCCATGTTTCACTCCTTATTTATCTAAAACATAATTTAAATGAAATGGCTCTGTCAAAATCTGTATTTCTTTCTTTTTTTCCTTACTATTTTTGAGACAGAGTCTTGCTCTGCTACCCAGGCTGGAGTGCAGTGGCACAATCACAGCTCGCTGCAGCCTCAACCTCCTGGGCTCCAGCCATCTTTCCATTTCAGCCTCCAGGATAGCTGGGACCACAGGTGTACACCACCACACCTGGTTAATTTTTGTATTTTTTTGTAGAGACAGGGATTCACCATGTTGCCCAGGATGGTCTAGAGCCCCTGAACTCAAGTAATCCACCTGCCTTAGCGTCCCAAAGTGCTGGGATTACAGGCCTGAGCCACTGCGCCTAACCAAAATCTCTATTTCTTGAGTTTGAAAATTGTATGTCAGAAGGAAGGGGAAATGTTAGAAAAACCCAGCTGTATTTTCCCCTTTCATTTTCAATTTTAGAAAGCAGAGATTTTACCAAATGGCAATCGCAATAGAAAATACACACAATTGAGATAGGACAGAATCATAAATGTATGTGAGGTAACGGTGTTTGTTCCTTTTGTCTTAATAGGTGATCCATGAGGCCTTCACAATAGGGAAGTTGTTCTACGTACCTCAAGAAAACTTTATCACGTGCGTGCCAGGTGCCTGACATGATTCTAGATGCTGAGGATGTAGCAGTTAGCCAAAGGGATATAACTCTTGCTCTCATGCAGTTTATATTCTAATTTGGATATTCTAAATATTTCATGTAGAATGTCACAATTAAGATATCACATAAGAAAGATACTTTCAGAGCTTCTCTATTTAATAATTTCATGTAGGAAAAGAAGGTCTCCTTAGTGTATCTTATCTTTCAGACCTTTATATGTAATAACATGATTTTTCCTAATTTAGAATTAACAGTTTTCTCTAGCATGTAAGAAAAACTGACTTGTGTTTGGAAATCAAGACCTAAGTTCAAATCAAGACATAAACACACATAAAGTTAGGGAAAAGTTTGTCTCTCTATATATACAATCAGTTCTTCAGTGTTCAGGTGTGAAATGAAAAAAAAAAACATGCAGAAGAAACAAAATTCTGCCTGTGATAACTTACAACCCAAAACAAAAGCTATCAAATAGGCAAACAAAAGCAAAAATCAACCAAGACTGATTCGTTCCACATTTGAGAAACTTTTTCTTTTTTAAATTACTTTTCTGAGAATGTGAACTTTCTGTATATGCTTGTTTACTCTCATATTAATGATTCATTTCTTCTTTTCCCAAATATTTGCCAATACTTCATAACTGGCTGAATCTAAGAGGTGCTAGGTTAAAAAATGAAGACTCAGGAGCTTAATTGTGCCATTTACAAATAAAAGCATTTAAAGTACAAATGAAAAGCTCTGTTTAGATCTCAAGAGGTTCAAAAATTACGTTTTCTTAATTCTTTTCTTTTTAAAACAAATCATCTCTTATACTCACTCCGTTCTCTTCCATCACAGTAAAAATGCCTTAGCTTATCTTAAAATATTTTATGTATGTATGTATGTATGTACATATGTACGTATGTATGTATATAAAGTCTTGCTCTGTCGCCCAGGATGGAGTGCAGTGGTACGATCTCGGCTCACTGCAACCTCCACCTCCTGGGTTCAAGTGATTTACCTCCCTCAACCTCCTGAGTAGCAGGGATTACAGGTGTCCACAACCATGTCGGCTAATTTTTGTATTTTTAGTGGAGATGGAGTTTCACCATGTTAGCCAGGCTGGTCTCAAACTCCTGACCTTAAGTGATCCACTCACCTTGGCCTCCTAAAGTGCTGGGATTACAGGCGTGAGCCACCACACCTGGCCTAAAATATTTACAAATTTTATATCTCTAATGCTAATGACTGGTTATTGGTCATCTATTGTGTCAGTTTTCAAAGTATGATTTGCCAACATAGTAATATTAACATGTTTTACTGACATTTGCACTGATAATAAACACCCGAGCTTTAGCACAAATCGAAGCAGGAACCAAACTATATGTGTATTCTTCACTCCAGTGTGCTCACAGTGAAAACAACCAACCAAACCAACCAACCAAAGAAATAAAAGGAAGCTTCATTTAAGAATATCCTTAATGAAGCAATAAAATGATTAATTTTATTAAATCTCAACCTCTCTGTAAATGTCTTTTTAATATTCTGTGTGACAAAATGTAAAGTGTGTATAATAAAATTTTTCAGCAACTGAGAATCAATGGTTATTGATATGGTTTGGCTATGTCTCCACCCAAATCTCATCTTGAAATGTACTTCCCATAATCCCCACATATGTCATGAGAGGGACCCAGTAGGAGGTAATTGAATAATGGGTGTGGTGATGTTCATGCTGTTCTTGTGATAGTGAGTTCTCATGAGATCTGATGAGTTTATAAGGGGCTTTTCTGTCTTTTGCTTGGCACTTCTCCTTGCTGCCACCATGTGAAGAAAGATGTGTTTGCTTCCCTTTCCACCTTGATTGTAAGTTTTCTGAGGCCTCCTCAGCCATGCTCAACTGTGAGTCAGTTAAACCTCTTTCCTTTATAAATTACCCAGTCTCTGGTATGTCGTTATTAGCAGCGTGAGAACGGACTACTACAGGTGTCTTGAGACTTCATTAAACAAAATTTTTACTAGAAAGAATGACTGACAGAAAAACTGGTTATTCAGACTTGGGTATTTGCAGCTATATTCTCAGAAATGAATGAATTGAGCTTGCCAGTTCAAGGAAAACAGTTGACAGTATTTATTGCCAATGATAAAACTCAGACTTTCAAGCAAAAGTTAGGATTTTGTGAAGCTTTTATCCACATAACTGATCTGCATAACTGAGTGGACCAAACATTTTTTTTTCCAGATGGCCAGTGCCTGTTGTTTCATATTCATGCATAGGTAAAAGATCAGTTTAAAATACAAGATGGACAGTAGGTTTAAATTTATCAGAATATGAAAATTTCATTGATAGGGTTTTAGAACCTATATTGTAACTTTTAAGAAACTCCGTGATGTCCAATTTTAGTGTATATTAAAGAATAACCACTCATATGAAAAGGCTATTAAAATAGCCTCCTAACTACATGTCTGTGTGAGACCAATTATTCTTAATATGTCAATCACAACAACATGCTATAACAGATTGAGTGCAGAAGCAAACATCCAGTTTCTTCTGTTAAATTAGACGTTAAAGAGTTTTGCAAAAACATAGAGCAATGCCACAGTTTTCTTGAAAATATGTTAAAATATAATGGGTTTATTATTTTTTAAAAATGAATTATACTTTTTTATTATTATTATACTTTAAGTTTAGGGTACATGTGCACAATGTGCAGGTTAGTTACATATGTATATATGTGCCATGCTGGTGTGCTGCACCCATTAACTCGTCATTTAGCATTAGGTATATCTCCTAATGCTATCCCTCCCCCCTCCCCCCACCCCACAACAGTCCCCAGAGTGTGATGTTCCCCTTCCTGTGTCCATTGAATTATACATTTTTTAACTGTTCAATTTTTTTTTAACATAGTAAATATCGAAAACTGTATCCAGACACACAGAAAATTTGGTATCCTCAGTCATTTTTAACAACGTAAAAGGGTCCCAAGAACAAAACATTTGAGAACTGCTGTCTAGAGGAATCACTGGTTTTAAAAGTCGCAGAGCACAGAGCTTTACTTCCACCTTGTCTGCTGCTCAGTAGTTTGCGCTCAGGCAAATAACCTCTTCCAGCTCTAGTCCCCTCATCATTTGTAAAATGAGAGTAGTAACCCTTACATGGCAGAGTATTTTGAGGACTACATTAAATAAGATTTCTAAACCTGTAATAGGGGATAAATGATTACATCTCATTTAATCTCCCAAACTCCATAAAGTGTAAGTATTGTTGCTGTGAAGTGTTTGAGACCAATGGAAATTAAGAACTTGCTTAAGGTCCCAAATAGTAAATGGCAGATCTGGAATCCTTGTTTTATTAACGTAATATTCAGTACCCTTTTTTCATGCTGTAGATTTGAAAAAAGAGTACATGTAAGTGAAGTAGAAGTTACATAGAATCATGGGTGTGGTGGCTCACGCCTGTAATCCCAGCACTTTGGGAGGCCGAGGCGGGCGGATCACGAGGTCAGGAGATTGAGACCATCCTGGCTAACACGGTGAAGCCTCGTCTCTACTAAAAATACAAAAAATTAGCCGGGTGTGGTGGCGGGCGCCTGTAGTCCCAGCTACTCAAGAGGCTGAGGCAGGAGAATGGCGTGAACCCGGGAGGCGGAGCTTGCAGTGAGCCGAGATCGCGCCACTGCACTCCATCCTGGGCGACAGAGCAATACTCTGTCTCAAAAAAAAAAAAAAAAAAAAAAAGAATCATAATATGTTTGAAGTACAAGAGAGGTTAGAGAATTTATCTTCCTACAACCTCATTTTATTGATAAGGTAACTCAGGGCATGCAGGTACAACAATGTGACCCCTAACTTGCTTTGAAGCTGGCAATATTTTTAACATAATCATCTCATTCCTATTAAGCATTCTTTTTTATTTTTTGCTTGACCACACCAAAAGAGTTCAAGCCTCTTTGGCAAGAACTGTCCTTATCTGTTCCACAAAGATGCCAATGATAACAAAAACAGATTATAAAGACACAGAAAGATCATGGTAAGTACCATAATCATGGTAAATAACTATAATCTATGGCTACAGGCTGATATTTGTTGTAGAAGCAAAAAAAAATTTACAGTGTTTTTCAAACCTTAGAAGCTCAAGAGTTAGAAGTTTAGCTGAAGTGATTTAAAAAGGGTGTGTGTGTGTTAGAGGGGAAAAGGAGAGAGTTACTACTGTAATAAAAAAGCGAAAGGAACTGGAAATATTTGGAACAGGAAAGTGCTTATGATATTCAGGGTCAGATAACTCATCTCCTCAGAGCAGCCTAATAAGATTTCAGGATAACACACTATTTTTTGGTGTTTCTTAGTATTATACTATGCATGCAGATGCTTCACCTTCAACCCAAAGATACCTTATGGAGGATGGAATTAAGGGTTTGGTTTACCACTCTATAACCACTCCATAATGCTTATCTCTTTTTTTGTGTGTTTCTTCATAATTTCTTCCCATTTTACTAAGTAGAATGAAAAACATAATCACTTGAGTTAATGGTGCAGTATTAAACTATATTTTTATGTAATTAAATATATTTTGTAGATAATAAGCTCAAAGGAAATGCAGGTTATTTTCAGATTACTCTGTGATTAGTTTAATTTTGGAAATTCACAACTATTCACTTTTGGCTGTATGTCCTGACATTTTCCCCTTTCTCTAATATAGTAAAGTCTTGTTTCAGTCCTTTCAAATCCCTTCCTCAGTAAAGTCACTAACGTAAACTCAAATAATTTTATATGTATGTAATATTCCCTAAATATGTAAAAGTGGATGTCAGCTTTAAAATCTACCTGAAATTAGGTTAAATCAGTGACATTCATACATATATCTAACTTATGATATATATCTTTATATACACATGTATAAATAGATTTATATATAAAAAATTTTATATATTTTATATATTCAGTACTCTGTGTATGTACATGATCTATACATATCTTTATAAATTTATATTTATACGTGTGTGTGTATGTATATGTATGTGTAGGTGTGTGTGTATATATATGTGTATTGTGTATATATACATTTTTTTCATGTAAATGATTTTCTAGTTTGTGGCCAGGGCAGGTTCAGATTTATTTTTATCCCTCTATAATCTTAGGCAATGGGAGGTTAGATGCCCTTTTCTCAAATTTTGTTTTAGGTAAAGGTAGAGTTGGAAGCAGTTAGAGGTGTAACATGTTGTAGTGTTTTGGAATATTTTGAAGTTACCAGAGTAGCCACTACTTTGTGTGCATGATTCCTTTCTTTAGAAACATCTATTACCCTCTTTGTTACCCATCCAGGGAGTGTGGTCATGGGAAAAGCAATCCCCATGCGGCATTACTACATTACAGTGTTGACACAGGGACACTTCCCTTGCACTAAATTCCTAATCTAGGCAGGTATGTTTGTCTAAGTCTTTTCCATAATCTAATTCATTCACTCAGTATTACCTTAACAAATGTATCGTGAGAACCTGTGTTTACAACCTGAGTCTTATTTGGTGAATCATCACTGTGCTGGTTTTCTAACCAAGACATTCTGGAGATTTCTGAGACAGTAGCATAGCTAGAGCTAGAAATCATGATTCCTACACCTGCTTGGAGTGTAGTTATCCTGTTACACGTGTGACTTGGCCTATTGAAAGAGCTGGTGCCCGGTTACATGTTTTGTATGTAAGTTTTTACATTTTGATATGAAGGCCTAAGCACAGGCATCTCAGGTTTTCCTCTCAGAGTTCTCATCCCCTTTCTTCCCCATACACTCATTTTCTCTTTGTTGTAAAACCCTTCTTTAGCCAGGCTGGTCTAGATTGAGAAAATGACTCTTTGATCATAACCCAAGAAGGAATGTATCAAAGCAAACCATCCTCTGTGAGAGGGACTGTGGCCATGGCTGTACATCTGGGTGTGTGAGAAGAGATGGGATCCAGCAGACCAATGGCAGGTCGCTCCCCTGAGACAGCAAGCAAGGATGAAAGACAGTTCGCAAACAGGAGTTGCTTGTGAAGTCGAGAGAGGCAAACAGGAACATTTCACACCTGCTGTTTCCTGTCCTCTCAGTGTGTGCAGGAGGGAAGAAAGGAGACATCTGGGTCTCAAAGAATACCAAAGTTTTTGAGAAACCACTGGAAAACAAGAAATCAAGAAGGAGGCAGAAAAGGATCTCAGATCAAAAAGACATTCTGCACATAAACTCAAGTAGAGAGACACTTGGACCACTCCCGGTCCCTCAACTTGCTTTCTCCATGCATTGTGGAATGTTAGTAATGAAGGTCTCTGGGTTCACCGCTTGTGAGGAGGAAAGTAATGCTGGGAAACTTGATATGTGTAAATAGAAAATATATAAGCAAAGTTATCAGCCAGTCTTGATGTTGCAGCGGAAGTTGAGAGTGCCGTGGTATATCCTGTTTTGTGCATTAGCTTTTTCTGGGGCATGAGCATTCAGGCATTTTATGAAGAACTTAGAAAAAGTGAAAAATATTTTGAAGTTTTATATTTTTGATCATTAGCTGGAAGGTTTGTCCAGTAGTAAGTTACTTGTGAGGTTTATAAAATATTAGGAACATTTGGCAAGAAGAGACAGGTTTTGTGGGAATAATTTGTTACCTGTTGACCCTCACTGTGGACATATTTGTGTGTGTGTACCTGTGTGTGTGTGTGTGTGTGTGTAAAAAGGAGGGTTTATAAAAATACAAAATCTTTTGAATGAATGTTAATATGTTTGACAGTTAATTTTAAAGGTATAAACTGATATGATTATTCTGGATCATTAATAAACATTCATAAAGCTATGACTATTAGGTCATTTTATTGGTGGAAAGATTTTTCTAATCTTGATTGGCATCATTTGATAGCAAGAATCCTTTCTTGTCCCTATTTTTTAAAAATTAAGAACATGTCATGTTCGTTGCTGTTTGTGTTTAATAGAGGTTTTGAATGGCAAATACAATTTTTAGCTTGAACACTGGTAATTTCAGATATGAAAGTACCGTTGCCATCTTTCTGTGCCAGGCTTGTTACACAGCAGTCAAAATATGTAATGTTTTTCTTAAGACCCATAGCCATTAATGCGAACCAGTATTCTTAAGCATTTGTTACTGATAACCTAACATTTAATTGTTTGTGGGCTGTCATAGTTTTCATGACATGACAAAAACTTACATGTGTTGATATTGAATATTTTATTGTTGTTCAACCTGTTGTATTGTCAGTGAAACAGAACAGAGGAGGTGATACTGGAGAAAACATTAAAGGTTTACTAAGAAGTGGCAATGAGTTTGATGTTAGTAGAGGCCATGCCTTTGAACAATACTGCTAAGGAATAGATCTAATGAGATTTGGGATGTTTTAAAAAATTAGTCAGCATTAGTGTAATATTCCTTCAGGGAGCATTTGTAATGCCCACAAGAATGTGTCGGTAGAGAGATCAGATTCCAGGCTAACCTTTATTTGCTTTCAGTAGTTGACATAACACACACCTGTGTGTTCTCTTTGCTAACCTCAAAATAGTTTTGAAAAGCTTTTGACATTTGGAAATATGAAAGAGAGAAGATTTTGATTTGTTTTCTGGCAAGTAGGAAAAATAAATTCTAAATGTTGTGTTTTACCTATATGTGGTCCTTGGAGTAAAGGCCTTGGTGTGTCTCATATCCTTCTTTTTTTTTTTTTTTTTTTTTTTTGAGACAGAGTCTCACTCTGTCACCCAGGCTGGAGTGCAGTGGCACAATTTCCACTCACTTCAGCGGCACAATTTCCACTCACTTCAGCCTCCGCCTCCAGGCTCAAGTGATTCTCCTGCCTCAGCCTCTCTAGTAGCTGGGATTACAGGTGTGTGCCACCACACCTGGCTAATTTTTGTATTTTTAGTGGAGACAGGGTTTGGCCATGTTGGCCAGGCTGGTCACGAACTTTGTCTCATATCCTTCTAATCAATTGTGGAATAAAGCCTCTATGGTTCCATGATAAATTATATTTAATTTTATAGTGTTTTCCTTGAAGCATTTTAACATGCTAGAGATAGATGTGTGTGTGTGTGTGTTTACAGTTAGATGTAAAATAGCACTCGTGTTTTCTTCTTGAAGGGAGTCATTTAGAAATTACCTCTCAGCCAGGTGCAGTGGCTCACACCCGTAATCCCAGAACTTTGGGAGGCCAAGGCAGGTGAACTGCTTGAGTCCAGGAGTTCAAGACCTGCCTGGACAACATGGCGAAATGCCGTCTCTACAAAAAATAGAAAAATTAGCCAGGCTTGGTGGTGCATGCCTGTGGTCCCAGCTGCTAAGGGAAGCTGAGGTGGGAGGATCACTTAAGCACGGGAGATTGAGGCTGCAGTTAGCTGTGATTGTGTCACTGTACTCTAACCTGGGCAACAGAGTGGGACCCTGTCTCAAAAAAAATAAATAAATAAAAGAAAGAAAAGAAATGATCTCTCCTCATAGTTTGTGTGTAGGAAAAGAAGTGATAAAACTGACCTAATTGAACTTCACCTTTTGCTCAGTGACAGATAAAGCTTTCCTTGATAGCATACATTGGCTCAGTGCCAGTAGTACCATAAATGTTGTTTCTTAAGAGAATGTCAAGTTTCAGTAAATTTACTTTGAACTTCAAAGTAGTGTGCAATAACTTTGATAAATAAGCCGATCTTATGAAATTTGAAAGTTACGTTTATAATTATATTATAAAATAAAATGTTGAATTTTCTGTTTTAACTTCCCTGATGTCCCATATTGATTTTATTACATTCACAGATTTTTCTTTTCAAAAGTAAGCTTCACTTGGTTTGACATCAGCAGCTTATTTCTTGCAATCTATTTAATTGAGACTTTTCTGCTGTTTATCCTAAAATGCAGATAAATGGCTTTCAGCACACTGTTTATAGTATAATAGCTCCTGAAGTGAGTCAGCATTATCAGCTAGAGTCTCCATGTCATAACTAATGGTCTCTCTGCTTATACTTTCCTGCTAGTGAGGAGCCACTGAACTCCACAGAGACAGGAGCCTGGCATAGTTGGGGGTGGGTAGATTATTTTGATGGTGCCTATAGGACAAGGCTTTTTTCCTCCTTTATTGGTGTGAAATGAGAAGAGAAATATGTCCTTATCATGATTTTAGCATGCTCAAAAGTGCCATGTTCTAAGACTGGGGCAAAGAACTTTTAGGATATAATGATCCTAGAGGGATTTGTTTTATTCCAGATTATCTGCTATGTCATAATAGCACAATTTTAATACTTTTCTCTTGAGGCTGTTTGACTTGCTGCTAGAGAATGGGAGCCACTAGGAAATATTTGTATTACTACCAAATATTATGGGCTTAATAATAAAAGTGAGTATTTTTTGTTTCCCAAGAAAGAAAGAAACTAAAAAACTTCAATTGTTAACTAATCATTTATCATAAATCGGGCCTATTCATTTTGAAAGGCCATTAAGTTTTTTCTTTAGAGGAAAGAAGAAAAAAAAAAGCTATGAGACTCCTAGTGAAGATCAACAGACTTGACCATGAGAGTTAAAACTGACAAGTTTTGCCACCCTGTAATTCTTTGCTGAGTTTTTACATAGAAGATAGAGGATTCTGTAGGTAAATACAGGGAATAGTTTTCATAACTGAAGTACCAATGAATACAATTTGGTAAAATGTTTTGTTTGATCTCATTTGTTCTTTTAGAATGTGGAAAATTTTGACTGAAGTGGCCATTAAGATAGCCATGGTCCTTTGCCCCCATATTAGTATTATGATTGTTTGGGATCACTTTGGTCATTTAAATACAATGTATTTATTTCTTAACTCACTCTGATAATGAAATTTAAGATAATATATCCAACTTCTTAAAAATATTTCAAGGTGGAAAAACATAACACACACAAATACATCTACCTTATGTTGGTGTGGCTTAAAATACAGAAATATCTGAAGATAGGGTTTGTGAAGGGTAATTATTTCTCACATAGCATCCCAGATACAGGCTTTTTGTTGTTCTTTTTTTGGCGGTGGTTTGTTTATTGGGAGAGCCCATATTGACAGTTATTTAAAAGAGGAGGAAGGAAACATTTTGACCTTAGGGTAGAGTTTATGGGTGAGAACATTACTGGCATAAATGAGAAGATATGAATTCGATAAAAGAATATAAAGAAAGAAAATTTACAGGTAAAATTAACAAGGCTTTTAAAGACTGGGACCACTGAGGTATACTGGGTGTTATACAATTTAAAAAATAAGAATATAAAAGTGCTTTAGGAGAATGTTTTGAAAACTGAAGCCATTTATTTATCCAAAGAGGGAGAGCTTGAGCAGCATCAGGCCAGAATGTTCCTGTGTGTGCCATGCCCAGATTGAAGATAACACAATTATTATAATAACATAGTTTCAATTCAGATCTCTCCTTAGTGTTTCTGCCCAGAATTCAACAAGATTGTCCTTTGGCAGTCTTCTTCCTACAAATCAAAGCAAAGTAGATGGTGGTTCAGTATTTCAGCCTATTAAGTATAATTTCAAGAAAAAAGATTTATCATAAATTATCAAAACTCTATGAACTCTAGACTTACATATATCCAGGTTCCAATTCAACTGTCTTATTTTACTTTGGATATAGACTAATGGTAGAATTAGGGGAATACTAGTAAAACATCTTACAGCACACTTCTTGAATACCATTCTTCTTTCATTCGGCCTCAGGGTGTTACTCGGAAATTGAAATGCAGTATTCTAACCCAGGTGTTTGAATACAAGGGAAAACTATAAGGTTTGTCAAATTCTGTTGAGAGAGAATGTTCTCATGTACACAGGAATTTTTGTTGACCCTATTGATTTTAATACATATCCTATGCATATTTTTTTCTAACAAAATTTTTAATATACTTTTTGGCTAGTAGGGAATTAGTATATAAACAGCAATAAAAAATAACTTAAAATGTTTAACATGTTCTTTAATATATATATTTAAATTATAGTTACATTTTATAAAAATTATATTTACATTTTGAATTGATATATTTTCTTCATTTCAGCTCTTTTTGTAAAGGAATTTTTTGGTTTGTTTTTAACCATCTGCTGTTAGGCAAAGGTATCTGTTTTTTGGATAAGATTTCAGGTCATTTGTTTAAAGTGGCACAGATACTAGCTTGGAGGAACATGATTTTATGTTTATCTATAGTATAAAAGGAAATAGAGTGAACCTTTGGTGTGAGTGAACAATCAGCAGACCTTTTATGACAAAAGAACAACAACAAAATTGACAACTTTTATGCCACACTCTCCAAATAGATTTTAAGGTTCATGAACATAGTGGCCATTTCTTCTTCAACTCTTTGAGCCCAAAGTGCTTACAGCACTTTGAAATATTTGTGTATGGTAAATATTTCTTAATATTTGTGTATGACAAATATCTCTTAAATCAATATGGACTAGTTAGAGGCTTTAACTTGACTCTAATAAATATTTCATTCTGTTTTAACCATATATGATGAATAGGATAGCTGTGTCTCAAATATAAATTTTATATCAAATTTTTAATGAATCAAGTCAAATGATATGGTAGATTTAATAAAAAGATAGAAATAATGGTATTCATTTGGTCTTCAGTTTTCCAAACATTTTGAAATTTTCCAAATTTTAAAAGGAATTTGACATTTAGTAAAGGTAAACCTCTTTAATGAAAGATTTCTAAATGTTTGTGTAGTTGATTGGTTTGTGAAATTGAGATTCTCTTAAGATAAACTTAAGACATTGCATATTGAAATAGCATTCTGAATGTCAAAGGATATTATAAAGATAGATTTCTAGATATTTAAATGATGAATTCTAGATATTTTTCTGCCTTGCATAGACGCAGAGGTAGCTTTTAACCATCTGGAAATGTTACATAACACACTGTGGTCAGTGACATTTTTTTCATTCTTTTTCCTTTTTCTTTTCTTTCTTTTTTTCTTTTCTTTTTTTTTTGTTTTGTTTTGTTTTGTTTTGTTTTTGACTCCTAGGTTTCTTTTCTTTTTTACCTTTCCACTGTCATATGCCATGGGTCCTGAACATAGCTCATTGCTTGACCGGAATAATGTCTCTTGCCAGCTTATAATCAAAGGGACTACTGAGAAAAACAGCTGAGCTGTATTAGGCAACCACAGTCTGGGCTGCATTTCTTAACTGCTGAATAACATATCACAGGTGCAGGATTAGTGCTGCCTACGGTGCTGGGCTTTTTAGTGGAAACCCCTAGCAATTCTGTGCCTCCTCCTCATGTCTCTCATCCTAGGGAGCCTGGCAACCATATATCAAGCGTACAGAAATCAAAAGTGAGTAGTGGGAGAAGCTTTATATCTCACAGAGACTGTTTTTTTTTTCCCTCCAAAAAATGTAAGCAAGATGAGTAAAGCCAATTCTGGCACAATAAAAGCTGTTAGAACTTAGCCTTTTTTGGCATAGATGGTGAAATAGACTAATTCAAGGGGATCAAAAATTTTGTCTAAAAAAATTACATGGCAAGAAAATACCATGTAGCCGAACTCTTCTGGTAGTGTATAATTTAGCTTACTTTTAAATTAATGATGTTCTTATATGTATTATTTTAACTTTTGTGTTATGTGTGAGTGCGTGTTTGCCCCTACACATTTTCAACACTGTCAAGGTTAAAATCAAGTGTTGTGGTTGTATAAAGGTCTTGTGGTTAAATTTTTTATAGTTTTTGATGTTGTGAATTCTTTTACTATTAATGTATCAACTATACACTTCTAAATTCATAGGTTATAAAGGTCTAGGTTTCTTTCTTGCAAGTATGAGTTTTAAAAAATGCAAAATGATTCTTTAAAGTATAAATGTAATGATTTAGATGTTAGATCAAATGAATGTTTCAAAAATATAGTTGCTAAGATATTTATTTTTTACCAGGAAGGATATAAATTGTTTTGGCATGATAAAGTGTACATTTGGAGAAGTGAGGGCAAGTATATTTTAGTAATTCATATCATTTTTGGTAGCTATCTTAGAAAATTTTTCTGTGACGCACAACAGATAAGTGTAAAAGCACATGGGTGGCACTGCAGATTTTAAACAGTTTTCTTTGGTTTACAGTTTGTTCTCTTAAAACTATGATGGCTTTCTAATGTTTACATTGCATTCTTATTCATTTTATTCCTGGTGATCATTATTCCATATTGTTTCACCAGAGATAGACCTTTAAACTCATTGGTGATGATAATAGTTGATAATAGTGTTTAGCTTGAAATATATATACTATATTTTATACCTCAAATATTTAAATATTTGAACTAGCAATATATTTGAATATTTTAAAGTCAGTAATAGCTAAGGTTACCTTTAACAGTTTTCCTATTAGAGGGTATGGTAAGGATTAGGAGCAGAGAGGTTCTAAATGTTTTCCAGGTTTTTTCTTTGGGGAAAAAGAATAGCACAAACACGGTGATTTGGTTTCTGGTTTGTCTGACTTCATTGTCACTTCCCTTTACATATATGCATCTATAAAATAGTTTTATACACTAGGCTGTCTTGGGAGTGCTTTGCAAAGCTGCAGAGTAATTTTTGGTGTGGAGGCAAGTTGAACATCTACTTTGATTAGCTTCGGAACTCTGTGAAGCAGAGCATTCATAGAAACTGCTGAATAAAACCATAGCTCCTGGCTTGGAAATCTGCCAAGTTCTAGTTGACTCTGACATTATTGTCAAAGAGACCACGGTTCAGTTTCTTTTCTAACAATGTGGAGCTGAATTGACACATTAAATATTTTAAAATACAAAGTCATTTTTAATTTTTAATCATTCTATCGGCTGAGATTATGCTATTTTGTGACAGTGGCTTCAGTTTGATGTTGCATATTTTTAAATCATGGTTACTTGCTTGTCAAGTTAATTTTGTTCTTATATTGTTGCTTTTATTAAAAATACTTATAAACAAGTTGTGTTTTAGAGATTTTTCAAAGGTTTTTAATTTATATAAACATTTTGATTGAGTTTCTCTAAATTCAAAAGCAGAGTAAAACCTAAGGGAAAGGCTAGCTATTGTTTTAAATTTAAAGAGTGTAATTATGATGTCCAAAGAATTTTTATTACTATCATAATTACTATTCCTGCTGAGGTTTATAATTCTATGTCTGCTGAGGTTTATAATTCTATGTCAATTACCTGGAAAACAAATGAATATAAATGTTTGTGTTGTCTGTTGACTTGTATGTCATATTTACTCTTCTTATGATTTTTTTATGTCATAGTCTGGTGTTGTCTGTTGACTTGTATGTCATATTTACTCTTCTTATGTTTTTTTATGTCATAGTCTGGTATCACATAAAATGTTTGAGTGATTGAAGCTTTTATAGGTCTCTTGGCAGGGTTTTTCTGATGTGAAAATGTTGAAAACATGATTATCCATCATAACCCGGGTGATGTGTAATGTCGATGTGTGAGTATGGTGAAAAGAGAAACAATGTCAGTGAATAGAAACACTCACAAATATTTTATGAAGCCCTGGTTTCTAGAAAGAGCCAGCAGTTATATTTAAAATTAGTGTGTCTCTTAACCTACTCATTAGTGTTGACCATGAGTGGCTGAAATTAAAAACTGGCAATATCCCTGGTTTTGGTGGTTATGGTTTCCATAAAAGATACTGGTTGATTACTGCCACACACAAAGTAATCTTCCCTCTTATGCACTCCTGTCTAGGACTTAATTTGGCAATTATGTGGCATTGTGACATCTCTTTTATTGTTTTCCTATATGTATTTCGGCTTTCCATATGTAGTTGATTTGTCTCACAGTGTTCCACGTGTAGCTGATTTGTCTTACAAGCAAGATTGTTATTTTATTGAGGACACCGTCAAGTACTCTGGGTCATTGTGTTATGTAAATGGATTTAATGATTATTTGCTAAATGAATCAATGTACCAAGAGATGAAAGAAAATAAGAATATTTTAGTCATCCTTGAACAAACTTTCAGTATGTTTCTTAAGCTGAAAACCTTATATTTTTATAGACTCTTTGCTCACCGTGATTAATCTAGAAAGGAAGGAAAAGTAAAAGGCAGTAAAATGAAGCAAAAGAAAGAGGAATTGAGGAAGAGGAGAGCCAGGAAGGGGAAAAGATAATAGGGGAGAAAAGGAAAGGAAGACAAATAGAAACGGGAGATAAAGGAGTAGGGAAAAGGAAGAGAAAACTGAATAATAGTAAGAGTCAGCAGCACATAAAACAACAATTTATTATTATTGACAATTACTATGTGCAAAGAACCATAGTTGATGCTTTATGTGGATTTCTCCTCCACCCCACTGCAACCAGTGAGTACTGCTACTCTCCACGTCTTCTATAAGGAAGTTAGTTAAGTCACTTGCTAAGCCATTTAAGTAGCTGAGCTCGAGTTTGAACCCATTTGTCTATTTTACCCTACATCGTCATCAAGTCTAGCTCCACTGCTCAGTGACCATACCTGATATTGCTTTGTCATCTGACATTTCACTCCTGCATAGCATGTCCAGAAATTTAGCACCAACATCTTCCCTTATCTTTTATCTGATTTCTGTCTGTTGAAGGAGAAAGATTCCTGTGTAGGTAACATCACAGTTAATATTAGAAAATCTGTTCTTTCCCTACATATGATTTTGCTCTGGTATTTTTTAATAAAAATTGTATTTATATTTTGTTACTTTCCAGAAAAGTTTAGGCATATGTCCCAACTTTTTATTAATTATTTAGTGTATATATATATAATTTTTTTTTCCTAAATTTTTTGCTGCAAAGAGCATAGAAAATGATTTATTTGAAAGTACTTTAGTATAAGGAAAAATGGTTAGGTGATGAAAATGAAACTCAGGCCTTTAGAGTTGAAAAATTTAGACAGTGAATTGAGTTAAATGATTCAAGGTTTAAGTGTTGAAAATAAAAATTAGCGATTAAACTATCTGATGTCACAAAGTTATTTTAAAAATTAATATTGTTTTAAAGCTCTAATCAGAGTTTTATTCCTGTGTGAAATAGACTCTTAAAAAAACTGTGAGTATTTAAACTAGTTTTGGTTAAGAAAGAAAATGGGCATTGATTTGCATTATTTGTTATCATAACGGTACAAATAGCTGTAGGATGGGTCATTCCCAAAGTTGTTGCTAGCCAGTTCAGTACTTTAAAATTTTTCTTCCACTAACCTCTTTACCCTGGACATTTAAAGTGCAAACTTGTGTAATATGAATTTCAATTTCTCTTCTTGCCCCTGCCTGCCCTCTGGTGTAGAAGGTGAAGAACAGTGATGAGAATCAACATTTGGTTAAGTTTTGTGATATTCAAAGAGTTTAAAAATGAAAAAGATAAAGGAAGATAGATTATTAGTAGACCTTGTATGACACAAAATGATTATATGTCACTTTTTAATGAATTTTAAAGTCTCATATCCATTTCTAAGTGCATTACATATTGAATTTAATATTACTTGAATTTTCTCTACTGTTCATACAGATTTTTCTCTCTGCATTTAAATGTGGCAGTGGATTTTGATACCCTTTTGACTATGACATAAAACAGTCCTTTATATCACAAATTAAAAATTTTTTATTTATGATATTTTTGAACTCATAAGAATATTACTAAAACTAAATACAGTTAAAACACACTTTAGGATGTAATGGATTAATTTTGAAGATAAAATTTAATTTTTGTAACATTGTACTCTTGATATGTAATAGTATGAAATTTTTTTTACATTTTACTTTTGTTCTGCATTTTGTTTTTTCTGCAAAAATCACGTATATGAGTATATAATAATATAAAATAATATAGAAATATTTTTAAAATAAGGAACTGATTAAGTTATATACATTAAAGAAGTTATTTTACAGTGTTTATATGAGGCTTCCAGCTCATTATTGTCCACTGTTTTCAATTAAATACTTTAAAGAAATTATAACTCTACCTTATTTCCTACTACAAGAGATTCCATAGAAAACATGTACATAGCTAAAAACATGTATATAACTGCAATATATTTTCCAGAAAAGATATTCAGGATATTCAAGAAAAATAACTTCCTTTTTAGTCCTTGTAATTGAATGGAAGTCACAATATTGCATTCTGATAGTTAGGTAATTTCATGAAATTTGATTGATTTGCCTGAAAAATCTGTAAATCTATTTCTAAAGAAATATTCTTAATATTCTATTTTTGTATTATTCCTTATAAGAATCATAAGGAATATAATTTAGTCGTGATTCAGTAACACACAAACATCCTGTGAAAATAATTCTATTGTTTATTTGCACGCCAAAAATCCAACGATCCTCTGAAAAATGAGAACCAATTTTAGAGTGGCTTCCAAAAGCCTTACTTTTTATTATCATGATAATTTAGTTAGTAAACTAAACTATATATATAACTATATAATTATATAGAGGCATATATAACTATATATAGTTATATATAACTATATATAGTTATATATAACTATGTATAGTTATATATAACTATATATCTATATATAGAATATATAAATATAAATATATTTATATTTATATATAAATATATAGGTATATAAATATATAACTATAGTTATATATATATTTAATTTAAACATATATATTCAATTAAATTTAAATATATATTAAATCAAATTAAATATATGTAACTAAAGTTATATAACTTTATTATATATAGTTATATAGTTTAATATATAGTATATGATATAAATTGTATATTATATATAGTTTATATAATATAGTTATATACATAACTGTATATAGTTATATATTTACATATAGTTATATATATTTACATATAGTTATATATAAAACTATAATTTATATATTAATTTATATATAACTAATATATATGTAACTATACGTCACAAGCTAAGTGAACCACACATGTGTAGTGTCTGGATTTACACTGTTTTAAAGATCAGTTATTAGAGAAAGAGGGAAGAAGAGAGAAGAGAGGGGAGGGAGGGACAAAGGAATAAAAGAAAAAAATGGCAAAATGGAATGGGCTCTTAACGAGTGACTTATTTGATATAGTATTTATTCCTGAGAAATTTCCTGAAAGGGTAATTTTTCTCTGTTTTTTTCTTTATATTTTCTGTCAGGTTTATTCATGATTCTGTTTTTAAATATTTATTGAAAGCCTATAATTATTTAAAATGCATTTGGGAAGAAATAATCAATTTTGTTGACATTTGCTTTACAATTAACTAGAAACTATTCACTATTTGACTTTCTTTCTTTCTTTCTTTTTTTTGTTGAGACAGAGTCTCGATCTGTCGCCAGGCTGGAGTGCAGTGGTGTGATCTCAGCTCACTGCAACCTCCACCTCCTGGGTTCAAGTGATTCTCCTGCCTCAGCCTCCCAAGTAGCTGGGACTACAGGCATGTGCCACCATGCCCAGCTAATTTTTGTATTTTTAGTAGAGACAGGGTCTCACCATGTTGGCCAGGATGGTCTCCATCTCTTGACCTCATGATCCGACCTCCTCAACCTCCTAAAGTGCTGGGATTACAAGTGTAAGCCACCGCGCCCAGCCTGACTTTCTTTGGTGAAAAACTTTTTTGTAGATTTTACTCTATTGATTTAGTAAACAGAATGTACTAAATTACATTTAATTTTTTTAATGGTTAGATACCTTCCAGTTGTTTTCAAGGGTTATCATTTTTTATAAAACTAAAACAAAATCAAGTAAAATGAGGATTTCATTAATAAATATTTATATGAGTCAACTAAATGTATCTTTTATCTCTTTTGATGGCTGCCTAGTATATTAGGATACTAATATAATAAAATGTGAGAAAGTACATTCTTATATGTTATTTTAATCAGATATCTGATATTTGGGATATATCTTCATTATTGCTAATCCACTGGATGTTTGTTAGTCATCTTGATGTTTACATTTATTATGAATACATGTCATTTGTCTTTTCTTCTATTTATTATTTCAGCATCATAATTACCAGGCAAATTCATATTTTCATAAAATGATTATTTCTATATATGCATGTAATTACCTTTTTAATGTCATAGCTGATATGTTCTGTCTTGTTTATGATCCAGAATGCCTGACTTGTGTCTGTGAGGCTGGATTTTGTACAACTTCAGTATGACTTGATATTAAAGTGATCCTTGTATAAATACCTTTGCATAATTATAAAGTTAGATAAAACAGTGCAGTTTCTCATTGGCCCTTTTCTCAAATGTGGAGTACACATGAAGATCTTTTTTTTTGTGGCTTTTATTTTTACTTATTTATTTATTTTTATTATACTTTAAGTTTTAGGGTACATGTGCATCTTACCATCTTTCTTTTTCATGGTTTTCTTAGCGTTTAAGGTGAGTCTCCCCAGGTTCATTCTGCTGCTGCTTCTCTTCCGCCTTGCCTTATATCTGTTAACTTACACATTATCAAGTATTTATTTATTTATTTTTGAGACAGAGTCTCATTCTGTCACCCAGGCTGGAGTGCAGTGGCGCGATCTGGGCTCACTGCAAGCTCCACCTCCCAGGTTCACACCATTCTCCTGCCTCAGACTCCCGAGTAGCTGGGACTACAGGTGCCCGCTACCATGCCCGACTAATTTTTTGTATTTTTAGTAGAGACGTGGTTTCACCGTGTTAGCCAGGATGGTCTGCATCCCCTGACCTCGTGATCTGCCTGCCTCAGCCTCCCAAAGCGCTGGGATTACAGGCATTAGCCACCGCACCCGGCCATCAATTATTTTAAAGTTATCAGGTGATTGGAAATATTGTGACTTGTGCAGATTGTAGATTATAGAATGTAGATTTACCAACAATTTAAGCACACGTGTAAACATAACACATGAAAACATGGTGAGCCATCAGTGGATTTAGTGTTAACTACCAAGCCGTAGTCATTGATCCAGAGGGGAATACCATCATGAAGATTAGCTAGAGAAGTTCCTTCTTGGCTCGATTCTCTTTTGGTGTCCCATTCCTTCATTGTTCATTGATGTGCTTTATTCCACATCAGGATATGTGACTAATTACTTCCTTATATTGAATGGACAAGGAATTTGTAAATGCATTTAAATAGCTCCAACTATTATCTGTCCTAATTTGCTACTCCATAGATCCATGCAGATATAGAAACAGGAATGTAGAAAGAGGAATTATGGCCCCTTTGAAAGTAGATTGTAAAAATTTGATAATATAAAATTCAGTATTCCCTGACAGAGATAATCACATTTTTCTAAAAGATGCAGGATTTTCATGTATTTCATCAGTGCTTATATGGTGATGTGAATCCTTCTATACATCTCTCTCTGTTTCACGCGCGCACACGCACACACACGCACACACACGTTACAGTAGGTTTGCTTTTACATAGTTGAAAGAGATTTATTTATTATTTTTTAACAAACATCCTCCCAAATTCTCCTTTCCGCGTAGCAACTACACCTATACCTCTTTTCGTTGTTTTGGCATTTTCATCTGTATCTCTAAATAAATAACTGTACTACTCTTTCTTTATTATTCAATTTTAGGCATTACCTTTGACTTTCCACTATCAAAGATGAGGATTTAGTTATTTTTTCTCATCCCTGCTCCTACTACATACGTACATATTCCCATCTCTCGTCTGTATAAGAGTTTAAATATTTGGTTACTTAGTCCCCTGTGTTCTCATTACAAATGCGTTTCCAAACTCCCAGTTTAAATTTAAAATACATAAGTCGTTTTATTAATTTCAACATCTTAGAGTTCTCTCTTCCAACATCTTTTGACCTGCCTTCAATGAGGCCTGCTTGCTCCTGAAGTCCTATGCAATGTCTCATCTTATTATCCACATTTAGCATTATCTTGGAGGTAAGCTTCGTCTTCTCTTGGGATGGATCTACCATTAGCAGGTACCTATTCCATCTTTTTTCTTGTTTATACCTTCATTTGGAAGGAATATCTCCTCCAATAACTTTCTGAGAAAGATACATGGGAGGTAAATTTTTGAGACTCAGAAAATATTAAAATGCTTTTTTTCCCCTGCCCTCACTCTTAATTTGCCCAGGTATTTATTTCTGATTTGGAAAATTTTTCCCTCAGACTTTTGAAGGCATTGTTCTATTTTATTCTAGTTTCTAGTTTTTCTCAACAAAGTTCAATGCCATACTTATTTTTTATGTCTTTTCTCTTTCTCTCCCTCACTTTTCCTCTCTATAAAAAAAATTAGGGTGTCTGTTTGTCTACAGTGTTACAAAATTTTACAGTGATGTGGTGTGGATCTATTCACATGGGCTATATGGGTTCTTTCAAATTAGGAACTCATGAGTTTTCATTATGAAAATTGTGCATGATTATTTGATGATTTTCTTTCCTCTGTTTTCTCAAGTCTCTCTTTCTAGAGCTAATATTATTCAGATGTTAAATCTGGATTCATGCTCTAAGTTACTTTTCCATCTTTGTATTTTGTACTGTGTTGTAGATTTCCTAATCTTTATCTTTCAGCTCACCTGCTGGGATTTTCATTTATGCAATTATATTTTTAAAGTTCTTTACTTGTTATTCTCTTTTTATAGCAACGTGTTCTTGTTTCATGATATAATGTATTTTTGTAAGATGAGAGTATTAATAATAATTTTTTAAAGTCTTTACTTTCTTTAATATAATCTACTTCTTCCAAGTAGTGTTTGTTTTATTCTCAGTCTTTGAGGTTTTTTCAAATACCTATTTACCCTAAATTAGTGGCTCATGTGTATGAGAATGGATCACAGAAGAACTGACTGGAAGCTCTGTTGTCACCAGTGGGCCTCATGTAGGATAACATTGCAGAGCTGTTTCACTGAGAAACTCACAAGATTACTATCTTTATGCTCTTTATTCTTGACCTGGTCAAATTACCCAGTAAAGAAGGCGCGTACCAGGCTGCATTGAGTTCTGGAAGCCATGTGGGGAAGGTGAACTGGAGGAGGCAACATCCAGTGTGAATGTTCACTGAATGTTTGCAGTAAGATGGTACTCCTGCCCTCTTCTGTGCTTGGTGTCCTACAGTCCTTGGCCTTGATGGTAAAATAGAAAAGTAAAGAAGGCATCTCAGTGATATGTGTGTTGCTTTTACCCTTCTAATCTCCTGCAGGGGTAGGAAAGAATACTGCTAGCGTGTAGGGAATAGGAAAGGATATCTGAAGTTCTAATTACTGTATGTATATTTTCAGCCTCATGCTATTTTAATATCCCCTTCCCCCTTTTAGAAGTACTTTTAGAAGTACCTTTGATACCGTTTCTGGAGCCTTTTTGGTGTTAAGCAGTAAAGCTTTGCTTCTTAGCTTTCCCCCCACATTTGGCTTAAAAATCAGCTTTTGTAGCTTTATTATCAATTCAATATATCAGAATTTACTCTCTAATTATTAACTCTAATATTTCATTAGATTATTCAAAATTTATACAAGATGTGCATCTAACTTTCTCCTACAGTTTCCTGTAAATTTTGTCCAGAAAAAAAAATGTTGATTGCAGTGGGCACCTGTGGCATATGAGAAGATTGTCATATGCAGAATCCGACCTTGAGCCACAGCAATTTTGATCCTGTAGACAAGTGACTGCCTGTCTTTCTGCTTTTCAGGCTTTTATTTTAGTGTCTCCTCCCTTGATCTCATATTGTAGGCTCATTTTCTTAGCCCCTTTTTCTCTTATTATAGTGGGATTTAATAACTAGAATACCCTGTAAGTAAAACCAAAAATTATACTATAACATTTTTTCTTGTCAGTAAATATACTTCTGCATCAGCATTTTAATGGCTATATAGGAATCCCATTTTACAAATATACCTAATCCTCTAGTGTTGTAAATATGAGTTGTTATAAGCAATATTGTGAAGAACCAAATTTTATACCACTTCTTCTAGACAAATTTTATACCACTCTTTAAATAAATTCACAATGTGACAAAATCATGAATTGTCTCTTAAAATGTTTCTTAGAAAATAGCATCTTACTTCCAATCACATGAGGATATTTTCTTTTCTACTTTAGACCATTTGGTGTCAGTGTTCCATTTAACAGCTTTTCCCACCAGCTGGTAAATTCTGTGTGTGTTTAATTCATCCTAGTTAAACAGGCTGTGCCTGGAAAATGGGAGGGCACCCAATACATATTTGGTAGTAGACATTTGCATCATAAATGAATTTTTATTATTGTGTTTTAAAGCATCAAAAATAAAGGGTCTGGTATGAAAGGAAGCAGGAAGTAATAAATTTTAAATACTCTATTTTTATTACTTGGTCTACTGAGGTGACTCAGGTCATAAAGGCAGTAACATTGAGAACCAGGTTTAGAAAGAAGGAGCTTACCATGACAGGGTGAGATATAGGTACACCTACACACTCTACCCTGGCATAGCAAGCGGTGCTGCACTCCCATGTGGACAAACTTGGAACAAATGGCTTTCAAGATAAGGCAGTGACGTGAACTATTTAACCTCACTTTATTTGGGAATTTAACCTAAGGACGAGCATACTATATAGAAATAATACATGTATTGGGAGTAATTGTGTGGTTGGATTACATATTATTTGCTTAATCTAGGGTTTTTCTAAGTGGAGTCTACAAGTAATTTGTTTCAGAATTACATGAGATCTTGTTGAATATGCACATTTCCTGGCTCGCCTCTGACCTACAGAATCAAAATCACTGTGGCTGGGGTGGGATTCTGCATACGACAATCTTCTCATATGCCACAGGTGCCCACTGCAATCAACATTTTTTTTTTCTGGACAAAATTTACAGGAAACTGTTTGAGAAAGTTAGATGCACATCTTTTATAAATTTGAATAATCTAATGAAATATTATAGTTAATAGAGAGAAAATTCTGATATATTGACAACATATTTTATTGCTTTTTCTTTCAACTATTTTTTTCTGTAAGAATTTGAATAATTCGTTATACATGCAGAAGGTCAGGAAAAATTATCACAGATTAAAAAAAATAGACTTCTAATTCTCTGATGGAACCATTACCTGCAGGCCTTCATTTTTGGTTTAAAAATATAACAAATATGTGGCATATCTTATACTTCTGACCTAAAATTTCAATTTTTTAACCCAGCAATTTTTTAATATTTTTGTTGATCTTAGATTTCACTATAGATAAGCTAAATGTGTTATGAGAGAGATTTTAAATTGAAAACTGCTCACGGTGACAATTTATGCAGTTACATGGCATGTATAAGAGCTCTTACCACAACGCCTGAAACAAAATAGGTAATAATTAATGCATGCCCTCTTCTGTGTAACATAAACATTCTAAGCTCTTGACATGAGGTTTGGTGTCTATAATTATCTCCATTTTAAGGATAAGAACATGAGTCACAAGATTATTTATAAAGTTATCTAAGGACAACTAACTTGGTAAATAGTAAAGCCTAATGTTGAACCCAGAATATCTCTTTCTAAGAGATCATGTCTACCATGGTGCCTTCTATCAAAGATGGTAGAAATATCACTACAGTAATAGGTAGGCATTTTGCATTTCCCCATGCTGATGGGGAAGATGTATCTTTTGAAATGTGTCTTGATATTAACTAAGTTTTTGTCTTCTTACCCAATTTTACAGATTAAATATTTCTCATAATTTCTTTAAAAAGAAGTACATAATATACATAATAGTACCTAAAGTAGAGAGACTCTGTGATATGGTAGATAGACAGTTTTAAAGCTGAAACAATTTGAGTTTAAATGCTGGGTCTATAGTCTATCCATTATCTGTGTGCAGATCTCTTAAACTTTGAGTCTTAATTTTCTCATCTGAGAAATGAGGATGATAGTGTTTACCCATGGAATTACCAGATATAGTAGAGGTTGTCTATATAATGTCTCATTGAGCTCCTTGCACTGTATTAAATATAGCTGTTACAATTTAATACATAAAATATCCTCCTGAAAGGATTATGGGTCTTTCTTTATTCTGTATGAGGTGTATACTAGGTAAAAGACATGATTTTAATCAAAATACCAAAATGTCTGTTTTTCTGTTTAAATCTTTAAGTATCTTGAATACTTCATTTTAAAATGTAATCTCATGTTTTCGTTTGAACAGAAGACTGGGGTAGTCTACCCCACAGATGCCTAACTCTCACTATTTCTTCTTTCAGCAAACTTCCTTGATAACATGCTTTTGCGAAGTGCAGGAAAATTAAATGTGGGCACCAAGAAAGAGGATGGTGAGAGTACAGCCCCCACCCCCCGTCCAAAGGTCTTGCGTTGTAAATGCCACCACCATTGTCCAGAAGACTCAGTCAACAATATTTGCAGGTTGGTGATATAAATGATTTAAAGCTAGCTTTAACAAAAAGTCACACTTTTTCAACTATGCAACTGTAGGCTAGTGTTTCAAAGAACACATTTTAGAGAACAATGCCTAACACTATCGTAAACTCTTAGAGCTGTGCTTGTATTAGAGAAATATTGAATTGTGTTTCACCCTGAAACAATGTTCTAAGCTTCTTTTTGATCCCTCCAGACAGCTCACATACACATGAACACAGACCTCAGATCCCAGGCTCCTGGTAAAGGTGCAAATGCCAATTATTTTCTTTCAAAAGACCTGGTCCCCACAATTAGTTAAACATCAGAGGCTGTCAAATGCGTGTGATTTTGTTTGTTTGTTTGTTTGTTTGTTTCAAGCATTCATCATGCTGATGTTAGTATTTTGGAAAGAACACCTAAGCTGCTGGGAATATTCATAAACTGACTCTGGGAAGCAGTGCAGTGGTAGAGCTCATGCGATTCCCCAAGTTGCTAAGAAAGACATTGTCCAAATACTAGAAAATACTCTTTAATAGGTAATCATGTTCTTATAGATACTTTATAACATTTGAAACTGAACTATTTTGCCTTTTTCTTCCTTAAATGCCTTTATGCAGCTCCATCCATTCCTCTGATCACTATAGCTGCATTTACTCCTTACGGTAAGGTCAACAGTGGATAAAGAGCTATAGCCTAATGAGGCCAGTGTGTGCCAAGAGAGAAGTGGGTCAGCTATCTAGAAGAGCACAGCCCTCGAGTTAAAATGTCAGAGAAGCAGAGTGTGCCTTAAGCTTCAAGAGAGGGCGTGGACTTAAATAGAAAGGTGGACTGCTAGGTTTAGAGCCCAGGTAGAATATCTGAGCAACCATTTGAGGCTTCATTAGCCAGAAGGTACGCAAAGCTGAGTTGAATGCTTTTTTTTTTTCCTTTCTGAGAGCTTTTTAAAAAAGGTTTTTAAGTTTCCCATGAAGCAAAATCTAATATAAGCTTACCAGGGTATTCCAAGAACCTTGTATATTTAGCACAAGAAACATGACTGAGTAACACAGGGAGGGAAACCTGGGTGTATTCATAAATATATATCTCATTTAATCAGCAAAACAACTTATTCTCACCTTTAGACAAATGAAATTTGGGATCCAGAGAGGTCTAGTAACTTGACTCTTGTACTACAAAGTTGTGACCACTGAATTTTTTTGCCAAGGTAAAACGATTCCAAAGCTCAGTTTTTTCCAGGGAAACACTGCCTCTTTATAGTAAATAGAAAAAGTATCAGGAGAGTTTAAAAATGTTTGAAAGAAAGCAAAATTAGCAGGAGCAAACAAAGTAGCGTGGGGTATTTTACTATTGTGTCTTAAGTCTGTGGTATTCAGAATACGCCTGTGTGTGTCATTTGAGCTATTGTCCTGGTGATCAGGATTTTCCAAATATTTTGTCCTGTTTTCCTGATAAGCCATTTGGATGTCCTAAGTTGGTTTGATAGAAAGTGTTCAGTCAGGGTATCTGCAGTGGAAATTCTGTTGTGGGAAGAAGCTTGGCGTGTTCAAAAGAAACTGTTTTTTCTAGAGTACAGGGAGTAGGATCAGGGAGTAGGAACAGTAGAGCATAGTGGTAGGAGCTGAGACAGGAGGTATAGTGACTGTGACCTGGTGGGCTATATTAAGAACGTGATCTTATTCCTAAGGGTGTTGGGAAGCAAGTGAAGGGAGTTTTGCAGCAGGAGTGGTGGTAGGGTTGACATGATCTGATTTGTTTCTTTGCTGCAGAATATTGGATGTATTAGAAGGAGACAGAAGTGAATTCAAGAACAGTTAGGTCAGGGAAATTGAACAGTGGATTCAGTAAAATCAGTTCATGTGCAAGAAAATGATCTTGAGCTAGGGTGGTGCTGGTGTAGGAGTGAGTGAGATCTATTTGAGAAATATTTAGAAGATAGAGCTGTATGATGATGGATTAGATACCATCTAGGAGGACAACCAGAGAGGCTTTATAAGTTTCCAGATGTAGATTTAAATGCATAAGGTAGACTTTTAATGAAAGAGGACAGATGAAAAGAACCAAGTTCCAATCTGGACATGATACATTTGAGGATTTTTATGTATCTGAGTAGAGGTATCAGTATGCAGTTGGATATGGATCTGGGGCTCAGAGAAGAGGTTGAGGAGAGAGGTCAAAATGTGCATAGCATTAGTCACTGTTTGCGGTGAAACAGATAACCTCAGAACCACAGTGGCTTATAATTAAAAACACTTATTTTTCATTCAGGGGTTTGTAAGGAGGCTGTATCCGTGCTGCACTCTGCTGGGATTAGGTGGGCTTCACTTCATGCTGCTGTTTGAGTTTAGGCCTGCTGCACATTTCTTCATTTTTTTTTTTTATTTTGGATCAGCAGCTACCCAAGGCATATTGTTTCTCACAGGAGTGTAAAGGAGTAATCTTTTAAGGCTTCTGCTCATATTGTGTCCTCTGACATTGAATTTTCCAAATCAAGTGACAAAATCAAGGTCACAGTCAAGGGGAAGCATTGTCCCTGGTAAAGTATGAAGAATTGGGATTAATAATAGAACAATCTACCAGTGTATGACTTGGCCATGAGACATTTAATGCTTGGGTAAAGGGGATGTCTGCAAGATACTAAAGAATTCACAATAAAGCAGTGAGTATGGTGTCACTGAAGCCAGGTTTACTTAGAGAGGTAGTAAGGTCAGCTATGTTGGATCTATTAGAGAGTAGAATAAGAACTGAAAAATGGCAATCAGATTTATAGACACTGATAACTGCAGTTTAGAGATATTTAATGTAGTAGAGATGGAAGTCAGATTAAAATGGGTTGTGTTATATGGTTGTCAAACTTTGATTTATGACAGCAAAGAAAAAGTAAACAAAAATACAGAAGAAAGAAAAACAGCCACAGTAAAAATGGAATCCCTCAAAAGAACATAGATATACCATTGCCGTCAACATCAATGGATTAACTTGTAGAAGTTAACAGAAAACTAATATTTATTGAATTTTTAATAAATATTAGCATGTTTACTTTTACCTTTCTTTATTCATTATAACATTCCTATAAAGAATGTAGCACTATCTATGTTTGCTAGGTGAGAATTCCGAGGCTCTAAAAAGTTAAGTAATTTTCCATAGTTATGATGATATGATAGAAAAATTGTGGCCGGGACTCCAAAGTCCTGAATTCTTGGCCAGCGGCCAGTTCTGACATTGGTTCTGAAAGGAGCAAACATTCACTCTTGAGTAAAAGGCACATGTATTTTCCTAATGAAGTATTGATTCCAGTTGAATCTTCCTGTGAGCTGAGATCAGTCATATGTGACTCACAGGGGCCACATTTGTTTCTTTGTCCTAAGACCTATATAAATCCAGGACTTTCTACTTCCATTCCTGTAAGCACACTCTACTCTCTACCCTCCAAATCGGTACTTCTCAGGCTATCTCTAGTGAAAGATAATTTTCTCTCCACAATAAATTGTATACTGATACTTTGCTAAATTATAATAAAAAAATTCTTAGAAAAATTAATTTTTAAAATACTTACAAAATACATGCTCCATTTTTATTGCCTAATATTTACCTTCAACAGACATAAATTTGTTCCTTTAGATTGCTATACAAGTTTTCATTTTTAAATTCACCCCTTCCCAGATCAGTAGCAAGCAGTTTGCTGACCTGCAGGGGAACACACCTTGAGTAATGCTACACTAAGTATTACCCTTCTAGGTAAAACAGTTTAAAGGATAAGGTTGTATTTTCTAATGTGTACCTTAGAAAAGGGCTGGTCTAAATTGTCTGGCTTGAGGCCTTGTACCACCCAGATCTTAGTCAAACTGAGTGTTGTGGTAGGTTTCATGTTCATTATCACTTCCACCTCCCTGGAGAGAATAATCCAAAAGGAGGCAAGAGTGAATAGTACTTAAAAGAGAACCTGAAATCTCACATGCTAATTTAGAGGACATGTGCAAGGTTTTAGAGGCTTGTAAACTCCTTTTCAGTACCATTAATTACTCTATCAGCCTTCGCCAAGGCCAGAGTCATTCTTGGCTTGATCTCTGTCAGGTGCAGATACGGCTGCTTCCAAAATCCATGCCATTTCCACTGCTCATGATATTCACATTAAAGGATGTAGTACAAACATAGTGTGACTGAATACAGTAATAGAGCCTTTTTTATATTTATATTTCAAAGTAAGGGGTAAAGCCATTGTCCTCTCTCCCTCGAGATACCATCTGTTTTCTAAATATCTTTCCATGTGTCAATTTGCGTTGTAATCCATCGAGTTCCATTTCCAGATTCTACTCCTAGGATGACAGACCATCACTGCATACCTTGAGTGCTATAGTTTCCTTGAGTAACTCTCCTTATGTGGCTTTCAACATGCCAGTGTTCTGTTTCAGTTTCCTGTCCTAGCAAGTGTTATCTCAGCCTTGTTTATATATTTTTTCTCTATATAATCAGATCTGGCTTTGCATATCATTCCTTGTTTTACTTGATGTGGTCTGTAATCACATTTTTGTTTCTATCTTACCACCTTTCTCAAGTCCCTCCACTTCCTCACGCATGTTATGCATTTAAAAAATTATTTTTGACTATTTTCTTCAAAGACAATCTTTAATACTTCTTTACTTATCTTATTGGTTTCTTACCAAGAATTCTCCTGCCTGGGCAGTTTTCAGGGTTTACAGATGTAATAAATCAAATTGAATGTTTGCACAAAGGATGTGCAAATGACACCAGGCTGCTTAAATGAGGAATTAGATAAGCCTCCAACTCTGTATCCTGAAGAGTCACAGGTGGAAGAAGGAAAAGCTTAGGGGCTGGAGCCTTTTTACAAAGTTTGTGTTAACTCAGGCTTTTTAAACCTCTTACTGAGTGTGGTGGTATGTTTTCAAACAGGTGCTCCTGACCGTAGGTCTCAGAGGATTTAAGCGTGCATTGTTCCAGCTTGTTTGCACGTTTTACCTTGCATACTGAATGTCATTATAAACCATCCAGGGTTTTATTTTTTCCACGGTTGCCCAGGCCATTTAAATATTGATCTATTTAATTATTTTTTTCCAGTAGAAGATGTTGATTTCAAACCATTGCACCTAAGAGAATGGTGGGTTCTTCATTAGAACTTCTTTTTATTATTATTATTATTATTATTATACTTTAAGTTTTAGGGGACGTGTGCACAATGTGCAGCTTTGTTACATATGTATACAACATGTGCCATGTTGGTGTGCTGCACCCATTAACTCGTCATTTAGCATTAGGTGTATCTCCTAATGCTATCCCTCCCCCCTCCCCCCACCCCACAACAGTCCCCGGTGTGTGATGTTCCCCTTCCTGTGTCCATGTGTTCTCATTGTTCAATTCCCACCTATGAGTGAGAACATTCAGTTATAAGAGGCTGTGATTTTAAATTCACATATGGAGGCTTTTATAAGGAATAACTCTCCTCTTGTACCTCTCATTAGTCATCAATGAGAATTTTAGACGGTCCCAGTTTGTTGCTGGAGTTAATAGAAAGTGATAGTGCAGGGCGCTTTAAAATTATACAGAGAGAACTCTTGAAGATTTTTGAGCAGAGACAATGTAGGATTTATCAGGCTTGCTATATGGAATGGATTAGAGTTAGGAGAGGAGAGAGGAAGTCCTGCAGGAAGGCTCTCAGAGCTGTCAAGGTGAGATGTGGTGAGGGTCCGCATTGGGTGAAATTATACTAATGCTGGTTGAATGTAAAAACTGAGACAATTTCAAAAAATCTTGTACCTCATAGAAAAAATAAACAAAATGCTAAATCATTTGGCAAGGGTACCAGGGAAGGATGTCTGATAGTTACATGATCTTGAGGATAAATAAAAGGGGCATCTCTCACATTGGTACTTCGTCGTTAATGTTGTAACTTCACCTTCTCCCAATACTGTGACCCCTCAGAAGGAAAGCCAGGGAAGGGGAAAGTAGACTCATATGTATTTCACGCTATATTCCGTCCACTGCTATGGGAATCCATCATCTAAGATGATAGGGGAAAAGAAGTAGGATTCTATTACTTTAATAATTACCACACTCAGCATTCTTCTTTGGTTACTTCACAATCAGTAGAAAACACTTAGGCAGCTTATGATGTCTGTCCCTATTCCTGGAAGTTAAATGACTTTTCTCTTTTCCAGGATTGGTGGCCTTCGTAGACTATGAGTTCCTCAAAATGCACCCTTGCATACTCAGCACCCAGCTCTGCTGGAGTCATAGTATGCTTGATAAGTGTAAAACATACCACTGTTAACAAAGCTATGAGCAGCTTTCAGCTATTTTAGTTAATGGACTAAAAAGCTGCACCCTTTAAATGGTAATTCTAAAAGTTATGTGTATCTTTGCGTTTACCTGTGACAAAAACTGAAAACTGACTTTACTCCCTTGAGTGAGAAATAGATATTTTAGAAGAAAAGATGTTCTTAAGAACTTGTTTACAGATGACCTAAAATCAGTTAACCTTTAAAAATCAATTCTGACTAAAATGTAAAAGAAATTCAAAAGAAATTTAAGAGTTGTTGTAGGAAAACTGTTAATCTTTCCAGCCAGGTGCAACTGAGCAGATAGATACCCATCATATAAATATAATGCTTTCAAATTTCCTATCACTTGATTGAACAGAGCAGATAAACTCTTTTTAACTAATACTTTAAATAATTGTTTTACAGTTAAATGAATCTTTATGAAGATCTAAACTGTTAGAGGAAAAGTTCTACAATAGTCTCTTCTCAACTGTGGTGGCTATATGAACAACCCTGGGGTTTACAATAAAGAAACATAAGATCTTAGTGGAATAATAGAATTAAAGGGACCAAAGTTTGGGTAAACCTTGTAAACACTATATTCATGTGAAATAAAGATGCTATCAGTGCAGTTTTAGACATCTTCTAAAATTGGTTTCTAACCATTCTACAACAACTAATGAATGAGTTGGGTTCCAGAAGGCTATATTATAAATCTGTTTTGACCATAATAAATGAAATAAATTTTTGACCATAATAAATGCATCTATTCTCTGAATGCGTATCTACCTAAAAAGAGTATCGCTTGGTCCCTTGAAGTTTTAAAACAGGTAGACACCTTTTTTGCAAGTGTATGTTCACCTGGGCACACTGAAAATCTCTTGAGGTGGTTAAATGCCTGATGATTTTTCTAGATGTTCCTTCTAGACAGTCCTTTGCTTTTGGAATATTTGGGGAACTTAAGGAGCCTAGAACCTGTATAATCATCCAAGAATTGTAACAAAATTGTTCCTGTTTTGCTTTTCTTTCTTTTTCATATTCTTTTTCTTCTCTCCCTGAATCCTCTTCAAGAAAAACAAGACTTGCATTATCACTGCTTTGACTTCATGCAGTCTTTAAATTCTCAAGTGCTTTGCTTTTTCATGAGTTAACATTATGTCAGAAGGCAGTTAGCACTGGTGACTGAATATCTTGTGCACTCAACTACTGTTTCATTTTGCTATCACTTTTCTTCGTCTATAACACAGGGACAGCATTTTTGAAATGTTACATCAATTGTCTTTTTATTTCATTCATAATCATTACTACAGTTCCCTGATTCATCCTATGTTCATGTATATATCTCACTTATTTTCAATTTTGTTTAAAATTATTTCCACTTTTATTTCCTTCATGATTCTTCATCTCATCTTTTTATCACTTCCAACACTCTGGGAACGAGGGTAACAATCTCTATACAAAACTAAGCTTAAACATGGCAACCAGGCAGCAGAATGTTCACATAGGCCAATGGTAAGAGTTAATTGTGACAGCCTGTAGCCGTCTCTTAGAGGTGGGCAAAATTGATTAGCTTTGACTGCGGAACATAGCTTTGTTTCCATTTGTACTTGCTTTAGGGTTGCAAGTTTTCAAGTAATTCTTGAACTTCTGTAATTGTAGTGCTAGTTTCCAGTTGATGTTCCTTGCTGGAGAGCAATGTCAGTGAGGAGCATATAAATTAATTTGCTTTGTGGCAGCTAATATTCCATTGAAATGGCTGTCTCGCCTCCTTTCTTGTCTTCCAACTAAATATTTGATTCCTTTATGAATTTATGGCTTATAGGGGAAGGGACTATTTTCTCAGGGTCTCCCCTCTTTATATTTTTAGCTCCTCTCTCTTTGCAGACAAGGGGTGTGTATTTTTAAAGCTTGAATTTACTGTCTCTGATGTTTCTTTAAATTTCCTAGGACATCATAGCAGTAACTTGACAATAGCTTTACCAGCTTTTTCTGTTCCATTTCTTTTTTATTCTTAACAGTTGCCTAGAAGTGCATTTCTATTTACTCCTATTTTGAGTAAGAAGAACCCATGATAAGGAGAAATTAGTCTTTAGATTTAATTTAGGGTACTTCTCTAGCCCCTATACCTTCCTGATATCATAAAATTAGGATGACCATATTTTCCGGTAATTTTTGAATTTTGATTTAGATGAGAAATGTAAGTTATACATGTAGTCTAAATATGAAGGAAAAGAATAAAAAAGTCACAGGTGTTACTTGTTCATATTGTTTAAAGTAAATTTCTAAGGAACAGATATTTTAATTATTCCCTTCGGTGTTTACATGTTTTACATTTTTATAGCAATTTCAGTAAATTGGTTAAAAAGGCCTGAAGAGTTCAAGGCATGGGCTGTTCAGAGACAGTCTTTCTTCCACAACAATATTCATGCTTTTTGACCTTGGTGTAAGAGAGGGATTTATCATTGGCCCTTTTTAGCCATTCATTAGTATGTTTGAATTTTGTTGTGCTGGCTCTTATAAAGTGAAGTATTTTGGACCACTTGAGGCTTATAAACCAAGTAAACAATTCTGAGGGTGTTGATAATAACTGAAGGGCTAACATATAGCAGCATGCTGCTACCACTAAGACAGAATAGACAAACCCACAAATCATGGCTAGTATCGTTCTCAGAGCTTTATTCCCATGACCTTTCAAGATTACATTGCCATATCTGTCTTGGACGCTGAGCATGCATATATATGAGAAAAGGATAGAGATATAGTTTAGTACTTTATTTCTTAAGACATTCAGTGCTGGTTTATGACTTATATTGAGAGTCTGCTGGCATTCATCACCCAAAGTTGTGAAGATATCAATGTCTGTTTACAAACAGTTCTGTATATAACAGATGTGTTTTTTATTTTAGTCCCAAAGGGCATAGCAGAAAACACATGGTGAAGTGAGAGGCCCTTGATTCAAGGCCCAGTTCCATAACTGTTTGTTCTTTGATCTTGTACAAGTTTGCTACACTTTTATAATTTTAATTTCCTCATCTGTAAGATAGGAATAATAATACTTTCTTTTTCTTATTGTTGAGAGGATTAAATGATGTAGAATAAGTGAAAGTTATTTTTAATCTGGAAAACCATACAGAATTTAAAATTTTATTTCCTCTCCACTGTCTTATCAAGAACCCTTCTTTCTGTTGCCCATCTTTACCCCACCCCCAAATGAAGCCTATACTTCTTACAACAAAGCTTAATTTCTTTATATGACAGGACAGCCCAGAAGCAGAGGTACTAAATGTCAGAATCTCAGTTATGCCATGCTGATCCCAAATCCTACCTGTCTTTAGTTTTTGTGCTTTAATAAGAAATAAGTGTATTTCACTATCTCAGAGCAAGAACAGTATAAACAGTCACCTGCCTGGATTCACACCCTTGCACTCCTTCTCACTAACTGTAAGACTTTTGAAAGTTACTCAAGCCCCCTGAGCCTCAGTTTCCTCATATAGAAAGCAACAGTAGTGCTACCTTCCTCACAGAGTTTGTCTGGATTTGTCTGGAAAAGTAGTATCTGTGAAGGGCCAAAATAAGTGTTCAGTAATTGGTATCTATGGTTTTTCATGGTAATTAATGATGTATATTATATGGAAATGTTAGATCCTTCTTTTTCACAAGTTTCTGGACAAAGGAGATATTACAAAATGTTTTTATGTTTATTAAATCCATTTTCATAAAAGGAAGTTTTTGGATTCTCTTAACAGATCATTGACATTCTCCTTGTTGCAATAAAACAAATGATACACATCACTTATTTCCTTTTCCCCTAGACACACACACACACACACACACACTGACTCACACACACACATTCTGTTTCTCACTTTGCTTGTTTGATCTTCAGCACAGACGGATATTGTTTCACGATGATAGAAGAGGATGACTCTGGGTTGCCTGTGGTCACTTCTGGTTGCCTAGGACTAGAAGGCTCAGATTTTCAGTGTCGGGTAAGGTAGATAACTTGATTCTGTAACCTTTCATTGGCTAGATTTCCAACAAGTTTCAAGCAAGATAAAACCATTCTTTTTCTTGGCCAGCCCATTTTTAGTATAGTCATGAGCTGCACAAAAACATTTAGGTCAGCAACAGATGGTATGTATGATGACAGTGGATGGTGGTCCCATAATATTATAGCACCATATTTTGACTGTACCTTTTCTATGGTTAGATACACAAATGGATACTATTGTGCCTTAATTGCCTACAGTATTAAGTTCAGTGACATGCTGTATGGATTTTTACCCTAGGAACAATAGGCTTTATCTTTTGGCCTATGTGTGTAGTAGGCTATACCATCTAGGTTTGTGCAAGTGTACTCTGTGATCTTCTCACAATGACAGAATCACCTCATAACACATTTCTCACAACATATCCCTGTCTTTAAGTGACACATGATTGTAATTTAGAAAACTGAAATTTTCCATTGGACCAATTCTTCCTTCATTTTGAAATCAAATATTATTTTTATTTTTGCTGTTAACGTCTTGTTTAGTGTCGCATTAGAGCATCTTCCTCAAAATCCAATTTAGCTTGTTGCATTAATCCAAGCCTTCTTCCTCAGTTTATACAATGCACACTAGTTATTAGAAATGTAGTAGTAATTTTGTTGAAATGCAAAAGTTGCAATAAGATAATACATGGTAGCTTGAAATAAATTACCTTATAGAGGAGAACATATTTAAGGTGTTTGAGTGAAATTGTTAGAATTTTAAATTAGTTCTCTAAATAGTGACTATTTTTAAAGTTTTAGATGATTTGACTTTGAAATTTGGAAGAAACTCACTAATAGCTGTTTGGGTTCGATTATAGGACACTCCCATTCCTCATCAAAGAAGATCAATTGAATGCTGCACAGAAAGGAACGAATGTAATAAAGACCTACACCCTACACTGCCTCCATTGAAAAACAGAGGTAAGTGAGGAAGGCTTCCAGCCTGGAAAATCACTAGGTATCATGAAAATAAAAACTAAAAACTAGAATCGTTCTCTCTCAATCTACCTGTACCACTTTCCACTGCTGGAGCAGAGCACTGAGGCCAGATGACATGGAACCATCATTCGAAGACATGTGCAAGTAGTTTGTGGGAAAACAGTCATATGTGACTTCACTTTTATGATTTTTATTTTTTCCCACTTCTGTTCAGAAAATTGCTATTCCTAGAGTTTGTAGTGTATTTCAGGGTGGAGGCAGGAGCTAGCACTCTGCTTCTCCCTGAAAGTTATTCAGAAGTTGTAGTTCACCCAAAAACTACCATTTGTCTATATTTATTTTAAAAGTAAAGACCATATAAAGGGCTAAATTAAACATTATTTGCTATATGGCATTTCCTTTTTTTATGCTAGAGTAACACCTTTTAGTCAAATCGTATCAATATATTGATAAAATGGGGAAGGTATCTAAAAGTTTTAATTTCAAAACTTACCCATTTAAGTGTTGTTCCTTTAAAATGACAAATATTGCCTCCCAAGATATTGCCTCCCAAGAGACCTTTTGTTTGCAACAGGTCTCATGTTCCCTTTCTCCTCCTCCATGCTTTCAGCGCGCGCACACACACACACACACACACACACACACACACACACACACACGGTTTTTTGTTGTTGCAGAGTTTTAAGTCCTAAATCTTATCTAAGTGATTTAAAGTGATTTTTCATGATTGATTTTATTTCTTGAGAAGAGAAAAATCTTTCCAACAAAACATAATGGAATTTCATGACTTTGTTTTGCTTTCTCTCTCTCTCTCTCTTTTTTTTTTTTGAGACAGGGTCTTGCTCTGTTGCCCAGGCTGGAGTGCATGGTGTCATCATAGTTCATTGCAACCTCCACCTCCTGGGCTCAGGCAGTCCTCCCACCTCAGCCTCCCCAGTAGCTGGGAAACAGGTGCACACCACCACACCCAGCTAGAATTTTGTGACAAATGTTTTAACATTTGTTCCTGTTCTAGCCTAGAAAGCTATACAAGATTGATTAATAATGATTCACATCAAAGCCTCACCAGCATTTTTTTTTAATTGTGGCAGGCAACATGCTAGGTATTAGGAATACAGAAATTAATGAAGAAAATTATTCCTCCCAAGAAGTATACATTAGAATGTAAGAGAGCACCGTGTCAATAACTATATTTGTTCAGAAATATCTCATTAGTAGAGTTAGATTATAAAGTGTATTAAGGACATAATAGAGTGAGTGGCTGGCTCTACCTGGGGGAGGAGGTTGTCAGAATAGCTTCCTAGAAGTGATACTTGAACAAGACTTTAAGGATGAAGAGGAGTGTGCTAAGTGGATAAGGCAGGATAGGCTAAGTATATAGAAAGTTTAAAATTTAAATGGCTAACTTTAGCCACATAATCTGCTAAAAAGTACATTAATTAATCCATTTTAGCCTCACAGCAGCCCTGTGAAGTACATAGAATTGTTCTTCCAACTTTAAAGATAAGGAAAACACAGCACCGGAAAGTTTATTAACTTTGAGTTTGCATAGCCTATGAGTAGCAGTGACTCTAAACAGATGCAGTAGTTAAGTGCAGAGGTCTGGTTTGTAATATTGGAGAGCCATTTGCTAACTACAGGAGTATGAAACAGCATGACTGGTTGGAGAAAAATCCCATAATTAAGAGAGATGAGGGCTGGGCACAGTGGCTCACACCTGTAATCTCAGCAGTTTGGAAGACCAAAGTGGGAAGATCGCCTGGGCCCAGAAGTTCAAGACCAGCCTGGGCAACATAGCAAGGCTCCATCTCTAAAAAAAAAAAAATTTTAATGATCTGGGCATGGTGGTATACATCTGTAGTTGCAGCTACTAGGGAGGCTAAGGTGGGAGGATCACTTGAGCCCGGAAGTTCGACATTACATTGCGCTACAGTCCTGCCACTGCACTGCAGCCTGGGTGGCAGAATGAGACACTCTTTCTAAAAAAATCTTTTTAAATAAATAAGAAAAGAGAGATGGGGCCAGATTTCAGTCCAGTTAGGAGTGTGAAGGTGAGAGAGCATTATCTGAGGAGGATGTAGGAATTTAGAAAAATAGTAGAATAAAACTCCAAAGGACAGAGTAAAAAGGCTTAGAAAAGGAGGGTAGGAACAATGAGAAGACAAGTTCTTGGTCCAGGGCAGTGTGGAGATGAGGATGCAGGAGTGGCTGGTGGACTCTACTGAGCATTGCGTAAGGTGGCTGGCTTTGGTGGGGTTTAGTAGCATTAGAATGCACTGCTTTGAGCTCTGAGGATCTCAGGTGGTACTTAGGCAAGGTCTTTCCAGATTCCACTGCTTTGCCAGTGCCTAGGCAAGGTCTCTGCAGAGTCTACTCAGGTAGTGTCTAGTTCCAAAGTCTCTGCAGATTCTTACCTTTTTGGGCCAGCTGTTTTGGGGTCAAGTAAATGTCACTGCAGATTGTAGTCTGAGAGCACTGATGTTTTTACATAGCTATACCACAGAGCTGCTGCTTTTTTTTTTTGACTCTACCATATACACATGTACAGTTTTTATTGAAATTGTACTAGATATTTTACTTTCTAGCTATATGATTTTTTTCTTCTATTTCTTATTGCAATTGTGAACCATCTTCTAGTCTTATAAAAACAGTCCTGGCATTTTAAGCAGTTACAAGCTAATTATCGGAGAGGTGATAGTAGTGACAGAATGCAGTTTTGTTGTGAAACCACTGGTGATTCTTAACTTGCCTCTCAGAGTGAACCAGACTTCGCCCGGGAGTTCTCAGTTCTACTTCCCAGAGCAGTTGGAGTGACAGCGCAGGTAGAAATCTGCTGTCCTGGAGAGAGCTGAAAGCTGTGGGCTCTGCTCTTTTCCTGATAGGTATCTGGAACTGTTCACTTTCTGAGACTCTGGCTGTGGCTTGAATGTTTACATTGTTAGTGCTCCGAGCACAGGTAATGGCAGATTAAAACATGACCAGCGTGACCAGCAGAAACAAAAGGTTTATTGATAAGGATCACCTATTCATGAGAGAAGACAAGGAGGCTGCCGGGGATAGGGTTATGGGGCAAATAAAAGGCAAATGGGAAGGTAAAGCTAGCCTTAAATAAAGTGCTTGATGGAAAGGAAAGAATCCCTTGATCCTTCTGGTCTCATTGCTCTCATAAATCAGAAATATAATAAGATAAGTAATACACAGTGTTCTTGCAGCTCAGGGTGTATCCTGTATCTTGCATTTACATGGAAAGTAAAAGGCAGTGAAGCTTGGAGTCTTAGTAAAATTATATCATTGGAATGGAAAAGTATTATGTGTTCATATACTGATAATATATTGACATTATAATTATGTGGATAGTTCTAGTTTTGGTTGAGTATCTAGCATTCTCCTAAAATCTAAAATTTTTGCAAAATCTTTCGTTATCTTTAAAATTGGAAATGCATTTAAGTTAAGTTTCCAGTCGCAGTCTTAACGTATTTGTGTGTTACAGTGTTTGGATGCTTCTATCTGTATAAAAATATTGTGAGTTGTGCTTTCACTGGTTGAGGTATTATGATACCTTGAATTTATTTTTAACTCTTTATATAACCTAAGAGAGGGAGGAATGGAGGAAAAAATTTACTAAGACAATTTATTGTGTTAAATTTTAGCCTGCATAACATTAAGAGCTTACAGATTATTTTCAAGATTTACTAAGCAGCATGTTTAGACAATGAATGCTCAAATTATATATAATTCCTGTTTGTCCTGAATGGCTCCTTGAATGGCTCCTGTTGAGCCCTGAATGACTTTTTACAAGTGCTATAATATGTCAAGTTCCTGAGCTCCCTTTTCCTGGATTATTGGTAACATTTCTTAATTTATTCATATAATAACTGCTTTAGTAGCCTCTCATTTAGTGTTTTCAGATGGAGATTACTTTCATTAATATTTTGCAACTATTACAAATCATAAATAGCTGTTAAACATATATATTTTAGACTGATGAGTAAATCATAACACTGACCATCATGAAGTTTGGATAAGAAATTCATAGTGGATTTTTGTTTGTAATAGATAATCCAAAGATTTTCTGAAATATTTTGAAGATGTTTTTCTTTTTTTAAATTTCAGATTTCATTTGTACTTACAAGGGGTACATGTGGAGACTGTTACAGGAGTTTATTGGACCCAGGTAGTAAGCATAGTACCCAATAGGCAGTTTCTCAACCCATCTCCCCTCACCCCCGTTAATCCACAGTGTCTGTTCTTGCCATGTTTATGTCCATGTGTGCTCAGTGTTTAGTTCCCACTTATAAGTGAGAACATACAGTATTTAGTTTTCTGTTCCTTCATTAATTCACTTAGGACTATGGCCTCCAGCTCCATCCATGTTGCTTCAAAGGATGTTATTTTATTGTCTTTTATGGCTGCGTAGTATTCCATGGTGTATATGTACCACATTTTGTTTATCCAACACACCATTGATGAGCAACTACGTTGATTGTGTGTCTTTGCTATTGTGAATAGTGTGGCAATGAACATACAAATGCATGTGTCTTTTTGGCATATTCCTTTGGATATGTATACAGCATCACTCCTATTCAGCATAGCACTGGAAGTCCTAGTCAGAGCAATCAGACCAGAGAAAGAAATAAAAGGCATCCTTATGAAAAGAAGAAGTTAAAGTATCTTCACTGATGGTATGATCGTATACTTAGAAAAACCTAAAGACTCCATCAAAAGACTACTAGAACTGATAAACGAGTTCAGCAAGGTTTAAGGATACAGAATGAATATACAAAAAATCAGTCAATAGCCTGCCTTTCCTTCCTTCCTTCCTTCCTTCCTTCCTTCCTTCCTTCCTTTCCTTCCTTCCTTCTTCTTTCTTTTCTTTTCTTTCTTTCTTTCTCTCTTTCTCTCTCTCTCTCTTTCTCTCTCTCTCTTTCTGTCTGTCTCTCTCTTTCTCTCTCTCTCTCCCTCCCTTCCTCCCTTCCCTTCCCTCCCCCTGCTCCCCTCCCTCCCTTCCTTACTTCCTTTTCAAGATGGAGTCTCTCTCAGTCACCCAGGCTGGAGTGCAGTGACACGATTTCTGCTCACTGCAACCTCCACCTCCCGGGTTCAAGCAATTCTCCCGACTCAGCCTCCTCAGTAGCTGGGATTACAGGCGTGTGCCATCATGCCCAGCTAATTTTTGTATTTTTGTAGAGACGGGGTTTTGCCATGTTGGCCAGGCTGGTCTTGAACTCCTGAACTCAGGTGATCCGCCCACCTTGGCTTCCCAAACTGCTGGGATTACAGGCGTGAGCCACTGTGCCCAGCCAGTCAGTAGCATTTCTATACACCAATAACATCCAGGCTGAGAGTCAAATCAAGAACACACTCCCATTTACAATAGCCACAAAGAATATGAAATACATAGGAATACAGCTAACCAAGGAGGTAAAAGACCTCTACAAGGAGAACTACAAAACACTGCTGAAAGAAATCAGAGACAACACAAATGGAAAAACATCCTATGCTCATGGATTGGAAGATTTATGTTCAGTTTATGTGTTCATGATAATTTCCTAGATGTTTTGATCTGGGCATGCAGTGTGAAATAAGCGCATCACGGGGCTGTGCATTAACCCTTTGAGCACATTATTGTTTAGTAAGATAGTATCCTTGTTCTTAGGAAGTACCCTCTGAAGTATTTATAAGTGGATAGTGGCATTATGTCTAAAACTTTAAATGATCCAAAAATAATACAGACACACAAATAAGTAAACAAATAAAAAATTTGAATGCAAATGTATGTATGCATATTATACATAAATATTGAGAGAGAGAGGCATTGAGAAGGCAAGATAATTATTTTTAAAATGATGAAATGTTAACAATGAGAAATCTAGGTGAAGGGCACATTGGAATTCTTTTTTCTTATTTTTTTTCTGTAAGGGTGAAATTATTTCAAAATAATTAAAATCTTTGTTCACATTGATGGTAAAATAGAAATTACTGTTACCTTTTAAAAAGAATATTTGACAATATGTATGAAAAGACTTAAAATATATATCTTATGAACTAACACACCTACTTCTGGGAATCTTATTAAGGAAATAATCATTAGCATGTGCAAAGATGTATGTGTAAGAGTGTTTATTACAGAATTGTGTATAACAAAGAAGCCTTATGGCAGAATCTTTAGAATCTCCTGAATGTATGACAGAAGATTCACTTTCTAATTAGGATGATTTTATGTATAATACAGTTTAGTCTTTAAAAGTCAGGTTGTAGCTGGGCACAGTGGTTCACGCCTGTAATCCCAGCACTTTGGGAGACCGAGGATCGCTTGAGGCCAGGAGTTTGAGACCAGCCGGGCCAACGTGGCAAAAAGCCATCTCTGCTAAGCATACAAAAATAAGTGGGGCGTGGTGGCTCGTACCTGTGATCTCAACTACTCAGGGTGCTGAGGCACAGAATCGCTTGAACCCAGAAGGCAGAGGTTGCAGTAAGCTGAGATTGTGCCACTGCACTCCAGCCTCGGCCACAGAGGAAGATCCTGTATCAAAAAAAAAAAAAAGTCATGTTGCAATAATAAATAATTTCAAATAGGTGGGAGGACACTGAATGTTCCCAACACAAAGAAATGATAAGTGTTTGAGATGATGGATATGCTGTCTGATCACTGTTCATTATGTATGTATTAAAATATTATAATTATGTGTCAATATAAAAATCCTGTTGCAGAAAAAAATATTTGTTGTTCTGGAAAATGTTCACAGTATTATAAATGAGAACAACCTAGTTATAAATCAGTATATATTATATTTTGCTTATGAACATTTTTATTGAAATGATACTGTTAGCAGTAATTTTTCCTGAGTGTTGAAGAGGTAGTGATTTTATTTTATTTTGGTTAGTTGATCCTTTTCAGTTTTTCTTCATGTAACATATAATACTTCTGAGTAAAAAAAGTTACATTGAGTGGAAGAACATTCCCAGCCAAAATATTTAGGTGGCCATATAGTTAAAGGTATATAGTACAGTTGGAAAACGTCTTGTCCATAGCATCCAAAGTCATAAATTACAATACTACCTTTTAAAATTAAATGACAGTAATCACTCTCTCAAAGGTAAATGGTGCCTTTAATAAGAATGGTACTAATGGTATTACTATATAAGTGCACCTGGTTTTAAGTCAGTTTCCTCAAAATATGTCCCAGAAATCACCCGTGTAAAATTTACCTGGGATGATTATTAAAAATAAAGTACTTTGAATGGAAATCTTTGGGGTTAAAGTCAGTGAATATACATTGTATAAAGTTAAGTCATTTATATAAAATTTGAGGAATCTGATTTGTCAAGAACTAGAGTTAAAATGAGTAGTGTTTAATAATTTGTTGTATAAAAGTATCATACATTCTTTGGCTGGAACATATACATTCTTTTAAAATATGATTCAGTTTAAGAAAAAGTATGGATTTTGAACACATTTTTGTTTAAAACAACGCACAACCATATATTCTCTATTTGGCAACATTTGAGGGGTCCACTTCCTTTTTATCCACTATAAGATGACTTTATATACAACGAGTTATGTTTTATGTCCCATGAATTATATAGATGCTTTTTTATTCAAATTCATGGTATAGAGTACTCCAGAGACCACATGAGAAGAGCCTATGAACCCATGAGCTGCGTCTGTAATAAAGATGAACTACCTGTTTCTATTGTGGGTGCACAGACCCACTTAGCTTTGTTGATGTTCTTTCTGTAGTTTTATCCTGTGTCGAGCCTGTTCCTTCCAGACAGGAAGAAATGTGTGCTCTTGATTAAGTGCCTAGGTGAAGGATGATTCACGCTAGTCAAACTTATTTAATTTTGAGTATATATGGGTTTTTAAAAAATTAATTGGTATGTGAAAAGGATCTTTCACATTTTGTGCGTGATACTTAGCAAGTACCTTTAGGAAAGAGTTACTTTCTTATTTTTAAGTAAAAATATTCTCTTGATTATGGCTCTTTTTCTTTTTAATTTCAGATTTTGTTGATGGACCTATACACCACAGGGCTTTACTTATATCTGTGACTGTCTGTAGTTTGCTCTTGGTCCTTATCATATTATTTTGTTACTTCCGGTAAGTTTCTAACATGTAGATGCAAAATTTTTAATTTATAGTGTCTTCTTTTTACTAATATTCTGCTTTTGCCTGTTAGTGTTTCTCACCACAGCTTTATTTATCTTAATTAGATCTTATAGTTAACTGAAAATGTCTGTTACTGTTGATAAATATTTGTCCTAATGAAGTTACAAATAGATACCTATCTCATTTCTGCTTCAGACTTCAAAACTACCCATATAAATATTTTATCCCTAGGGAAACTAGGGTAGTTAGAGACTTCAGAGACTGGTTGTTACTTAGGTTTGATTCCAAGCAGAGAAATGGCCATGTTGAACTTAAGAGTTGCTCAAATTCCTTATTTTCTAAGCTATAACGTTTCTGATTATTAAAAGATTTTAAACATAATTTATAGATTAATCATTAAAATAAGGTCCTTTATTATATTAAATTCGGTAATTCCTATTTTTTTAATGGCCTATGAACTTATGTTCTAGATTGTGAAATATTAAGGACCTTGATATTTATGTCATTTGCCTTTTGATTAATTTATTACTCATTTGAGATACTCTGCAAATGGTCAGATTAATTGATTCAAATAAATTCATTTCTAATTGAAAACTTAAGTATTGACAAAAAGTTTTTAAAGATTAAATTTATATTATTTCTTTAGATATGACCTTATATAAGAGAGTTAGCTATAATGATTTTTGTACACCCAAAATTTACATCTTTAATTAATTAGGGACCTTAGAAAAGATTTTAAGGAATAATATTGGAGCTATTTAGAAACACTAGTAGAATGTAGTCTGCTTGGATATGTGCAATTTGAAATAAATAAAAGAAGAAAAATTGTAGATGCTTGAGACTGAGTAAAAATATGTAGTTTATTTAGTTTATTTTAAAAAATAGGTTAGCCAAACAGTAATGAGTTTTACTTGGGAAACCATAACTAAGAGTAAAAAATATGAAGCATTTAATGTATTATATTTAGGTGCTAAAATAAAACTGCTGTGATTACCATTTTAGTTGCAATATTTTACTCCATCATTGCATTTCATTATCTAAAATTATCTTCATCTATCCATCTTTAGGTATAAAAGACAAGAAACCAGACCTCGATACAGCATTGGGTTAGAACAGGATGAAACTTACATTCCTCCTGGAGAATCCCTGAGAGACTTAATTGAGCAGTCTCAGAGCTCAGGAAGTGGATCAGGCCTCCCTCTGCTGGTATGAGAAGAACACATCTTGAATTTAAAGGAAATGTTTTCTGAAAGAACTGTCAATGAATATGGGGTTTCACTTACTGAAATAGGGCACTGGACAAGGAGAAAGCTCTATGCAGTCTGTTGGACATCCGATCTCAGCTGCAGGGCTTCCTGATAACATTTTGACATATTGAGAGTAAGGTGATTGTTTTTTAATGTAGGTGTATGGTTACAATCCAGACCCTCAGACATTCTGATGAAGAGCAGATTAGAAAACATTAAACACGGGACCATCTTCCCTGTGTTTTCCATAAGGATAGCATTACCGCACTTTGGCCTGGCTTTTGAAGGCTAAAGTATTACAACCAACTGGCTTCTCAGTATTTCTACAAAGAAAGAGGGTTGCTTTTCAGCTGTGGGGTTTATGTTTCAGGGTAAAGTTCTGGCTTTTCCATTCAGGAGAAGCTTCATTTTCTGATGGTCAGCACTGCCAACCTTGAAGAGAATATATGAGCAAATACAATTTGAAAATCAATAGTATTACACTTATTTTTTTCTAAAAGAGATGTACAAATAGTAAAATCCCTTTTGGTATTAATGAATTAGATGCTCTTGGAATTTAAACTGAGTTCTTCCAGTGTTTCTTGCCTTCAAACTCATCTTTCCCATTACTGTGGAGTTCTTTCTCCAAAACCATTGATCTTGCACTGTTATGTCCTGGGTAAAATATCCTAATACCCAATACTGCTTGCAGGTCTTCTTTCCCAGCTTGGTATGTGTGGCACATAAACTCAACCTGCCTTCCTGACGTCTCCTCCCACCTCTTCCCAGTATGCTGCCTGGGCTCTAGCATCACCTTTGAGTAATTGTTTCTCAAATACAACATATATCCACGTCATTGCAAATGTAATCTCTTTACTGGACATCACTCCAACTCATGGCTCAAGGCCTACCTCATGTTTTACCTCTGTGACAACTTCTCAGTTACCCCAGACTAAGCCAGTCTATTTATCTTCTGTGATAACATTTTATTTTTAGCACTAATAATGGCCATTTAAAATAATGTTATAATTAGTGGTAATGTTCTTGTGTCTTTTGGTGGAGTCTGTCCTCTTTGGGGTAGAGGTTACATTTTGCTCACTTTCTATCCCCAGTAGAGTGGCTGATTTATTATAGGCGCTGTTCAATAATTTGTTTTTAAAAAGCTTTCAGCTCCTACTTTTAATAGCTATAAAAATACTGTCTTGTTTCTATAATCCAGATACCAAAAAATAATATTTGGCTCACATCATATAATGATTAAAAGCATATATTCTCAAGCCAAATTGTCTGGGTTCCAATCCTGGCCAGACATTGGCCTTTAAAACTAAATCAAATTCTCATTTAGTCCTCATAGCAACCCTATAAGGTAGTACCAGAAATATCAGTATAACCCTGTATTACACATCAGGGGATACAGGCCCAGATAGGTCAGCTAGCTAGTACGTGGAGAAGCCAGGATTCAAACCCAGATGATCTGTGCTCTTAACATTAGTGAGATGTGAACTAAATGTTGGTTAAATAAAACAAGAAAGTGCATTTGATGGCGGTAGGATGGGAAGGAGGGTTCTATAAAACTCAGTTCAATAAAGAAAAAGTCTCTATTACAGATTTATTTTCTGGTTTTAAGATTTGGTTATTAAGATAAACAATGCAGAGGTATACAGTTCTCTCTCCATATATTGATATGTGAGTGAATACCTCATCTTAACATTGATTTGTTATTAATTTTAATAACATAATGGGCAAATTAGTGCCTTATATATAACCACATACTTGGACCTTGTGTTTAACAAATGACTTTATACGTGCCCTTTAATTTTGCATCTTTTCTTTTTCATAAAATGTCAATTTTTTCCTACTTTAAAAGGAAATAATATCGTAGGGCTGTTGTAAGAATTAAGACTGTGTGTGTGTGTGTGTGTGTGTGTGTTCTGTGTATGTCTTCTCACAGTCCTGGAATAGTGATAATTCTTTATAACTCCTTATACATTCAGTTATTCTCAGAGTACATGAAATATAGTGATCTTTTTGAAAGTACAGTTATAGTCATTGTATCTTACAGGCATTTTATTTATACAATCAATCTAAAAAGTTGGTATCTAAGAATGTAATATAGAATTAAAGTTTAGGTACAGAAGGACCAGAAACATTTGCTAAATCAAATAAAAACTAAAATAAATCAGTTAAAAAATTTTGAAGTTATATTTTTAGGTCCTTACATGTTATAATAGCTTACTTTCTGTCTTTGGGATAAGTTGTTCCTATTCTATCAAGTATCGCCAATTCTGTCAAAACTTATAATTAAATTATAAAATGTATTATCGTTAGAAAAAAAAGCAGATGCAAAACTGCTTATGTTAGGAAATTCTCCATAGACTTACATGAGCAATGCTTTGTAAGATCTGTAAATTAAATATTTTTCTTTAATAAATGTGGGAAGTTTCCTCTCAAATGAGTGATTTCCCTGTGTATGAATTTGGCTCCCAACTGGTGCCCATGTTGCTCCTGTTTCCTTGTTTGGAAATGGAGTACAGTGGACTCAACATGATGTCTCATGGCGCACAGGGCTCCTAAAGAGAGGACGGCTGCATTACACATAAACTTGCTTGCTTATTTCCATCAAGCTTCAGTGGCTTCATGGTACATCAGCAGTTCTTTTTTAATAAATTACGAAATTTATAATCTTCATTATAAATAATATATAATATATAATGTCCCCCCAAAATGTTCATGCCCTAATCCCCAGGATTTTTTTTTTTTTAAGACAAGGTCTTACTCTGTCACTTAGGCTGGAGTGTTGTGGTGCGATCTTGTCTCATTACAGCCTTGACCTCCCAGGCTCAAGCGATCCTCCCACCTCAGCCTCCCAAGTAGCTTGTCACTACGGGTGTGTGCTACCACACCTGGCTAATTTTCATATTATTTGTAGAGCTGAGTTTTTGCCATGTTGCCCAGGCTGGTCTTGAACTCCTGGACTCAAGGGATCCTCCCTCCACAGCCTCCCAAAGTGCTGGGATTACAGGCATGAGCCACCGTGCCCAGACCTAATCCCTAGAATTTTATGTTCTATGACAAAGGTGAGCAAAGGTTGCTGACGATAAGATGAGATCATTCTGGATTATCTGGGGTGGCCCAATGTAATTGCATGGCTCTTAAAAGTACAAAAAGAAAAACTTTAAGTTTTTAATTGGTGTAAAGTATATCTCTACAAAGAATACGTTCCAGTTTGCTGATCAGGTGTTATAAGAGTTATACGCTAGATTCCTTATGTCCTCTAAATTATATAAATTGTAATAGATGCTTAGCCCTTTCAATCTTGGAACCATTGATATCAGAGTTCTTCAAATATTTTACTGTAAGTACAGATGTGATGAAGATCATATATAAAGAGACATTTAAATTTAATGCCACTTAACTCATATTTTCATTCTCTTTGTCTGTACTCCACTCTTTATAATATTGTTCAGAGCTCTCTTAGAGCTTGGTAAATAATATTATCTCCAACTTGTTACTTTCTCTTATTAACTTTTCTCTCTAATATGCTGGTTTGTCTACCTGTTTTGCATTTTTTATTGTGACAATTAACTGTCTCATTACAAAAATGTAATTTCCATTAATCTTTTCTTGCTTATTTTTTATTCAATTTTCATTTCATTTAGAGTTACTTGGCATTCTGTATCTCAGAATTCCAGTATGTAATCTGAAGAGGTTAAATCTACTTGGGTTGTTTCTGTTGACTCTCATTTATAGTGACTGTTTCTTTGTTCTAAAGAATTCATTCTCTATAATCTTCTCTCATTCTCTTTCTTTCTTCTCTCCCTCCATTTTTTTTTGTTCTCCTTTTTCCTCCCCATTCTTGGATATTTCCTTTATTTCCCTGTGAGCCCAGGAGTGCATTACAGTTTATTTCTTATGTTATACCCATGATCAAGTTGTATGGTGGCAAGAGTTCCTTCAAAGTACTATTATCCCGCCATAGTCACGGCATGAAAAGTATTCTGCAAATGGTTTCCTCAAGAGAGAGCATTTGTAATGAGGAGCCTTGGCATGCTACCAACCCATAGCAAATTTAGTACCATTTGATGCTCTCTGCTTAATGCTGAAGCCCTAGGTTCAGTTCCTCTGGTTTTAAAGGAGTCAGAGTTTAAACTCTGGATTCCAGTTCTGGTATTGTTCTTTGCCCAGACGGCAGCTTGGTTTATCGTTCCCTGGTCTGGTCTCAACTCCTTCCTTCCCTCCCTCCTTCCTCCCTCCCTCCCTTTTTTCTTCCTCCCTGCATATAGATTTCCTTTATTTCTGTATGTGCCTAACAATGCATTACAATTTTGTTTTGTTATATTTATACATGATTAGGTGTATGGTGACGAGTCTCTTCAGAGTATGTAGTAGTCCATTATAACGGGGAAGTGCAAGTATTCTACTCTGCTGATTACTATGAGCCTACTCAGGTTTTTTCTCTGAGAAAATAATAATACTAAAATAAAGTATTTCATAATTTGGAAGCAGTGTTTTGAACATTCAGAATCCACACTCAATCTCAAATATGTTTAAAAGAGTGTAACATAAATTAATAAATAAATACAAATAAGTTGTCTATATAGAGAAAAATACTAGCTAAATATATTTTACATGCAGTAATCGTTTCTTCTCTGGAGAAAAAAAGATTAAACAAATCTGTAGCGCTGTGAATACACTAACAGTGTGTTTTGGGATTTCACAGGTCCAAAGGACTATAGCTAAGCAGATTCAGATGGTGAAACAGATTGGAAAAGGTCGCTATGGGGAAGTTTGGATGGGAAAGTGGCGTGGCGAAAAGGTAGCTGTGAAAGTGTTCTTCACCACAGAGGAAGCCAGCTGGTTCAGAGAGACAGAAATATATCAGACAGTGTTGATGAGGCATGAAAACATTTTGGGTGAGTAAAAGTCTGCATAGCTATGTTCAGGGTTTCCTAGCTTTCCTCTGTCTTTCTGTTAACATCTGCATGTTAACTCATCTGTCTAGACCCGTTGCGAAATGTATTGAAGTTTTCTTCTTGGCATGGGCCCAAGAACATCATAAGTTTCTAATGGGAGACCTCACAGGAGGAATGACTAAGGCACTTCTGTGAGTAAGTGGTAGGCTGGAAATGGAATACTCTCAAATATTTTTTCTTCAGAAACAGGAAATGCGAGTGTAAAACCAGAATTTCTTAGGGTTTCTTAGGAATTTGAAGGAACTTATTTTTGTTTAAATGTTGAGAAAAGTTGTAGGAATCTTATCTGCAGGGTTTATTTATATCAATAGTTTATATTGAGAATTGATTTTGTTTCGCAAGTTAGAAATGATCTGTCTGGATCGTTCAAGTAGAAGGAGAGTAAGCTAATCAGTGGGGTATATTCCTTAATTCAAGAATTCAAGACCCTGTTTTGCAATGTCTTATGTGTAACCATAATACCATAAAGTAGTTTATATACCATAGTAGTTTGTAATACCATAAAGTAGTTTAAACATCAACTACTGATTAGGAAGGGACCATATTTTCAGATGTAAACTCTTAATCTTTCTCTACTCCTACAGGTTTTTTTCTTTTTCTTTTCTTTTCTTTTTTTTTTTTTTTTTTTTTTTTTGAGATAAAGTCTCGCTCTGTCACCCAGGCTGGAGTGCAATGGTGTGATCTCCGCTCACGGTAATCTCTGCTTCCCAGGTTAAAGCAATTCTCCTGCTTAGCTTCCCGAGTAGTTGGGATCACAGGCACATGCCACCATGCCCAGCTAATTTTTGTATTTTTAGTAGAGATGGGGTTTCACCATGTTGACCAGAGTGGTCTTGAACTCCTGACCTCAAGTGATCCACCCGCCATGGCCTCCCGATGTGCTTGGATTACAGGTGTGAGCCACTGTGCCTAGCCTTACTTGTACAATTTTGATTGCTTCTTATTGGTATTAGTCATTTAATACCATCATAGGCATAGTCAGGAAATTGAATGAAATGCTAAACAAAAATTATCTATGACAAAGAATGATGTTTGAGAATATGAATTATTCCTGATACTATTTGGAAAACACTAAACCTTTTCATCTTTTTTCCTTTTAGGTTTCATTGCTGCAGATATCAAAGGGACAGGGTCCTGGACCCAGTTGTACCTAATCACAGACTATCATGAAAATGGTTCCCTTTATGATTATCTGAAGTCCACCACCCTAGACGCTAAATCAATGCTGAAGTTAGCCTACTCTTCTGTCAGTGGCTTATGTCATTTACACACAGAAATCTTTAGTACTCAAGGCAAACCAGCAATTGCCCATCGAGATCTGAAAAGTAAAAACATTCTGGTGAAGAAAAATGGAACTTGCTGTATTGCTGACCTGGGCCTGGCTGTTAAATTTATTAGGTTAGTATCAAAGTGAACAAATACATGTTTTATGACTCTTTTCTGTTACTTTTTATTTTGTAGCGCAGTGCTTCTAGGATATTTAGTAGAAGAGGAATATCATTAATTTTGACATTTGACGGGGAGAACCACCAAACATTTTATTAGCAACACAGCATATTTGGGTCTGTTCTATTGTTTCTATGCTCATCAGAGACATTGCTTAGAGACTGTTCACATTAGGTTTGCAGCTGTCATTAAGTTATATAGAAAAGAAGTAGCTAATTCCTGGGAATACGTAGTCAGAATTCTGCATAACATTTGCAAGTAGGAAAAAGTTTTGGGGAAAATTTACAGATTATATATGGATAAAGACAATTTTTATATGGTATAGGAAAGATAACTTGCATAGATGTTTTGGGAGAAATGTTAGAAACTAATAAACAAAACCCAGCTGTTATTCAGTACTGTTATCCTGTACCTGAAACAGTGAATTTAACATCTGTGCACATAAACCAGAGCATGTTGTAAAACAGTGGTTTTCAGACCCTTAGGGCTGCTTGGGTTACATCAGTAGCTTCTTCACAGTAGGGAGGGGAGATGATAGTTGGGACTCTATTTTGCTTACTCTTACTTTAATCAGAGAGGCTCCTTCCGTCTCACAGATGATTTAATTCGAATAAATGGTTTCTCTGTTTGGAAAACAAAACAAAATGAGCTTGCAAACCACTGGTGTAGAGAAATCATCGTATAACTACCTTTTAAAGAACTCAGTTTAGGCTTAGCCATTAATAAATGTTGGATCATCTTGTGGATTTTTCTAAGTAAGACTCTGTAATACATGGAGAGGAGCACAAAGAAAAAGTCATGGAGATTATTAAAAGTTTGGAAAGTAAAATTCACAAAAAAAGACTGATTGATTGGTATTTTCGGCCAGAACTGAAGGCTGAGGTGTGATTTAATAACATACCCCAAATATATGAAGGTCTTCACCATGTAAAGGATGGGAAATTGAAGTTCTTGATCTTTAAAAACAAAGCAAGAGGAAATGATTTGGGCTATAGATTTAAGTTAGAAATATGAACCTCCTGCCAATAAAGATTATTAAATCCTTTCTCCCTTCTGATTTTTTTTTCCTCTGACCTACAACCCTTTTCAAGTCTTCCTATAAAAAAAAAAAATCCCACAATGCTTCTTAAATTACCAGCCTCTCTCTCCTTCTCTCACCCTGTTAAATTTCTCCCAAGAGTTCCAAAAGATCATCTGCTTCGAAAACCCAGCAATTTGTTAATAGTCTTGTAATTTGGCTTCTGTTCCATTCTCTTTGGACACTGCTGTATTCAGAGACACCACTGGGCTTGGTCACCAGAGGCCTTCTCTATTGCCATCACCCTATCCACAGTGTCCAAACCTTTCTTTCTCCTGTTTTCTTGGTGTATCTCTGTACTCCAACTTCTCCTTTCTCTCTCTCCACTGGCTCTGCTCTCTTTTTACCTCTTACATATTTTCCGACTGCTAGATTTCCTGCTGTATCTGCATTTCCTTCCTAGTTCCCAGTTTTGGCTGATCCATTCTTAATATTAGGTATCTGACATCATCTTTCGTTCCCTAACTTTTGGTTTGCTCAAGTGAATGAATTTTCTTTCCACAATATTCCCATTTGTACTGGGCCAGTGTGGGCCTTCTATACCATTTTTCTAGATTCTGGGGTGAAGCATTTTGAGTTACTTTCTCTTTGTCTCTCCTATTTCCAGTCTTCTGTACATGCTGCCACTGAATTTATTTTCTTGAAGCCTAATTTTGGGCATCAAAATAATTTCATAGTTTCCTGTGGCTTCGTATTAAAATGTAGTTAGAGTCCCTTGGTGCAGTGGACTCTTTTCTTTTCTGACCCTGGGCTATTCTTCTGCCCTATTTCCACCACACTTCTTACCTTTGGCAAGATTTATTCTGAAGACTTCACACTTCTCATACCATCAAGTGTTTATAACATGCTTTTATCATTACCCGAACACCCATATCCCCTTCTGTATCTAGATCACAACTACTGATCTTCACAGTTTCTTCCTTTGAGACACCTTTTTTTATTTTTATTTTTTAGACAAAGAGTGGCTCTGTCACCCAGACTGGAGTGCAGTGGCACCATCACAACTCACTGCAGCCTTGACCTTCGAGGCCCAAGCAGTCCTCCCACCTCAGCCTCCTGAGTAATTGGAACTTCAGGCATGTGCCACCATGCCTGGCTAATTTTTTTTTTTTTTAATAGATGGGATCTCACTATGTTGCCAGGCTGGCCTCAAACTCCTGGACTCAAGTGATCTTCCTGCATCAGCCTCCCAAAACGCTGGGATTATAGGCATGAGCCACCATGCCTGGCCCACCTGCTGTTTTTTTTTTCATTATACTTTTAAGTTCTAGGGTACACGTGCACAACGTGCAGGTTTGTTACATATGTATACGTGTGCCATGTTGGTGTGATGCACCCATTAACTTGTCATTTACATTAGGTGTATCTCCTAATGCTATCCCTCCCCCCTCCACCCCACGACAGGCCTGGTGTGTGATGTTCCCCACCCTGTGTCCAAGTGTTCTCATTGTTCAATTCCCACATATGAGTGAGAACATGCGATGTTTGGTTTTCTGTCCTTGCGATAGTTTGCTCAGAATGATGGTTTCCAGTTTCATCCATGTCCCTACAAAGAATATGAACTCATCCTTTTTCATGGCTGCATAGTATTCCATGGTGTATATGTGCCACATTTTCTTAATCCAGTCTATCATCGATGTACATTTGGGTTGGTTCCCAGTCTTTGCTATTGTGAATAGTGCCACAGTAAATGTGTGCATGTGTCTTTATAGCAGCATGATTTATAATCCTTTGGGTATATACTCAGTAATGGGATGGCTGGGTCAAATGTATTTCTAGTTCTAGATCCTTGAGGAATCACCACACTGTCTTCCACAATGGTTGAACTAGTTTACAGCCCCACAAACAGTGTAAAAGTGTTCCTATTTCTCCACATCCTCTCCAGCACCTGTTGTTTCCTGACTTTTTAATGATCACCATTCTGACTGGTGTGAGATGGCATCTCATTGTGGTTTTGATTTGCATTTCTCTGATGGCCAGTGATGATGAGCATTTTTTCATGTGTCTTTTGGCTGCATAAATGTCTTCTTTTGAGAAGTGTCTGTTCATATCCTTCGCCCACTTTTTGATGGGGTTGTTTTTTTCTTGTAAATTTGTTTGAGTTCTTTGTAGATTCTGGATTAGCCCTTTGTCAGATGAGTAGATTGCAAAGATTTTCTCCCATTCTGTAGATTGCCTGTTCACTCTGATGGTAGTTTCTTTGCTGTGCAGAAGCTCTTTAGTTTAATTAGATCCCATTTGTCAATTTTGGCTTTTGTTGCCATTGCTTTTGGTGTTTTAGACATGAAGTCCTTGCCCATGCCTGTGTCCTGAATGGTAATGCCTGGGTTTTCTTCTGTGGTTTTTATGGTTTTAGGTCTCACATTTAAATCTTTAATCCATCTTGAATTAATTTTTGTATAAGGTGTAAGGAAGAGATCCAGTTTCAGCTTTCTCCATATGGCTAGCCAGTTTTCCCAGCCCCATTTATTAAATAGGGAATCCTTCCCCCATTTCTTGTTTTTCTCAGGTTTGTCAAGGGTCAGATAGTTGTAGATGTGTGGTATTATTTCTGAGGCCTCTGTTCTGTTCCATTGGTCTATATCTCTGTTTTGGTACCAGTACCATGCTGTTTTGGTTACTGTAGCCTTGTAGTATAGTTTGAAGTCAGGTAGTGTGATGCCTCCAGCTTTGTTCTTTTGGCTTAGGATTGACTTAGCAATGCGGGCTCTTTTTTGGTTCCATATAAACTTTAAAGTAGTTTTTTCCAATTCTGTGAAGAAAGTCATTGGTAGCTTGATGGGGATGGCATTGAATCTATAAATTACCTTGGGCAGTATGGCCATTTTCACGATACTGATTCTTCCTATCCATGAGCATGGAAAGTTCTTCTATTAGTTTGTGTCCTCTTTTATTTCATTGAGCAGTGGTTTGTAGTTCTCCTTGAAGAGGTCCTTCACATCCCTTGTAAATTGGATTCCTAGGTATTTTATTCTCTTTGAAGCAATTGTGAATGGGAGTTCACTCATGATTTGGCTCTCTGTTTGTCTGTTATTTGTGTATAAGAATGCTTGTGATTTTTGCACATTGATTTTGTATCCTGAGACTTTGCTGAAGTTTCTTATCAGCTTAAGGAGATTTTGGGCTGAGATGATGGGGTTTTCTAGATATACAATCATGTCATCTGCAAACAGGGACAATTTAACTTCCTCTTTTCCTAATTGAATACCCTTTATTTCTTTCTCCTGCTGGATTGCTTTGGCCAGAACTTCCAACACTATGTCGAATAGGAGTGCTGAGAGAGGGCATCCCTGTCTAGTGCCAGTTTTCAAAGGGAGTGCTTCCAGTGTTTGCCCATTCAGTATGATATTGGCCATGGGTTTGTCATAAATAGCTCTTATTATTTTGAGATACGTCCCATCAATAACTAGTTTTTTGAGAGTTTTTAGCATGGAGGGCTGTTAAATTTTGTTGAAGGCCTTTTCTGCATCTATTGAGATGATCATGTGGTTTTTGTCTTTGCTAGGCAATAATTAATAGCCTACCAACCAAAAAAAGTCCAGGACCAGACGGACTACATTTATTGATTATGTTCATTGATTTGTGTATGTTGAACCAGCCTTGCATCCCAGGGATGAAGCCCACTTGATCATGGTGGATAAGCTTTTTGATGTGCAGCTGGATTCGTTTTGCCAGTATTTTATTGAGGATTTTTGCATCGATGTTCATCAGGGATATTGGGTCTAAAATTCTCTTTTTTTGTTGTGTCTCTGCCAGGCTTTGGTATCAGGATGATGCTGGCCTCATAAAATGGGTTAGGGAGGATTCCCTCTCTTTCTGTTGATTGGAATAGTTTCAGAAGGCATGGTACCAGCTCCTCTTTGTACCTCTGGTAGAATTCAACCATGAATCCATGTGGTCCTAGACTTTTTTTCGTTGGTAGGCTATTAATTATTGCCTCAATTTCAGAGCCTGTTATTAGTCTATTCAGGGATTCAGCTTCTTCCTGGTTTAGTCTTGGGAGGGTGTATGTGTCGAGGAATTTATCCATTTCTTCTATTTTCTAGTTTATTTGCGTAGAGGTGTTTATAGTATTCTCTGATGTTAGTTTGTATTTCTGTGGGATCGGTGGTGATATCCCCTTTATCATTTTTTTATTGCATCTATTTGATTCTTCTCTCTTTTCTTCTTTATTAGTCTTTCTAGCAGTCTTATCAATTTTGTTGATCTTTTCAAAACACCAACTCCTGGATTCATTGATTTTTTGAAGGGTTTTTTGTGTCTCTACCTCCTTCAGTTCTGCTCTGATCTTAGTTATTTCTTGCCTTCTGCTAGCTTTTGAATGTGTTTGCTCTTGCTTCTCTTGTTCTTTTAATTGTGATGTTAGGGTATCAGTTTTAGATCTTTCCTGCTTTCTTTTGTGGGCATTTAGTGCTATGAATTTCCTTCTACACACTGCTTTAAATGTGTCCCAGAGATTCTGGTATGTTTGTGTCTTTGTTCTTATTGGTTTCAAAGAACATCTTTATTTCTGCCTTCATTTCGTTATGTACCCAGTAGTCATTCAGGAGCAGGTTCAGTTGCCATGTAGTTGAGCGGTTTTGAGTAAGTTTCTTAATCCTGAGTTCTAGTTTGATTGCACTGTGGTCTGAGAGATAGTTTGTTATAATTTCTGTTCATTTACATTTGCTGAAGAGTGCTTTACTTCCAACTATGTGGTCAATTTTGGAATAAGTGCAATGTGGTGCTGAGAAGAATGTATATTCTGTTGATTTGGGGTGGAGAGTTCTGTAGATGTCTATTAGGTCTGCTTGGTGCAGAGCTGAGTTCAATTCCTGGATATCCTTCTTAACTTTCTGTCTCGTTGATCTGTCTAATGTTGACAGTGGGGTGTTAAAGTCTCCCATTATTATTGTGTGGGAGTCTAAGTCTCTTTGTAGGTCTCTAAGGACTCGCTTTATGCATCTGGGTGCTCCTGTATTGGGTGCATATATATTTAGGATAGTTAGCTCTTGTTGAATTGATCCCTTTACCATTATGTAATGGCCTTCTTTGTCTCTTTTGATCTTTGTTAGTTTAAAGTCTGTTTTATCAAAAACTAGTATTGCAACCCCTGCTTTTTTCTGTTTTCCATTTGCTTGGTACATCTTCCTCCATCCCTTTATTTTGAGCCTATGTGTGTCTCTGCACATGAGATGGGTCTCCTGAATACAGCACACTGATGGGTCTTGACTCTTTATCCAATTTGCCAGTCCGTATCTTTTAATTGGAGCATTCAGCCCATTTACATTTAAGGTTAATATTGTTATGTGTGAGTTTGATCCTGTCATTATGATGTTAGCTGCATATTTTGCTCGTTAGTTGATGCAGTTTCTTCCTAGCATCGATGGTCTTTACAATTTGGCATGTTTTTGCAGTGGCTGCTACCGGTTGTTCCTTTCTATGTTTAGTGCTTCCTTCAGGAGCTCTTGTAAGGCAGGCCTGATGGTGACAAAATCTCTCAGCATTTGCTTGTCTGTAAAGTATTTTATTTCTCTTTCACTTATGAAGCTTAGTTTGGCTGGATGTGAAATTCTGGGCTGAACATTCTTTTCTTTAAGAATGTTGAATATTGGCCCCCACTCTCTTCTGGCTTGTGGAGTTTCTGCTGAGAGATCAGCTGTTAGTCTGATGGGCTTCCCTTTGTGGCTAACCCGACCTTTCTCTCTGACTGCCCTTAACATTTTTTCCTTCATTTCAATTTTGGTGAATTTCACAATTCTGTGTCTTGGAGTTGCTCTTCTTGAGGAGTATCTTTGTGGTGTTTTCTGTATTTCCTGAATTTGAATGTTGGCTTGCCTTGCTAGGTTGGGGAAGTTCTCCTGGATAATGTCCTGAAGAGTGTCTTCCAACTTGGTTCCATTCTCCCCATCACTTTCAGGTACACCAATCAGACGTAGATTTGGTCTTCTCACATAGTCCCATATTTCTTGGAGGGTTTGTTCATTACTTTTTACTCTTTTTTCTCTACACTTCTCTTCTCACTTCATTTCATTCATTTGATCTTCCATCACTGATACCCTTTCTTTCACTTGATCGAATCGACTACTGAAGCTTGTGCATGCATCACGTAGTTCTTGTGCCATGGTTTTCAGCTCCATCAAGTCATTTAAGATCTTCTCCATGCTGTTTATTCTAGTTAGCCATTCGTCTAATCTTTTTTCAAGGTTTTTAGCTTCTTTGCAATGAGTTTGGCCATCCTCCTTTAGCTCGGAGAAGTTTGTTAATGCCGATTGTCTGAAGCCTTCTTCTCTCAACTCGTCAAAGTCATTCTCCGTGCAGCTTTGTTCCATTGCTGGTGAGGAGCTCCCTTCCTTTGGAGGAGAAGAGGTGCTCGATTTTTAGAATTTTCAGCTTTCTTGCTCTGGTTTCTCCCCATCTTTGTGGTTTTATCTGCCTTTGGTCTTTGATGATGGTGATGTACAGATGGGGTTTTGGTGTGGATGTCCTTTCTGTTTGTTAGTTTTCCTTCTAACAGTCAGGACCCTCAGCTGCAGGTCTGTTGGAGTTTGCTGGAGGTCCACTCCAGACCCTGTTTGCCTGGGTATCACCAGCGGAGGCTGCAGAACAGCAAATATTGCAGAACGGCAAATGTTGCTGCCTGATCCTTCATCTGGAAGCTTCGTCTCAGAGGGGCACCTGGCTGTATGAGGTGTCAGTCGGCCCCTACTGGGAGGTGCCTCCCAGTTAGGCTACTCAGGAGTCAGGGACCCACTGGAGGAGGCAGTCTGTCCGTTCTCAGATCTCAAACTCCATGCTGGGAGAACCACTACTCTTTTCAAAGCTGTCAGACAGGGATGTTTAAGTCTGCAGAAGTTTCTGCTGCCTTTTGTTCAGCTGTACTCTGCCCCCAGAGGTGGAGTCTACAGAGGCAGGCAGGCGTCCTTGAGCTGCAGTGGGCTCCACCCAGTTTGAGCTTCCTGGCTGCTTTGTTTACCTACTCAAGCTCAGCAGTGGCGGACGCCCCTCCCTCAGCCTCGCTGCCGCCTTGCAGTTCAATCTCAGACTGCTGTGCTAGCAATGAGCGAGGCTCCATGGGCGTGGGACCCTCCGAGCCGGGCGTGGGACCCTCGGAGCCATGCGCGGGATATAATCTCCTGGTGTGCCGTTTGCTAAGACTGTTGGAAAAGTGCAGTATTAGGGTGGGAGTGTTCCAATTTTCCAGGTACCGTGTGTCATGGCTTCCCTTGGCTAGGAAAGGGAATTCCCTGACCCCTTGCGCTTGCCGGGTGAGGCGATATGCCCCACCCTGCTTCGGCTCACACTGTGTGGGCTGCACCCACTGTCCGACAGGCCCCAGTGAGGTGAGCCCAGTACCTAAGTTGGAAATGCAGAAATCACTCATCTTCTGCGTCGCTCATGGTGGGAGCTATAGACTGGAGCTGTTCCTATTCGGCCATCTTGTAACTTCCCCACCTGCTGTTTTTAGTCTCCGTTCTTATGTCTTCTAATGTAACTCTGTGCTTATTACCATGAAATGTCTTGCCTGTTATGTAGTCATCATTGACTACTTATTTGTCATTCCCAATGGAAAGTAAGCCCCTTGAAAGTAGATAACATGCATTTTTCAGATTTGCGTTTCTAGTGCCTTTCCCTGGTGCTCATTACTTAACTTTTAATGGATAAATGATTCCATATGGAACACAGGATGAAGGAAAAAGAACTTTTTTCCTAACACCAGAGATCCTACACATTCTGGACGAAATCCCCCTTTCTAATCTTACATTCTACAAACTCTCCAATTTGTATGCTTTCTTTTGCGAAACTGAGCTGCTTGAATTTTCTCCTTATATATTCCATGCTTGCTGTTGCCTTGCTTTTGATTGCACAGTCCCTAGCTTGGAAAGTCCCTGATTTTCCATGTATCTTAATCCAGTCTCAGAATCACCTCTAAGTCACTTGATTCATCCCCCAGCTGAGAATAATGACAGCATCTTCTGTACTACTCTTTAATTTCCCGGTCTTTGTCTGCTTGGTATTATAATTATTTTGGGACATGCTTCATTTCTCCTACCAGTGATGGTGCATCCTGAGAGCAGGATACATGCCAGCTTAATTAATATATTTCCCATTTAACATGACATAGTGAGTTACCCATTATAGATATTCTAACATTGTTGTGAATCAATAAATGTAGGCAATAGCAAAGTAACTGAGACTCATCTCCTTTATAGACCTTAAAACAAAAAAGGAAAGTGAGTATCTATTATATTATAGAAACTTAGTTCTGCTTAATGGAAGGAGAATGAACTGAATGACCTCTCAAATTTCATACAAACCCTGATTCTAGGAAGTGGAGGGACTATTTTAAGGGATAATTCAGACATTTACTTGGCATATATTAACTACTTCATCAAGAGATGAAGAGATGAAGATGATGGCTCAGATGTTGGCTGTGCAGACTCCTATGGCCATAGCCTAGCTGTGTGAGGCCATCTACCTTTCTGGGCCTCAGCATCATCTTCCATTACATGCAGGTTACATTTGATCATTTCAGAGGTGCTTTTTCCAGTTTTATTTTCTATGTTTCAAAGTTTGCTCTTCTCAGTTTTTGAGCCTAATTTTTAAAACTTGCTTTATGTGTTTCTTTAGTTTCTACTCTTTTTTTTCCACTGTTTTATATTGTATTTGTGCACATATGCATGGATATTTAGACTTTAATTACAAGTGGAGTCACAGCTTACCCTGTGCTGAATTCTCTGACTTCATATGAGAACTTCCTGTGAGACAGTCTCTGTGTAATGGTAAGTGTTCTCTTAGGCTTTTCAGTCATTTCTGAAAGGCTCCCAGGGAAGTCGAGAGCCACAGAGAGGGAGCAGACTGTGCCTGAGAGATTTCCTGCTCATATAAATTTTAAAACGCTGTATTGGTTTCTTCATGCATTCTCTTGACAGTGACGTAAGTGCCGATGCATTTCCTGCTCAGCAGAAATTTAATCCAGGTGATGTGCTGGCGGACATCACCATTACCTTCAATCTCTATTGGGAGGAGAAAACAATGACACATGAAATGCCTTGAAGAAACTTACAAAGCTTTTCACTCTTCACTCTGAAGAATTCAGCAACCACTCTGAGACTTCAGAGTCAGAACAAAATATTTTCATATGGGAAAAATAAATCCTGGCTTAGGGCTCTCTGGTATTAAATTAAAATAAAAAACCTGCAATAAAGACTAGGCTGTCACACTGATGTCCAGTGGATGATTGAGAAATTATCCAAGTACAAAAGAGATAGGGTAGCTTAGTTCGGAGGGTACTGAATTTCTTGAGTCTTGCTGATATGATTCTTTTTAGCACTGCTTTTGGTTTGCATTTTAAAATTGATTTGGCTAAATGACCCACCAAAGTCATAAAACTAAGCTCATTCGTGGCATAGTGAACACTCCCAGTCAAGGTTTCTGCAACCATACCCACCTTATGTTGAAGACTTTTTAGTTCTAAAGTTCTGTTTCTAAGATACCCTGAGATTTCTTGGGATTTTATCATAGCAGCATTGAATGTTGAAAGTAGCTGCAGAAAACTCCCCTTATTGGTGAACATCTGCCAGGCAGAGTTCAATTCTGCAAGTCAGTTCCTCAGCTATCTCCAGGATGCCACAGGAAACCCACAGGGATGTGCACAGCCCCTTCTTCCATAGACTCTTGAGAATTTTTTATGCTTTTGGGGAATCCAAATCATCTTGCTGAGAGAGGATTTAACATCCTGTAGTATATGTAATGGGTAGTTAATTTCAGACATCACTTACAAGCCACAGGCAAACCCATGGCCTCCTTCACATGTCTTCTCATGCCTCCTTTTTTTTCCACACACTCTTTAAAGTACAGTTCTTATTTCATAAGAAGCTTTTTAGATTTTTTAAGGGGTACAATGTTTGCTTCTCTTTTCTTTCTCCTGTCTATTACGTTTTTTTACCTTCCTACTTCCTCTCTTTCCCTTTCCTCTCTTTCTTTTAGGCATCAACAGCATCCAGCAGGAGGACCATCCGCATGTGCCCAAAGGCTCAATGAGGTAGAGCCACCTTGTTGGAGCTAGCAACTCTTTCCCTGCGCTCGCCTCTCATTGCCACAGCGGGCTGTGCTTAGGACTTTCATGAGACTCTTACTTCAGTTTATGGTACAGTGGGGAAAGTGCCCTGTGCTCAGTCAAGTAGTTGGGGCTCTTTTTTTTTTTTTTTAACATAACACTTTTAGCCAGAATTTCTGGGTTTAGGTTTATAACTAAAAGGCTTAATTAACATGAAAAACATTTAATATATTATGAGGCTGAAGAGATACTATATTTTTAAAAAACTCCCCCTTACTCCTTGCCACCGAAACAAAAATCTTTTGCCTGCCCTCATTTAATGCATGATAGTCAAGAGCTTAAGGCATGCACTGTTCCCTGAGTCCACTGGGGTGCTCATGTTTCATTCTCCAACCTGCTCAGGATCCCAGCTGAAGGCTCCACTTTCAGCCTTTCTGCACACACAAGCAGCCCCATGACTTCCCTCCCACAGTTACACTAACACCTGCAGTGCACACACGCCATACCAGGCAGCAGTGCTGTGCTAAGGGGCACGCCAGGGGTGGTACACCAGGCACAGGCAGGAAGGGAGTACACTGTCGATAATAAAACTGATTAAAATCCTACTTTTATTGTCACCATGTGCTGCAATTCTAAACAATGTCAGTGGCTAAAATATGTCTCCTGGCAGAGTGAGTGGCTCCCATCACCCCCTCCTTGGTATGTCCTTCCCTGGCACCTTCAGAGGAGAAGAGGAAAATCATAGTTTCGTGTGTCTTTTAATTTTCTTGTCTCTCTCTCTCTCAAAGTCTTTCCCTTTGCTCCCCTTCCCTACCCTCAAAACCATAACCTACAGAACTGTCACTTTGTTAGTGTCTTCCCTGGGGTAGAAGAGCCACTTGGAGTGTCCATAGACTTATGAAGCCCTTTGATTATCAATGTAGACCTCATACTCCACCATGCTGGCATTTTCTATATCATACCACTGTCATTCAAGTGACTTTGGTCAGAAATATGAACTTGGTTTTCTGGCCTCTTTAAATAATCCTAGCTGAGAGCAGCCCTGCATTTTGAGATCCAGATGAATGCAGACATTAACCTCATTCGTACCTGGTACAGTAGGGAACTCAGCATTATTCACTGCTTGTCTGGGAATTCAAAGGAGTTGTGTTCCCCTTTGCATTATCAGCCGATAGCTCCCATATATGTTGTGCCTTTTCCACATTATATAGTTGCTGGTTCCTGGCTTCCAAAATACGAACAGCTCAGGTTTGAAGATGTTTTTACTGGAGATTGTGATGGAAGATAGTACATAAAATTTAGTCCACCTGGACATTTCTCCCAATTTTTTTTTTTTTTTACCCCTACAGGGCTTAGTATCTTATGACCCTAGGCTAGAAGAACAGAACCCTTTTTCTCCCTCACTGAGTTCCCCTTTACCCCCAGGCTCTCATTAATTTCTTACTCAGAAAATTGTAGACATTTTCATTTTATCCTGTTCTATCTCCACTGTCCCTAAATGTTTATTGATTTTTTGAGATGAGGTCTCCCTCTGTTGCCCAGGCTAGAGTGCAGTGGTGTGATCTTGGCTCACTGCAACCTCTGCCTCCTGGGCTCAAGTGATCCTCCTGCTTCAGCCTCGCAAGTAGCTGGGGCTACAGGCATGTGCCACCACACCCAGCAAATTTTTGTATTTTTAGTAGAGACGGGGTTTTACCATGTTGCCCAGGCTGGTCTTGAACTCCTGGACTCAAGCAAGCAATCCACCTGCCTTGGCCTCCCAAAATGCTGAGATTACAGGCATGAACCACCACACCAGGCCTTTTTTTTTTTTAAAAAAAATACTCATTGAAGCATGATTTGAAAACTAAGAAAGCTTTTTTCCTGGAGAGGAATTTATCTGACATCTCTTTATTTTATTTTCCTCAAATTGTATTTCCTTCTAATTCTACTTAAGTCTGAATCTCTTTAGTACTCACATTAACAGGGACAAAAGCCATGTTGGATCTAGTGGCAGCATTGATTATTGAAGTATAAAAGGGCAAAATTGTCTACTCTTATAATTCTCTGAACCCTACTCTTAATAATGACCTCTTTGTGCACACATTTCCAACCATTCTCCATGGGAAAGAAGAAGAGAGAGAACATTTCTTCTGTAGTGAATGCAACACTTTTGTTTTTAATGGGATATTTTCAGTTCTCCTTCGTAGCAGCTCATTTTCTCTGTAATTTTATCCAGTTTATTTATATCACTTTTGTTCTTCCCGTCCTTATGCCTATAACCTGTCCTGTAATCCTTGAAATGTACATTTTCTAGTTCTGGATCCTGCTGGGTTCTTTTAACTTATACTATACTTAGAAATATATATACTTATATTTGTGATATAAACATACACAAAAGTATAAAAATGAGACACCCATGTAATATGAACAGATGTTAGCAGTTTACCTTGTTTTTCTCTGGTTTTTCTTTTTAAAAGAAATAAAATGTTGAAGATAGCCCTGTTGCAGTCCCATTCCTTTTTCATTTCCTGCTATCCTTCCCAGAAGTAACGAGTATCCTATTTATGTCTCCTCTGTATGATTTTATAATCTGACTTCATATGTATGTAGCTACTGCAGTACATAGGATTATTGCGTGGGGTTGGAATTATTGTCTCTGAGTCTACAGCCCTTGTGCAGTATCTATCTTTTCTTGTCAACCTTGTTTCTCCCCTCCATAGCCCTCTGTGGACAAGGAGGCTAGAGGAAGCTAGTGCAGAAGGCACCCTGCCCTTTTCTGCCTCCTTCTTTCTCCTGGAACTTTCCGTCTGTTGTACTGTCTGTTCTCACGTGTACCACACCATCTGACTCTACTTCCATTCCCTTTTTCTTCCTTTATTCTTGGCACCCCAGTGTTAAATCACATTTATGTCTATTTTTGGCTTTAGGATTAACACAAGCTTGATTTTTCTCTGCCATTATTTGGGAACAGGTAAAATGATGCTACTGAAAATCTGAGAAAGAAATGTAGTCTAATGACTTTCAATTATAGAAACATGCCTGAGGGAAGAAGGGGCAGAGCTAAATGTTTTGGAGGATCTGACACTTTACAGTATCAGATATGGATTACCTATAATTCTCATGTTTGTTGTTTAAGTGTAGTGCTAAAGGCACTTGCCAATAGGTTGATAGTGATCTTTCACAAAATTAGTTTGCTCAACAAAATTCTATTTATCCTTCTAGAAATTGGTAAGATCTCATTTTATGGCCCATGCAGTCCAGAGATTTTTACATTTCCCTTTAAATTATCCATAGCAAAGTTTAGTGTAAACAAACCTTTTCCTTCTTTCATTTAAAGTACATTATTTTCCTGTCATGTGCAAGACACACTGCGAATGGAGAAGGATTGGGGCTATGCTCTTTGGGGATATACCAAATGACTATGACAAGTATTTGGGGGCTCAGAGGAGTTGATAGTCTTCAGTTGGAAAACAGATTACTTACTCAAATGTTACTAGGGAGAAGATTTATTCAGCTACTACTAGGGCAAACGTCTAGGGTGGGAGAGGAAGGGGAGGAGAGAGATGGCTTATTGCTGAACATGCATATGTATTTAAGGGACTATGTAAAGGACTGATTTTTGGCATTTGGTGGACATTCAGAATCCTTGAGTGTATGTTTTTGCAGTGTTTGAGAAAAAGAATTTAGAGATGAACTATGTATACTCCAGCTGTCACAAATTTTAATTCTATTATTAGGTCACAATTACCTTTCATTTTTCTAATAGATATCTCTACATCACACATTCCATTATCTTTTCCTGACCTCCCAAATCCAAATAAACATTAAGGAGCTAAGAGTAAGAATGGAATGAAATTGCCTAAAATCTTTATCAACTGTGGTCAGATTACACCTTTGGCCTTTCTAAATGCCCTTCTGTGTGGATTGTCTTAAGATTCTTCTTGTTCTGGAATACAGTGGAGGTCTTTAACCATCTTCTTTTCATCTGCAAACCCTCATGTTTGTTTTCTCTGCATGGGACCCAGGACTTCTTACCTGGGGTCACCACTATCTTCCTCATGATTAAAAATTAAAATTAGGACATGCTGGCACCACATTAGTGAAATCCCTACTCTGCTCCCATGAGAGGTGTCAGCAGGTGGAGTAGGAGGAGAGCGTGCTTTATAAATGGAAATGGAGCTTTTGTAGCATCTATTCAATCTGACATGTTTCCAGTTTACCATTAAGTCTCTTCTCAGCATACTTTCCTCCCCTGTCATTTATCATTTACACATACAAATGACAATTTTCTATTATACCAATAAGTGCTGAGAATTAACATTTTAGCCTCTTTTTCCAGTTTTAGAAAAGATCCCAGAACACTGGGACCTATGTTTGCATATGGTAAAGAATACCATCTGTTTTGTTTTTTAATTACACTTTAACTTTTTTTTTAACGTCTTAACTTTTATTTAAGAAAACAGGCTAGTTATTATTGCACCTAGAAAACCACGAGGGGCCTAATGAGTACACTGATGACATATCTGTTGATATGTCATCTTATCTAAAACATAAAATTTTAGATTAAGAATTCTAGCCGGAAGTGACTTTAAAATGTTCTAAAATGAAGTTTTGCATTTTATGTTTTAGTAAATGTAAAAATTTTGAGATATTCAGAATGACACTTAAAATGTTCTCAAATGACAAAAAATGACACCATGTATTTCATGTTGTAGAAGTGGTCAAGGCAATGAGATCAAACCCAGAGGTTTTTGATTTTTGTTTTTTTCCTGAAGCCACTAGTGTTTTGGTATTGACTATCTATGACAGCAGGATAAGTGTGATATTCGATAAATGAATCTGTTTTCCAGGCTGAGGAGAAATAACATGTAAATTCTTGAAAGTCAATAGAGTGTAATGAAAAGCAAAAGCAAAAAAAAAAATTGTTGGGAATCAGGAGGTAGAAAGGTTTATTCAAGATTTTCCACAGAGTTCAGCTTAATAATGAGTTTCTGTACCTTTTTGGTTTTATAGTATACCTTATTTGGTTATAGTCTGTTCATCTGTCATATCTAGGGTTTGTTACTTTTCTACCTAGTTCCTTTACTTTCTGATGAGTTACAGTACTTAAGTATCTAATATGTGCCTAGTACCATGTTGGCAGGGCTTGTACATGTCATCTCATTTAATCATCAGCCTAGTCATTCAGCACCCTTAGAACAGGGGCTGGAACTGTGGCTCCAGCTCATCGCACTGAAGCAATGGTTCCCAAGTGCCAGTGTGCAGGTTGTTGTCCCTCCGTCATTACTCTTTTCCCAGTCTATGGGAAGGAATAGTAAATGGGCCTGTTGTAAAATTTTCAGAAAGTTAAAGATGTTATATTCCATTATTGTTTTCTTCCTTTGAAAAAAAAAGTTAAATGCTATTTGGTTCATAAAACAATAGTGATAGCAGAAAGCTTTTTTATATGTCCCACCTTGTCAGAGTAAAACAATTGCATGTCTTTGTTGGTTCTCTCCTTCTCCCCTTTTGAAACCTGTTTATAGATCTAAGAGCTTTACAACAGCTGGCTTAAAAAATACTGTTTCACATGAAATTGTCATGTGTGCATGCCCATTTTAAGAGTAAAGTTTTTAAAATAGGAGGGGAAGGAAGAGGGTTTTTTTAGATATTTAATATATATTTAGCAGTTGTTTAGGGTATAAATTTGATCTATTGGTAATGCAATTTTAAATGCTGCAGCTTCATTCTGACTGAGTTTTATCTTCATTGTTTTTTTTTTCTAACTTTTTTTAAGAGATGGCATCTCACTATGTTGCCCAGTCAGGCCTTGAACCTCTAGGCTCAAGCTATCCTTCCACCTCAGCCTCCAGAATAGCTGGGCCTACAGGCATGCACCACAGTATCAGCTTGCCTTTCATTGGCTTTTAACCTGTAAATATTTAATATAGCTTTTGGCAAGAAATATTCTTTAAGAAATTGTTTTTATTCCCTGGAAAGTTTTTCTTTTCCACTTTTCACTAACTAAAGCCATTGTTTCAGAATCACCTTGATTCGTTTTTGTTGGTCCTCTTCAATGCTGTAATGCTTTGCTTTACTTTTTCCTTAGTGATACAAATGAAGTTGACATACCACCTAACACTCGAGTTGGCACCAAACGCTATATGCCTCCAGAAGTGTTGGACGAGAGCTTGAACAGAAATCACTTCCAGTCTTACATCATGGCTGACATGTATAGTTTTGGCCTCATCCTTTGGGAGGTTGCTAGGAGATGTGTATCAGGAGGTAAGAAACAGTGCTGTCTTTGAAAAGCTACTATTGGAGCTACTATAAATCCTTTCTTTCTGATCAGAAATCAAAGTTATCATACTGTCTATAAGATCTGGTTTTATTTTCCCCTTTATTTCTGTTGATGCAGTCATAGTGCTTCCAGGAAATTATATTCGACATCCTAGAATAATCTTTGACTGCTTCCTTCCTCCAGCTGCCACTAGACACACTGTCAGCCTACCCTGCTTTTTCAAGCATCACTGTTTTCTGCTCTGTGTATTGTCTTATTTCTGTCTTGGGTTCTTCCTCCAGCAGTTGCTCGATGAAATCAAACCCCCTTTTCTGTCCCTGCCAGTTTATTCTCACCTAGCTGCTGGGCCCCATCCCCAACTCCATTCCCTGGGATTTCCTCTGCAGAGATGACAGTAGGCCATAAATGTGGGGTCGGACACCCATTTCTTACCTGCTGTATTTTTTATAAAACTTCCCCATAAAGCAATTTGAAAACATCAGTTTTTTATCAAAAGGAAATTAAAGTATCAGAGTATTATTTTTTTATATTGTTTTTTCTACACATATGAGGATTCCCTAGTAAAAACAATTATAATGAACAAGAAGACATATTTAAATATTCAGAAGTATTATTACTTGTACTATTTTGATTGCTCTACAGTCTGTCTTCGAGTAAATTCTGACACCTTTTAGGCAAGGAGCTGAATCTTTGGCTTTTCTGTATCAACTCTTCTGTATGTTATTCCATGGTTGTGCTCATTAAAAAACCTTGATGCTGCTGCTGTTCCTCATAATGGCCAATTTAAGTCTATCTTCATGAAAACATGAGCTTGCTGAAGATTCTGAAAGTGCAGCATGCACTTAACTAGTACTGAGATGTGTTCTTGTTCCTGCTATTTATCTGTGATGCCTTGGACAGGTTATAAACTTTTCTTTGTTTCAGAGTCCTCTTAAAGATGAATTGAATTATTGTATCTGCTTCTGTGGTTGTATGGTTTCAATGTAAAGATAATGAGAACTGCCTGGCACATAAATAGCACTCAATACATGTTAGCTATTATTACTATTAATACTTTTCATTTTGGTTGGTAGAGCCATAACATCTTTAGGTTCATATTTAAATACAAAGAAGAAACAGTTAATCAACCTGCATTCACACTTCAATAGAAAGATCATTATCAGTGGCACAGTGCCTTCTAATAATCACTTTGGGAATTCTGAACCTGTTTTAAGAAATTTGAAATAGAACACATACTCTCTGAAGTGAGGGAACTATTTTGTGCAAAAGGAAAGTTAATGCAGGAAATTTTCTCTAACCAGATATTGAATAAATTTCTCATTCTAAGTGTAAAGAAGAAGTAACCAAAAAATTTAACAAATTGTCTATGCCTTGATTTCACGCATTATAAAGAGTAGATAAGCCTCACGTTTGCATTCCCAGCATTTTGGGAGTCCAAGCGGGGAGGATCAGTTGAAGCCAGGAGTTGAGGACTAGTCTGGGCAATAGATTGGGACCCAGTCTGTATTTAAAAAGAAAAAAAAAAAAAAAACAAGTAGACGAGCCTTTTAAAAAATAATATGCTTATACTTAATTAAGATAGCTTTATGGAAGTTGAAGGTGTAGAGAACAAGGTTATTTTTCTAATTATGTTTTCTTGAACATCTAAAACAAACAGGGCTACAGGAAGCCTATATTTGAAAGCCTGTGGGCCAAATACAGGAGAAATTATTCTCAGCTTAAAAACAAAGTAGCTTTATATAAACAGCAGGGTATTAATTGCTGTGCTAGGGTATTAATTTGCTTTGCTAGGGCTGTCTTTGGATGTGGAGATTTGCTATAATGTTGCCTTATTGTTAGAGGTGTTGGAGTCCCTGCTCTGTCCCATACCAACTGAATGGACTTGGGCAAGTTACTTAACCCCTGAGAGCCAAGTTTCCTCATCTGAGTAGTGTGGAGAATAATGTCATCTCAGAAACGCATTTGTGAGAATTTAATAAGATAATTTATATAGCATACCTGTTTCCACAACTGGGATAGAGGAAGCTCTCAATAAGCGATTTTATTTTTCCAGAGAGGCAAAGCACACAAAATTCTATTTTCTAACACTTTATGAAGATATTAGAAGTTTTTTGGGCTTATCTTTCTAGTCCAGGCCCTTCTGGGTGAAAGAGACACATCCAGATGTAGGCCTTTCCATCTTTTAAAGGAGAAGAAAGACAGAAAGGTTTGAGGTTTCAAACAGAGTTAAATGGCAGCTAACAGGAAATTTTGAAAACTTGATTACATGACATGGAGAAAAGAATAAGGCCTATTATTCAACAGTTAGATTTGAGTAATTCATAATTTTAAGTGGTGAGCTCTGCCTTCGTCTGTTGTAGTAGATACACCTACCCCACCCCATCCATCAGTCCATCCACCAGCGGAAAATAGGAGATGGGTTAAAGAGATGTGGGCTTTGCCTTCAGGCTGTTTCCAGGGCCATGGTCCTGAGAATGAGAAAGGGAGAAAGAACTGAAATGAAGCAGAGCACATCCTGCGTGTTAGGCCCTGTGCTTTTCTTATCTCATATGGAGGTAAAACACAGTGAAAGGAAATATTAACATAGATAATACATATAATTAGCTCTGTGGTCACAGCAGGGCACAGGACAAATGGTGAGTTGGAATGGTCTGAAAAAACTTCTGAACCTTCTGGTCCTTGATGATTTTATAACAGATTTGAGTTTACAAGAAAGAACATAACACAGACCCCAGATTTTGGCAGAGTAAGCCCCCAGTGAATTTAACGATGTGATATATAATCTGCCAACTTGACGGCATCATCTTTTTCAGATGAAAAGCAATGATATTTCTATAAAAGATGATTTAGGATAGGGAGGAGGGGTGCTCCCAAAAGATTGTTCAGAGCAGCAGCCTCTAATGTAATTATTATAAGGAGTTAATCTTAAGAAGGTGAAAAAGAAGATACTAGAAGCCTGCATTTTTAAAGGAGAAGAGGAAGAAGGTAGAAATTAAATACTAGGAACAATAAAATGAAAGTTTAGTGTGCATTTTTATGAAGATGCTATAGATTTATATTTCTTTTCTTTTAACAATACATATTTTTTCTAATAGTAATGTATTCCTTACTGAAAATTTGGATAAATATAGGAAAAAAATCAGATAATCCTTGAACCTAAAAAATTCATGGTTAATATTTTTGGGTGTCTGTAATTTTCTAAATTTTTAATGTGCAAAACCACATTCCTACAATTAAGCAGAAAAAATGTAAATCTGACATTTTGTTCAAGTAGGATACACTTCTGAATTTATTATGATATTCATAGTTTCATACTATAGTAATAGAAACAGTCACATGTAGTATGAGTTCAGGATATGTCTTGCAGATTTGCATTGAGATTTAATATAGATTTGTCTTTTAATTTGTTCTTCATAAAAATGGAAATAAATTTAAGATGCTTGTTTTACTTAGCTTTTGGAAATTAGGAAAGAAAGGCTTGAAGACCTATGACAATATTTTTCATTGGGCTTTGTATTCATTTTTTCTAAATTAGATTAAGTACCATTTGGGTAAATATTTTTCAAGATTTATTTTGCTATTTTTCTGCCTGAACTTGTCTGTAATACTGATAGCACTTTTCCTTTGAGAACTGTGTTAGACTTTTATTTCTACTTCACAGAAAATAATAATAATAATAATAATAGTAACAACATATTTTTAGGTATAGTGGAAGAATACCAGCTTCCTTATCATGACCTAGTGCCCAGTGACCCCTCTTATGAGGACATGAGGGAGATTGTGTGCATCAAGAAGTTACGCCCCTCATTCCCAAACCGGTGGAGCAGTGATGAGGTAAGGCTTGAGGTAACCATGTGGCTGTGACAGACTTCTAAATAGACTTTTCTTTTTTAGCTAAAATTCCACATATTGATTGTAGGAATTCTTCTTTTTTTGATGGTGATGGTGATGGCGCCTCATTGCAGTAATTTATATGAAGATAAGTGTAGTATGTTAAATTACTTGTTCTACTTTTCCAATTTTATTTTGCCACTTCCAGAATATATTGAGTGAGTTGGTCAGTGTTTAGCCTGCATAACAAATAACATTATTTTCTTTATTTATAATGTCTTGACATTTGCATAAAACCTATTATTTCTCTGTGTGTGTTTTTAAAGCATCATAATTTTTCTCTGTGACAAACCCATGTACAGCATTCTCCCATTTTGATTAGAGAAAAAAAGTAGGCATGTTAAAGTGATACAGGTTGACCTAGTTAAGATGCCTGACTGTGCTGGGTGTCTTTGTTAATAAGGATGACGAGATGTGATTTGAACAAATCCACCTTCAGCTTGGCTCTAAGGCTGTAGTGGTGAAACCTACATAGGTCTGGAAAGCAGCGGCTAGTAAGGAAGAAATGAGTCTTGCCTTTCCTGACTCCTCCTCCTGTTCCACATTCCTCTCCTTCCACCCTCGCAGCCTTCAAACTCACCATGTTCTAGAGTTCTCTGGCAGACTGGAATGTTCAAGATGAGTTTGAAGCACCACTGGAAAAAAAAACAGGCTCTTATCAAACGTACCAAAGCACTGCAAAGGGGGGACAGAGCACTATTTCTGAAGTGTAAAAGCCATTTAAATATAATCTCTGGGCCGGGCACTGTGGCTCACATCTGTAATCCCGGCACTTTGGCAGGCCGAGGCGGGTGGATCACTTGAGTCCAGAAGTTCGAGACCAGCCTGGCCAATATAGTGAAAACCCATCTCTATTAAAAAATACAAACAATAGCCTAGTGTGTTGGTGCACACCTGTATTCCCACCTACTCGGGAGATTGATGCACGAGAATTGCTTGAACCCGGAAGGCGGAGGTTGCAATGAGCCAGGATCATGACACTGCACTCGACAGACCGAGACCCTGTCTTAAAACAAATAAACAAACAACAACAAAAACAAAAACACCTTTGGCTCATTGGTTTTGTGTCTGGTTACTAAAATGCTAAATAATATATACGTTTTCCAGCAAGCTGTGCAGAAAGCTTTATGAGATGCTGGAGCTCTGTTATTGTGGGCTTTTGGTGTTACTTGATATCTCTTCACTGAGGATTTCTTATGAAGTGAAATTGTACTTTTCAATAGGAAGACCAATAATTGATGTACCACAGGAGAAAGTTTTAGTGATGCTGTGCACAGGTCATTAATCTTGTTAAATGGTGCAGTGTGATGCTATTACTGCAGCAGACAGCTATGATTTAGGAATAACTGTGTTTGTTTGCATAGTATGGAATTAGATAAAAGATTAAAACTTATCAAGTGTTATAAACAATCTGGGAGTATTGAGTGGAATACAGACTCCCTGGGTATTTTTATGTTTGCTTAACACTAATTTCAAAGACACCTTTCTACAATCAGCAGAACCACCTGCTTGTTTCTATCACAAAGAAGACATGAACATCTGTTTTAGTCATATATAATTTTGCATGAAAAAAGCTTACAGAATTTTACTTCTACATGGTTTTAAGGGTACCTTTTAAAAATATATTCAAACTTAATGAACCTAAAACTAAAAAGCTACATTGTAACAGGTGCCAGCCTTGCAGATGATACATTTTTCTAACATTTCTCTTCCTCAGTGTCTAAGGCAGATGGGAAAACTCATGACAGAATGCTGGGCTCACAATCCTGCATCAAGGCTGACAGCCCTGCGGGTTAAGAAAACACTTGCCAAAATGTCAGAGTCCCAGGACATTAAACTCTGATAGGAGAGGAAAAGTAAGCATCTCTGCAGAAAGCCAACAGGTACTCTTCTGTTTGTGGGCAGAGCAAAAGACATCAAATAAGCATCCACAGTACAAGCCTTGAACATCGTCCTGCTTCCCAGTGGGTTCAGACCTCACCTCTCAGGGAGCGACCTGGGCAAAGACAGAGAAGCTCCCAGAAGGAGAGATTGATCCATGTCTGTTTGTAGGACGGAGAAACCGCTTGGGTAACTTGTTCAAGATATGATGCATGTTGCTTTCTAAGAAAGCCCTGTATTTTGTGATTGCCTTTTTTTTTTTTTAAGATGCTTTCATTTTGCCAAAATAAAACAGATAATGTGGATGGTTTAAGGGTTATAGTATTATAGTTTAAATAATAACAACAAAATTCTTCCCAGGAACTCTGCTGGAAGGTAAATTAAAATACTTGTTTTTCCATTGGTAAAATATTGTTGCACTCTGTGAACCAAAAGACAGTCTAAGTTGGAGGACATAGAACGGAACTCATCTTAAACATACTCCCCACCCCGTCTTGGCCTCCTCAGACCACTTTGGCCATCCCTGCATTTGGGGCCGCTATGGTAATGTGAATGCACTGGGTACAAACACCGCCTGTCTAGGACCACATTTGGAATTCCTGCAGGTGGCCTTTTGCAGCTTCAGGCAATATGGAACAAATGAAGGTTTATGTGACTCTAATAGAAGTAATTGTTGATAGGTGTTCTTCAGATCCACTTCTGTTTCTGATTGAGTTAGGCATCTCTTTCATGGTAAAACCCTTTTCATTAAACACAAAGAAAGCTTTTTTTTTTTTTTTTTTTTTTTTTTTTTTTTAATGTGCAGAGGATTGACCTGTGCATGCTTTTGATCTCTCATTCAAAGGATCAATATTAAATAAAATTGTCATGAGCTGTGTTGAAGACAGGGTGCTTTCAAATAGAGGTAATTTGCTCTTGTGTTGTAAGAGGAACATGTCAACAAAGATAGGAAATGAGGGTGATCGTGCAGATGGCTTGTATCTTATATATGCAAAGGAGCCAATCTCAGAAGCACAAAGAAAAAAGTGTGCATACCTTATTTTGTACAGATAAAGATGATGTCTTTTTGTTATTGTCTGTCTGTTTTGTATGTGTCTGAGATAAGGGATAGAGAGGAAACATCCGTCAGGCTAATTTAACTACATTTTATTTTAAAAATAGAGAAACATAACCTCTAGATGGGACAGCAGAGGACAGTTAGTAGAGGCCACAAACTGTTATGGGCTGCTGTGTTTTGTTCTAAAATCAATATGGTTGGAGCATGTATATCTTAGGTGATCATTTCACATCTTAGGAATGCCTACTCATTTTATTTTATTCTAGTGATGCTCAATTCACTATTTAATTTATTATATTTTCTCTTCTGTGGCACTTATACAAAATATCTCTTCACCTACTTAGTTCTACAGGGTTTTAACTTTGGAGCAACATGAATAAAATCATCGAGAAGGCCAATATTGTTTAGCAACATGAATACAATACAGTTTAAAGTTGTACACATCCTGCTCAACTTTATTCATATACATTTCCTTTCTGTGGTTTTCTTTTGCTTCTTAGAAATTCTGTTAGTGGTTAGTAAAGAATTTGAAAGTACTTTCTCCTTGCTGTTTTTTTTTTTTTTTAAGACATTCCTCCCAGAATACTCCAGGGGGCAGTGTTTTATAACACATTTTCCCCACTGGGTGATTGAAGGATGGAGGATTTTTGAAAATTTGACAGCTACATGAAACATGAGAAAACATTTTCCTCACTTCTGAAGTCGGTTTGCAGCTGGTAACTTGTTCATCCAGAAAACATTCTAAAGCAATGAGACTTTGTGAGCTGTGCTTACAGTTTGGGAGAATCATGAAGATTCTTTCTATATTTTGCATTTACTTCCCAGTGCTTCATAGCTGCATTTTGTTTGTAACTAAGACAGAAGAATTTCGTAATCCTTGAAATTGAAAAAAAAAAAATTGTGTTTTTAAAGAGTGAAAACAGTTAGAAAACAAGTAGAACTGTAATCAGAACGCTGCTTCAATTGATATTAAAAATAACCTCAATAATAATGTAAAGGTTCCTTTCTCTTGTGTCAGTTATATTCTTAGGGATAGCCTAGAAGGAATATATGGTTAGAACTAAGTGTGACTAATCATCTGAGCCTTGAAGAGAAACTTCAGTGCCTCTAAACAGATCATCTACAAAACAACAGGTAAACATTTATGCCAGTTAAGTGGGTCATGTTTTTGTTTCTTGGGTTTTTCCTAAATTTAAGTGAGGTTGGGCTTACCTTGTAGATAAAATTATGTTTTCTTTTTGGTAAATACTTGAACGTGGATAACGTCAAATCAGAATATTTTGTGAGGAGGTGATGATTTGAAATTAAGCTAGATTTCTAGGGAGGTGTTGGTTCCAATGAAGGATGGGAAGAAATTAAAATAGTCTTCAAACTTCTTCCTTATTATATTTGGTTGCTTTGGAAAAGATTGGTCCTATCCTCAATCTAATTTATTCACTATTAATATTTTAAAAACATTCCTGAGATACTTAAAAAGACCCACTTAGCGATTATAGTTGCTCAATGAAACAAGAATTTATTTATGCATAGATTTTTCTCTGTATCTTACCAAAATCCACTTTACTTAGATAACACTAAATTGTTCTTAAAGACTACTCATTTCCCAATAATCCTTTATGATTTCAAAATTTCTAGTGGCTCAGAAGTGAATTTTATTTTATTTGTCTTTCACTTGAATAAATGAGAACCCAGAAATTAATAATGTTGTTTATTGCTTACTGTCAGGACTATTTCAAAGACTAAGAAGAGTTTCTTCTAACCCCTCCCTCTCAAAGGAATCCTAAATTATTAGTTGTTAGATAAGTTTTGTATGCTAAGATATTCAGGTTTATAGTTTATGTATGTGTGTATATATATAAATATATATGTATATATAAATATTATGTTCAGTTTGGAGTCTGGCACAACTCCATTATGTGGATTAGAGAGTAAGATATTATGGATGATAAAGTACTAAATGAAACATAATATTTATTTATAAAAGTGTGTAGATTGTTAAATCACAAAAAGAGTGCTATGACCATTATGTATGAGGAAACAGGCCTTTGACCTCCTGGAAAGCACTGCTCAAAAGTCATTAGTGCCCATTTTTGAATTCCCCAAACAGAAAGCTTCTTAGAAAACATGCTGAGATTTTATTTACAGGGAATTCTTTGACACATTTCAATTGGTGTGTAGTCAAGTATAGCAAGTACTTAATAATGACTGAATTTCATGTTCCTACAGTCATACATATTCATTAGAAGTTTTATGTTGTTGGTCTGATCTGATTCTTCTTTGTTTGTGGGTGGAACGGCACTGAGAGAAGTATAGTTTTTTAAACTTGAACATGTTCAGTAGTTACATTGCCTTAGAAAACCCAGACACATAGCAGTGGAAATGAAAGAAATGGCATCAGAAGTGACTTAATTTAGCAATTGTGATTCCTCTTGTAAAACAAAACAAAAAAACAATGCCATATTTTTTGGAGAAAAGTTGGCAATATAGGGGTTTCGTTGTCTGTTTCACAAGAAGACTCATTTGTTCTTTTGGGGGAACCAGTGCCTTACAGATTTTGTATATACTGTAATTATTCAGGACTAGGGAACAAACAATTGTATTGTATTTGTTACAGATTGTATATGGCTTTGTTTTAACATTCCCCTAAATAAAATGGCTTCATTCTCCCCTTGGAAAAAAACATGACTGTTATGTTATAGTTGTGCTTATTTATTTATTTATTTATTTATTTATTTATTATCTTTGAAAATATCCCATTGTAGCAGGTGGGAAGGCACCATGAAGGAGGCAGATGCAGGTAAGTTTTTCACATTTCATGGCAGGAGGACAAGAGAAATGGTCTGATGGCTTCTACTTTCTTTGTGAAGGAAACACAGTCATCTACTGAGAGTGAGGGGAAAGGCAGGGAAGTCAGTGGTTTAAGAGAAGTGAAGAAGGTTTAAAATTGCACTGGAAAATTACAGCTTGATGGGGAAAGAGCCAGATGGTTACGGGCAACTCTGAGGGCCAGGTTAGGCTTCCTGAAGCTGACTGTGGCACAGTGGCCAAGCGTAGACTTGGGACTGCCAGGTGGCCTGTTGGTGTGAATCCAGCTTCCCTCACTCCCTCAGTTGTGTGACTGGGCACATTTTGACCTCTTTATCATGCAAATGCAGCAACAGGTCATGGAAAGTAAGAATTATTACTATCAAGGGGCTGATGGGCCAGAGGAGGGAAGGAATTAATTAGAGGAGCTAACAGACCAACAAACAAACAAACAAACGAACAAAAAACCCAGGTCCCAGGACAGGGAATCCTGATGGGGCGGAGGTGGTATCTCCGCAGTTACTGAGAGAGGGGCTGTGGTCAGTTTCTTCCCCTTGAAGATGTTTCTTCCCCTTGAAGATGAGAATGATGTTAATATCCACTATCTGGAGTTGTTCTGAAGATGAAATGACATAATCCATGCACCAAGCATGTGGTAAGTGCTCAACTATAGTATTAACAGAAATTCATAGTGCCACTTTTCTTGTGGTTTATGATTTTTTTTATCTTTTTGTCAGCAACCCAAATACAGGTATAGAGACAACGAAGATAGGATTCATTCAGGGTACTGGTTTATCATGCAAACGCAGCAACAGGTCATGGAAGGTAAGAATTATTACTATCAAGGGGCTGATGGACCAGAGGAGGGAAGGAATTAATTAGAGGAGCTAACAGACCAAAAAAAAAAAAACAAAAAACAAAACAAAACAAAACAAAAACCCAGGTCCCAGGACAGGGAATCCTGATGGGGCGGGGGCGGAGGTGGTATCTCCACAGTTACTGAGAGAGAGGCTGTGGTCAGATTTCAGAGGGGGAGCAGCTGAGAGTGTGATCGCAGGAGGGGGTGAATTTAATTCATAGGCAACATTGTTGGTGATGAAAGAGGAACCCAAATCCTGGCCTTTAGATTTGTTGTCTTCGTGGATTTTGAAGGTGGCAGTCTTGGGAGAGGAAGGTTGTGAGGCAAAATTCTCCAGTGCCACAGGAGAATGGGAAGGGACGCAGGCAGTGAGAGGCAGAGAGAGGGGCTGGCCAGCTGAGCCGGGAGGCCTGACATGCAAAGCATTGAGTTTTTAATGCAATAATCTGGAATCAGCAGTTTTGTATGAGAAAGACCCCACCTGCCTCCCAGCTGTGGAGTATTTGAGATGTGGAAGGAGGAGGCTGTTGCTGCTGCCCCTGAATTGTCACCTCTGCGAAAGGGGAGGGAATGTGTTAGGGCTATTGTTCCAAGCATTGTGGACCCTGGAGGGCAGAATGAGAAGTTTGGTTTGTGAGGGGATCCATTGGAGATTGGATCAGGACCAGGGAAGCCCAAAATTGTCTGGGGAGTGGAGAGTGCAGGAAGGTTTGCGTCTGACGCAGAGAGAATGAAGAGTTTGCGTGAGATTGGTGGTGGTTAGCCAGCTGCACTTGTGTCAAAAGAGTGCATCCTGATGCTGGAATTCAGACTGACCTGCTTAAATTCCACCATTTTCCACTTTTTTCATTCTTTGGAAGTACATAATCTGAGCCCAGTCTTCCCACCTGTAAATTCCCACCTCTTCGCGCTCTTGTGAGGAACCAATAAGATGAGTGTCTGAATTATGTGAGGGCCCATGCCAGGTACATCACAGGTGCTCAGAAATACTGCTCTTTCCCCTTTCTTTCTTTTCTTTCTTTCCTTCCTCTGTTTTCTTTTTTTTCTTTCTTTCTTTTCTTTTCTTTTCTTTCTTTCCCTCCCTCCCTCCCTCCCTCCCTCCCTCCCTTCCTTCCTTCCCTCCCTCCTTCCTTCCTTCCCTCCCTCCCTTCCTCCCTCCTTCCTCCCTCCCTTCCTCCCTCCTTCCCTCCCTCCCTTCCCTTCCCTTCTTTCTTTCTTTCTTCTTTTTCTTTTTTTCTTTCTTTCTTTCTTTTTTTTTTTTGACAAGGTCTCACTCTGTCTTGCCCAGGCTGGAGTGCAGTGGCATGATCATAGCTCACTGCAGCCTCGATCTCCTGGGCTCAAGTGACTCCCATCTCAGCCTCCCAAGTAGCTGGGACTACAAGCATGCACCACCATGGCTGGCTAATTTTATGTTTAGTAGGGACAAGTCCTCACTATGTTTCCTAGGCTGGTCCCAAACTCCAGGGCTCAAGTGATCTCCCCATCTTAGCCTTCCAAAGTCCTGGGATTACAGGCGTGAGCCACTGTGCCTGGCCAATGCTGCTTTTTCTTCCTGCCATTAGTTTAGCAGGATCTACAATTAGCAACATTTAAAACCAGCTGAGATTTGCTATTGGTACATCTCTCCCACCTTCTGTACACCCCACTTCTGTGTGTCATGGGCTCAAGTTAAACTTTTCGCAGAACTCACAGGCATACTGACAGTAAATCTCAGCTGAGGAAAAAAGGTTATTTTGTTGGCATTGGTCATTTTGTAAGTTGCAAGCTTGTTGTCTCCATCTGGTCACAGCAGCAAAGTACAGATGACTGCACTCTCAGAAGTTTTGTCTCTGCAAAGTAATTTCTAATTTCTACCCTAGGTTCTGATCTGAGCTTAGCTGTGGGGATCTCTGGGGCTGCTGAAGGTTCTTTGCTTGGCACCTGTATGCTGGTACTGAGAGACAGGAGCAGAGGGAGGCCAAGCTTCAGAACTCTCCAGGGACCTCCACTGAGAGACAGGGGCTTAGGTTGGGCCCTCAGTGAAGTCTTTGAAAATGCTTGCATGCCATCCTAGGTAAGGCCTTCTCAGCAGGAATCTCAGCTACCAAAGCTTCTAATTAGGGGTTAGTGGTCTGGTAACAGGGCTGAGCCTTTGCCACCATGGGTTTTCTATGTAAAGTACAGTTTTTGTTTGTGTTTTATTGTTTTCATTGTATTTTCATTGTTTTATATGGAATTTGAGTTCTCTGGCTCAGCTGCAGCCCTTACATCTCCCTTTGATTTTACCCAGGTTCCAGTTTATATATTTCCATTACTTCCTTAGCCTTGGAGAAACATTTGAATTCATGATCCCAGCATGGATTGTTTTAAGTCACTTTCTTCCAGCCCATGGCATGGACCAGCTTCTCAGTGCTGGGCAATTGCTTACACCCTTCAGCCACGGAGGCTGAGGGGAGGGGTGGGGGCAGGTGGCAGTCCATCTAAGGAAGTGTCTCCAGGTCGTTCTCTCATGGAGGACAGGGCTGTCTTTGATTCTAGTCTTCAGCCTCACAGCTGCTTCGCACCTCACAGCTGGAGCCCTTGGCTTGCTCGCCCTAAGGCAGTGGCCAGCAGTCCTGTACCAAGCTGAACTCCTCTGCTGGTAGTTGCTTACCTTTCATTTCCTACCTATTAGTATAGTTGTTTGCAAGCTTCATTTAAAATCAGATCTCTGGGGGCAGGGCTTGACACTCTATTTAGAAGCTCCCGCCCCAGAGAATTCTGCAGAAGTTCTAAGACATTGGTTCTCACCCTTAACCGCTCATTAGTACCACCCGGGAGCTTTTAACACCCAAGACCCAGGCTACCCCCAGACCACTTCCATCAGAATCTCTGGAGGTGTGACCCTGGCGTTAGTTCTTAAGGCCTCTCTGGTGATTCCAGTGTGCAGCTGATTTTTTAGTAGCACCATGCTAAAACCTCATCCTGTGCCTGCAGGAGGTTGTGATCACCATCCACGCAGGACCCAAAGCCTTTCTGTCCCACCGAAGAAACACGTGGCAGCTCTGAACACGCAAGAGAACCTTGTTATTAAGTGAAGGAGGCAGCACTTTGTTGCTTATAAATATAATTTATTACCTGTTTAAAAATTCTTTCTTACATTTTGTACATGTTGGCTGACAGAATAAATGCAGGCAATTTACAAACCAAGGGGACTGCAGGGAAAATCAGGATTGGCAGCCAGGGAGAGAAAAGAGGCACACCCGGAGCTGGTATCCCTCACCTCCACCACTCAGCAAGGCGCCGGACAGATATCCGGAGGGCACTCTGCCTCTGCCGGGGGGTTTTTTTAGAAAAGGAATTGCATAGAAGATACAGCAAGAGGGAACTCCACAACAACAAAAGTGTTCCATATCGGAAAAGCCAAGGTTGTCATGTTTTGTTTAAAAAAGAAAAACGACAAAGCACAAAACCTCAATCCGACCTTTCTGCAGTTGAACTGTTCCAAAGGGGACAGTAGGTGGATGACACTGCCTCTTCAACACGACTGCTGGGGATTTTTCTCTGACAAACATTGGTGTCTTCTTTACAAAGAGCAAAGAGGAAGGTCACCAACTTGCTTCAGCTCAACATTAAACTCAACACATATAACACCATGACATCACACACACACAGTGATGTTCCCTGCAACTGGGCTCGATGCATTATGTCTGGAGGGCGAGGGCTGCGCTACCAATGGCAGATCTAGGAAAGCGTGAAGAAGAGAATGCAAATCACTTGTTCCACTGTTCTGACTGCTGTACTTTTTCTTGTCCATGGCCTGGAGGAGTAGACATCTGAGTTTTTACCCCTACATGTACAGATGCCATTTGTTACTTTCGGGATAGAAAAGGCAAAGGTATTTTACACCAGCTGTAGATTTCTTGCTCTTATATGTCACTCCGAACAGAGTTGTTTTAACATTGAGAACCTATGTAGCTCAGGTCCCCATTCTCTGATGCTGCCTCCATAGTGCTCAGGATCAGAGGCCAAAAGAGAGCCCATCAATCCTTAGGCTGCTGATCAGCAAAACCTGCCTACAATTCATCTTCTACACACCAGTACTGAGGGTTATTCCACCCCGGATCAGCGCCATCAGGTTCTACAGCTGGTCTGATAGTACTTAGTCCAGTAGACCTTTGGAACTTAAAAATGACACACAATTTAGACATATTTGTAAAAGACCCTTAAATGGTATGACTTGCAATTTATATTTTTGTTGAAGGACAAATCTGAAATGGTATGTTAAAAGGCTGGCATTCAGTAGCAAATACTATGGCAGGTGGGCAGCTGACTATATCTCAGGGTAGCTTCCTTGTTTCTACTCAGAAGCTAGTTGGGCCACAACTGTCACGACATTCTGCAGAGATTCCCAACCTGGGATTCCAGAAGATCTCTGGACAGGTCCCTTCAGTAGGCAAGCGTCTGAGTAGACAGCAGGCTGATGAAGAGCTGCTAATAATTGGTGGGCTTGCTGTGCCAGTACACTTGCGGAGTACCTGTTGGTTTGTCCTGCTGATGCCCCCCAACCATGCTAAATAGGTCTGAGGCACACATTACATTTGGTTGAATGAGCCCGTTAATATCCTACCACAGATGAATACAATGAGGTGACAGGAAAACCTAGGAACCATGACTTATGAAGACTGGCTGTTAAAGTAGCATTTATGAAAATGGGGTAAGCACAAGGCTGATAAAACTAAAGGATCTGGAAGCTCATGGCTAGACTTAGTCTGCAGAGAAAACCCACCCAGTTCTACACAAAGCCATCTCCCCACTTTTCAAAAATAGGTTTTTCACACTAGAATTCTGGAAATGACTTCATTTGGCTTTCCTGGCCTGTATGGATATGGGTTTACATAACATTGGTTACAATATATTTATTCCCCCTTATGCCTTATTCCATTAAAAAGAAATAATTAGAGATGCAAAGGAAATCTTCCAAAGTGATCATTACAGCCAGAGATTATACAAATAGATATCTTAGGGTAGAGAAACATTACTTCATTGCCCAGAGGCAAAGTTCTAAAGATTTCAGTCAATACTAGCTCAGCAAGGTTAAAGAATATATAAAAATAATACAAAAAGAAAAATAAAAGCCAAAGAGTAATAGTTGGTCCTATGAGGCACTCGAGAGGTAAAAAAATGTTTTGTTAACTTGAGATAATAAAATATTTTCCTTATTAGATCTATAAAATCTAATGCTTATCAACCATTATCTTGAGCAATGATGTACTGCTTCACAAAAGCTCTTCCATTCTCAAAGAAGATGGATAAAGTCCCATTTCATTTCAGCTGTGTTTCCATGGGACCCCTCTCATTCATTAGCCTTGGGCTTACACTGAGTTCTCCACATGAAACTGATGACTTGTCCAGAACAACTGCCCAGCAAAAGCTAAGACTCATTCAACTTGAAGGCTTGAAAACCCAACAAGTAAACCTTTTCTACCTTCTTTATGCTCTCTTGCAAGTCCTTATATAGGTTTATATTTTCCTGGCCCCATAGGGGCAGACCTTATAGAGGCAAAGACCTTTGAATTCTGGGGAGATGGTGATCACCTTATTAACTCCCTTCTGCATACGTGGATTACAGAGGAGTAAGCAGACCAAGAGCACAGCTGCTGTGATCCTGACAGAGACACACAGAAGGACACGAGACAAGAGCCTTGTTGCTCTTTGCCAGGAGAAGTGAAAAGTCTTGATTCCACCCTCAAAACGTTGACTTTTCAGATACCTTACTTGTAGGAAAAAATACCTTAAAAAAATTACTGGTCGCATAGTTTCAGGGTGTCCTGAACTCAGTCCCCACGACTTTTTTCTCCTGAAAATCGCTCTACTTTTTGATAGTTGAGAGACTTAAATCTATAAAATAGTATATATGAAAATGGCTAATGATTATGCAGTTTGATATTGAACACCTCACCCAAAAGTTGTCCAGTTCTTGAAGAGCCTAACTTGCTCACAGCAGGATGGGGGTTTTCTGCATAGCAGAGGTGACTGTTCATTTGGAAGATGCCGTTTGTGAAACAGCTGTTAGCTGTGAGAACCTTGGTGTTACACAGGTTTGTCATCACCATGCCAGTTATCAATTCTGAATCCAACTTCTATTCCTTCCAGATACATTAAGGAAACTTGAAAGAGTGTGATAAGAAGAAAATAAAAACAGGATGAAACCTCTGCCTTTGGATTCCCAAATTCAGCAGAAAAGAAGCTGCTTTCTTCCCTTTGATTAACAACCCCAATTTTCTCTTCCCTAGACATAGTATTCCATTCGCATATATAAGACTTATTTCTTTCTAAGCAGATACTTCTTACATTTCCAAAGATAAATATTAAGGAACTAAAAGGAGATTTAAAGTATACAAACCCCAATGAAAACCATAAGTGTTAAAAATGACAACTCTTCAAAGACTGTTTTATATAGATTTTACATAGTTCTGTTACAAGAAGCAACTGAAGATATGTTGTGTATGAATGAGTTGATGTACTGGGCTCACAGTGACCTAATATTGAGATGAGTGATGCAAATGAAAAAAAAGTGAGAATAAGAAAATTATAAATTTGAAGTGAAAATTTCCCTACATCTGTTTGTCATAAAGGTCCTTGAACTCTACAGGTTTTCATTCCCTTCGTCAAACACATTCTAGTGAATATTAAACTCAGGTTAGATTGTGTTGTACACCACTAGATGGCAGCATGCACAAATGATAGTTTTTTCTATCCAAATGAAACCAGCCAAACTGCCTCTCCAGCGGTGTAGAAAGAAGCAGGATGTATCACATAGAATGGTTGATGAAGTGGCTTCCTATGAAATGAACTGTTATATCTGGACCTTCTAAGTTTGAAAGCAATCTAACAGCTATTACTTTACTCCAAAGGAGAAGGAAATCAGAATTTGTAGTGAAAATTATTTGGTATAAATAGTGTATGTATGGAAGTTGTCATTCACTTAATAGGAAACATTAAGGGTTCTGACAGATGAGTACCTCACACACGAAATCAATCACTTTTCCCTTTTCTGGTGGTGGGAAGTTGAACCAAAAAAGCATCTGAAGTGAACCCCAAGGGTTCTCAGTGACTTCAGTAAGACAAACAATTCCTGTTTGTGTTCAATAGTTCTGTGTTGGTGACTTTTTAGTCAAAATAAGTTTTTAGTAACAGTTATGGAATTGATTCATGTTCATAGCTACATAGTTGCTCCCCTCTAGTTTTCACTAGGCATAGAAGTTTCTTTGACCATTCAGTTCAGATTCTAGTTCTTGATTTCCATAGATGATTCCACAACCCTGGTACTGATGCGTAATCTTGACAAGTTTATTTCAAAATGTAGGAATGGACAATAGCTCTCTTTCCTCCTCCTCCTTTTAAAAAATGTGTGTGTATAACTGCGTGTATATATATTTGATTTTTAATTTAGAATACAGTTTTACTCATTGCTACAAACATCCACTGAACTTGTTTATAGTGCAATCTCTCCCTTCCCCAGTCAGTGTACAAATATTTTAAATATGGAAATCCTAATGCAGGGGGTGGGCTGAGAGAGATTTTATAGAATATATGTATGTATGTCCAAAACAGAAGATACGGAATAAAAAGCATGAAAGAAAGAAGAGGTTCCATAGCAAGGTATCAGCAGTTCCTCAGGGATGAGGATGGCGGAGGCATCAAGGAATCTCAAGATGCTACCAAAATAGGAGCGGAAACATGGAAAGATGGAAGCACATGTATAATTCAAGTCTGTTCAGCAACTTGTGTGCCTCCAGCCTAAAAGTAAACCACAGTCATGTTCTAAAGGTTCCGATTCATACACATGTCTGCTTGTTCTTCAGTTTTGGTTTTGCTACTGGGCTTTGATTCTTTAATCCCCACCTGCTGAATGAATTGAGTCCTTGTGTTTGTTAAAGAGCTTGTGATGGTCCCAAGGAAACATAATAGTTGTTTACACAAAGTAGTGTGTTGACTAACAAACATTTTGCAGGACAAAAGTTTTTAAAGAGCTAACTAGACAGCTTTTATAAATGCTACTGAATATTATGACAGCAAAGAAAGATTAAGGGTGGGGGGGTGTAGCGTAGAAAAAAATGCACCAAGTTCCTACTGCCAGATAAACTTGTAGGAGTGGTCTAGATATCAAGATGCCAAGACAATAATAAAAAACAGAATTTGCAACCAGTCAGGAAGGCTGGGGGCAGGGGCATCCCAAGAGAGGCTAAGAAAATGATAATAAAGGGATGTCATCTCTCAGTGAACAGCATAATGCAATGATGCAGAGCGACTCAGGCCAAACAAACAACATCATAATGCTGGTTAGAATAATCATCTTCCTTGTCAGAACTACTTGAAAGGCGTAACATAGCCTGGGCAAAAGACCAGCTGATGATTTTTAAATGATGATCCAGGTCAGAGTCCATTGTGGTCTTCAGACTGATGAATGAGACTGGAGGCATCACGGTGGAAGTTGAGCATTTCAGAACTTGGAGATGATCTAATCCCACCCTTTCACTTTCTAGTGAGGACACTGAGGTCGTGTGGTTAAATGACTTTCTCAAGGTGGCGCAACAAGACAGTGACAGACCCACAATGAGAACTGGTTTCTTGATCTCCAGTTTAGAGTCCATTCCTCCAACCACACTGCCTCTAGAGTAGAGCACCATAGGGAGTCGACGTGGGGCCACACAACGGCAATATTAAGTGAACTTAATAGAGAACACGTCTCCTTAAGACTCCTCAGAGGAGAAAGAAAGACCCTGCCTGAGCAAGCTGAAGGAACAGACTGACAAAGCCATTCAGCATTTATCAATCACCTTTCTGGGGTGGAATAAGGGAAAGGTAAAAGGTCAAGGAAGTGATGCATGTTGAATTAAACTGATGACCACACCCACCTTGATAGGTGAAAAGGTGGGACAGGTCTAGTCAATAACCAAATACTAACAAACAGCACTGCTAACAAAAATAGAAATTTAAAAAAATCATTTTACCAGAATACCTGTAAATAATAATAATACCTTTAAAAAAAAACACTTCATATTGCATATTACAAACAAACACACATGTTGTGAAAAAAATGCTTGTTTGTGGGGTTGAACATGAATCACTGTCTTCCCTGCAGTGCTACAGCTTTATTCCCAAAGGGCACCAGAAGGGTCCCTCCAAGGAATAGGAGTCTTAGTTATTTCTTTTTTACACTTAGATTCTCCACTTCCCTGATACAAACAGTAACACTGGTTCTACAAGTTCTAGAAACAGAACACTGATGGGAGGATTATCTGAGACACTTGATGCACACGATTTGTAGCAAAAGTCTGTGATTTCTCTGTAAATTACTAATCTGAAATAGACACAACAAACCGTCCACAGCTTCAACTTCAAATGATTTGAACAAAAATAGAACGAGCCATGGACAGTGTCTGCATCCCTGTCCAATTTGATGTAAACAACATTTGTAGAAATTGGGTTTGTTAAGAAAGTTTATCCATATATCTGGATAGCAATAAAAAGCGTTTCCTAGGAAACTGTAAGATCCTGTACCACACAGCATACAGCCCAACTAAGAGGAAAATTAGGTTGATAGCTAAATTCAAGGTACAAATTTACACAATTTTTCTTAACTCCCGTGATGATGTCCGAGTAAAGTGGGCATGTACATGGGCAGTTGTATCTGTTTTCCTTCTGGCTCCTGCTGCAGTCTTGCCTGTGAAGTGCATTGGTCTCATCTGGATTTCCTCCTCAGCTGTGATTCACCTGGACGGCCACAGACTCCCTGTGCATTTTTGTCCTTCATTTCCCCTTCCAGCATGGTGGTTAATACTGCCCTTCTGCTGCTAAGGACACCACCGTTTCATGTCTTCCCATTTCTTCCAAGACAGCTGCCAGCATGCTCAGGTTTCCATCTGGGAAGTTCTGTGCTTCCCAAAGATCCAGGATTACGCCAGTTGGGCTGGATTTGGTGGCAAAGTAATTCAAGTACCTGTAATTGGGAAAGAGAAAATGTGCTCAACAGTGTGACTTACATATCTATTTTTCCTCAGCTAAACCTTTCTGTCTCTCTACTTGTCTTTAAGTTTCCTGGTCCCATTGTGGCTGACAGTGAGCCATCCTAAATAACTAGCCCATGCTTAATTAGATCAGCCCCAGACAGGGGATGTGATGTTTAACTTTGTGAACCTCAGCTCTGAGTGAGATAATTTAAGAGACAAGATGTCTATGGGTCATATTCTAAACAGGAAATCAAGAGACTTATGTTTTCTTTCTAGTCCAGGCTTGGATGATCTTTGACAGGTCATGCCACATGTTATGTTTGGTAGTGACGGTGACACTCCACAAAGTAGACGCTCCAGAGGTCTCTTTATAACTTAATATCAGTGCTGTGTTGGCATGCTAATTATTAATCAAACATTAGGTCCTGCTCAACTGCAGAGGAGGAGCAATAACTACGGTAGTGAATGGCTATATGATTTGGGGAATTTAGCCCATCAGCTTGGCAAAGTGCATCACAAAACTTGATACTTACCAATGCCAGATAAGCTCAGAATGTCTCTTAGCACTCTTTGCAAGCCCGTAGTGCAAGGTACAAGGACAGAGCTTAATGCATATTTGCAAAATGAAAAATTAAATAGATGTGTGGATGGAAAAAAAAATGAAGCTAACCCTACGTCTAATAGTTATCGGTCCTGGAGGGCACTAACAGAAAGAAGCTAGTCTTGGGGCCAGACCATACCCACCTGTCCAGGTTCAGCTTATGGGCCAGCATCCTCCAGTCATGGCCTCTCGTCTGGGGGGCATCCAGGCTGCTACAGAGCTTCTGCCGGATAGGGAGAGGGATGCTGAAAGCACTGGGCCCCGTGACCGTGGTGATGGTGTTCGCAGGATCCAGCAGCGGCAAATCGATGCCAGTAGGTTCCTGTAGTTCAGGGACAGGAACAACACAGCATTATTTCTGAGGACAAAAGCAATCTCTATTGAACCAATCAACATAATGCCTTGCTTTGAGTGATAAGAAAAGAATGAATGCTGTTATTCTTCTTAGGAAGAATGGCTTCTTCTTAGCCTGAAAGTTGTGCATCACTAGATGTAACCTGGCTCAGAGATAGAGGTACATACATTTTGAGCTAACTTTGCATAGCCTCAGATTTGTGAGTCTTTGGTGAGGACTGGGCTGGATGGAAAGCTCTGGTGTGATTCGATAACAGCTTTACTAATGGGATTCTCCAGGCTGAGAGAGAAGAGAGGGAATATCAGAGCTCCTAAAGGTTTAAATTTCAGGAGAGGAAAATGTTCAAAAGGGCAGTGCTTTGGGAATGAATAGATCTGAGATTCAAGGCTTCTGGAAACAGCCTGACCTTGAGGAGAAAGTCCTGGGCAAATGCTCCAGTAGTTCTGCTAAACTCCACAGAAGATGTCTCAGTTCTGCTTTTGTTGAATGAACTGGAACATAGCTCTCCTCTAAATGATATCAACTTAAGGCTAATTTCTTAAAAAAGAAAATGGTAAACACAGTATATTATTGCCTTAGGGCAAGTTGTTAATGGCATCCTCCAATTGCTGTATATCCTTATTTTTTAAAAATCTAATTTTAGTAGAGAAAACCATAAATTGGCTCTTAAGATAGTCTCAGCTCATAAAACAGCACAAATGCAAAATCTGAATTTCATCTGCAGGAGAAATTCTAATCATTTTCTGATCACTTGTGCTGGTTGGAAAAGCAAAAGCAAATGGTGCCTGGGAACTATTAAAGCAATAAAAGAAAATCTACTTAATCTACTATAAATGCCATCTCTCTCTATTTTTTTTTTCTTTTTTATTTATTTATTATTATTATACTTTAAGTTTTAGGGTACATGTGCACAATGTGCAGGTTAGTTACATATGTATACACGTGCCATGCTGGTGCGCTGCACCCACTAACTCATCATCTAGCATTAGGTATATCTCCCAATGCTATCCCTCCCCCCTCCCACCTCCCCCTACCCCACAACAGTCCCCAGAGTGTGATGTTCCCCTTCCTGTGTCCATGTGTTCTCATTGTTCAATTCCCCCGTGAGTGAGAATATGCAGTGTTTGGTTTTTTGTTCTTGTGATAGTTTACTGAGAATGATGATTTCCAATTTCACCCATGTCCCTACAAAGGACATGAACTCATCCTTTTTCATGGCTGCATAGTATTCCATGGTGTATATGTGCCACATTTTCTTAATCCAGTCTATCATTGTTGGACATTTGGGTTGGTTCCAAGTCTTTGCTATTGTGAATAGTGCCGCAGTAAACATACGTGTGCATGTGTCTTTATAGCAGCATGATTTATAGTCCTTTGGGTATATACCCAGTAATGGGATGGCTGGGTCAAATGGTATTTCTAGTTCTAGATCCCTGAGGAGTCGCCACACTGACTTCCACAATGGTTGAACTAGTTTACAGTCCCACCAACAGTGTAAAAGTGTTCCTGTTTCTCCACATCCTCTCTAGCACCTGTCGTTTCCTGACTTTTTAATGATTGCCATTCTAACTGGTGTGAGATGGTATCTCATTGTGGTTTTGATTTGCATTTCTCTGATGGCCAGTGATGGTGAGCATTTTTTCATGTGTTTTTTGGCTGCATAAATGTCTTCTTTTGAGAAGTGTCTGTTCATGTCCTTCGCCCACTTTTTGATGGGGTTGTTTGTTTTTTTCTTGTAAATTTGTTTGAGTTCATTGTAGATTCTGGATATTAGCCCTTTGTCAGATGAGTAGGTTGCGAAAATTTTCTCCCATTTTGTAGGTTGCCTGTTGACTCTGATGGTAGTTTCTTTTGCTGTGCAGAAGCTCTTTATTTTAATGAGATCCCATTTGTCAATTTTGGCTTTGGTTGCCATTGCTTTTGGTGTTTTAGACATGAAGTCCTTGCCCATGCCTATGTCCTGAATGGTAATGCCTAGGTTTTCTTCTAGGGTTTTTATGGTTTTAGGTCTAACGTTTATGTCTTTAATCCATCTCGAATTGATTTTTGTATAAGGTGTAAGGAAGAGATCCAGTTTCAGCTTTCTACATATGGTTAGGCAGTTTCCTCAGCACCATTTATTAAATAGGGAATCATTTCCCCATTGCTTGTTTTTCTCAGGTTAGTCAAAGATCAGATAGTTGTAGATATGCGGCGTTATTTCTGAGGGCTCTGTTCTGTTCCATTGGTCTATATCTCTGTTTTGGTACCAGTACCATGCTGTTTTGGTTACTGTAGCCTTGTAGTATAGTTTGAAGTCAGGTAGTGTGATGCCTCCAGCTTTGTTCTTTTGGCTTAGGATTGACTTGGCAATGCGGGCTCTTTTTTGGTTCCATATGAACTTGAAAGTAGTTTTTTCCAATTCTGTGAAGAAAGTCATTGGTAGCTTGATGGGGATGGCATTGAATCTATAGATTACCTTGGGCAGTATGGCCATTTTCACGATATTGATTCTTCCTACCCATGAGCATGGAATGTTGTTCCATTTGTTTGTATCCTCTTTTATTTCCTTGAGCAGTGGTTTGTAGTTCTCCTTGAAGAGGTCCTTCATGTCCCTCGTAAGTTGGATTCCTAAGTATTTTATTCTCTTTGAAGCAATTGTGAATGGGAGTTCACTCATGATTTGGCCCTCTGTTTGTCTGTTATTGGTGTATAAGAATGCTTGTGATTTTTGTACATTGATTTTGTATCCTGAGACTTTGCTGAAGTTGCTTATCAGCTTAAGGAGATTTTGGACTGAGACGATGGGGTTTTCTAGATATACAATCATGTCATCTGCAAACAGGGACAATTTGACTTCCTCTTTTCCTAACTGAATACCCTTTATTTCCTTCTCCTGCCTAATTGCCCTGGCCAGAACTTCCAACACTATGTTGAATAGGAGTGGTGAGAGAGGGCATCCCTGTCTTGTGCCAGTTTTCAAAGGGAATGCTTCCAGTTTTTGCCCATTCAGTATGATATTGGCTGTGGGTTTGTCATAGATAGCTCTTATTATTTTGAGATACGTCCCATCAATACCTAATTTATTGAGAGTTTTCAGCATGAAGGGTTGTTGAATTTTGTCAAAGGCCTTTTCTGCATCTATTGAGATAATCATGTGGTTTTTGTCTTTGGTTCTGTTTATATGCTGGATTACATTTATTGATTTGCGTATATTGAACCAGCCTTGCATCCCAGGGATGAAGCCCACTTGATCATGGTGGATAAGCTTTTTGATGTGCTGCTGGATTCGGTTTGCCAGTATTTTATTGAGGATTTTTGCATCAATGTTCATCAAGGATATTGGTCTAAAATTCTCTTTTTTGGTTGTGTCTCTGCCAGCCTTTGGTATCAGGATGATGCTAGCCTCATAAAATCAGTTAGGGAGGATTCCCTCTTTTTCTATTGATTGGAATAGTTTCAGAAGGAATGGTAGCAGCTCCTCCTTGTACCTCTGGTAGAATTCGGCTGTGAATCCATCTGGTCCTGGACTCTTTTTGGTTGGTAAGCTATTGATTATTGCCACAATTTCAGCTCCTGTTATTGGTCTATTCAGAGATTCAACTTCTTCCTGGTTTAGTCTTGGGAGAGTGTATGTGTTGAGGAATTTATCCATTTCTTCTAGATTTTCTAGTTTATTTGCATAGAGGTGTTTGTAGTATTCTCTGCTGGTAGTTTGTATTTCTGTGGGATCATTGGTGATATCCCCTTTATCATTTTTTATTGCGTCTATTTGATTCTTCTCTCTTTTTTTCTTTATTAGTCTTGCTAGCAGTCTATCAATTTTATGGATCCTTTAAAAAAACCAGCTACTGGATTCATTAATTTTTTGAAGGGTTTTTTGTGTCTCTATTTCCTTCAGTTCTGCTCTGATTTTAGTTATTTCTTGCCTTCTGCTAGCTTTTGAATGTGTTTGCTCTTGCTTTTCTAGTTCTTTTAATTGTGATGTTAGGGTGTCAATTTTGGATCTTTCCTGCTTTCTCTTGTGGGCATTAAAGTGCTATAAATTTCCCTCTACACACTGCTTTGAATGGGTCCCAGAGATTCTGGTATGTTGTGTCTTTGTTCTCGTTGGTTTCAAAGAACATCTTTATTTCTGCCTTCATTTTGTTATTTACCCAGTAGTCATTCAGGAGCAGGTTGTTCAGTTTCTATGTAGTTGAGCGGTTTTGAGTGAGATTCTTAATCCTGAGTTCTAGTTTGATTGCACTGTGGTCTGAGAGATAGTTTGTTATAATTTCTGTTCATTTACATTTGCTGAGGAGAGCTTTACTTCCAAGTATGTGGTCAATTTTGGAATAGGTGTGGTGTGGTGCTGAAAAAAATGTATATTCTGTTGATTTGGGGTGGAGAGTTCTGTAGATGTCTATTAGGTCTGCTTGGTGCAGAGCTGAGTTCAATTCCTGGGTATCCTTGTTGACTTTCTGTCTCATTGATCTGTCTGATGTTGACAGTGGGGTGTTAAAATCTCCCATTATTAATGTGTGGGAGTCTAAGTCTCTTTGTAGGTCACTCAGGACTTGCTTTATGAATCTGGGTGCTCCTGTATTGGGTGCATATATATTTAGGATAGTTAACTCTTCTTGTTGAATTGATCCCTTTACCATTATGTAATGGCCTTCTTTGTCTTTTTTGATCTTTGTTGGTTTAAAGTCTGTTTTATCAGAGACTAGGATTGCAACCCCTGCCTTTTTTTGTTTTCTATTTGCTTGGTAGGTCTTCCTCCATCCTTTTATTTTGAGCCTATGTGTGTCTCTGCACGTGAGATGGGTTTCCTGAATACAGCACACTGATGGGTCTTGACTCTTTATCCAATTTGCCAGTCTGTGTCTTTTAATTGGAGCATTTAGTCCATTTACATTTAAAGTTAATATTGTTATGTGTGAATTTGAGCCTGTCATTATGATGTTAGCTGGTTATTTTGCTCGTTAGTTGATGCAGTTTCTTCCTAGTCTCAATGGTCTTTACATTTTGGCATGATTTTGCAGTGGCTGGTACCGGTTGTTCCTTTCCATGTTTAGTGCTTCCTTCAGGAGCTCTTTTAGGGCAGGCCTGGTGGTGACAAAATCTCTCAGCATTTGCTTGTCTGTAAAGTATTTTATTTCTCCTTCACTTATGAAGCTTAGTTTGGCTGGATATGAAATTCTGGGTTGAAAATTCTTTTCTTTAAGAATGTTGAATATTGGCCCCCACTCCCTTCTGGCTTGTAGAGTTTCTGCTGAGAGATCAGGTGTTAGTCTGATGGGCTTCCCTTTGTGGGTAACCCGACCTTTCTCTCTGGCTGCCCTTAACATTTTTTCCTTCATTTCAACTTTGGTGAATCTGACAATTATGTGTCTTGGACTTTCTCTTCTTGAGGAGTATCTTTGTGGCATTCTCTGTATTTCCTGAATCTGAGTGTTGGCCTGCCTTGCTAGACTGGGGAAGTTCTCCTGGATAATATCCTGCAGAGTGTTTTCCAACTTGGTTCCATTCTCCCCATCACTTTCAGGTACACCAATCAGATGTAGATTTGGTCTTTCCACATAGTCCCATATTTCTTGGAGGCTTTGCTCATTTCTTTTTATTCTTTTTTCTCTAAACTTCCTTCTCGCTTCATTTCATTCACTTCATCTTCCATCGCTGATACCCTTTCTTCCAGTTGATCGCATTGGCTCCTGAGGCTTCTGCATTCTTCACGTAGTTCTTGAGCCTTGGTTTTCAGCTCCATCAGCTCCTTTAAGCACTTCTCTGTATTGGTTATTCTAGTTATACATTCTTCTAAATTTTTTTCAAAGTTTTCAACTTCTTTGCCTTTGGTTTGAATTTCCTCCCATAGCTCGGAGTAATTTGATCATCTGAAGCCTTCCTCTCTCAGCTCGTCAAGGTCATTCCCTGTCCAGCTTTGTTCCATTGCTGGTGAGGAACTGCGTTCCTTTGGAGGAGGAGAGGCGCTCTGCTTTTTAGAGTTTCCAGTTTTTCTGCTCTGTTTTTTCCCCATCTTTGTGGTTTTATCTACTTTTGGTCTTTGATGATGGTGATGTACAGATGGGTTTTTGGTGTGGATGTCCTTTCTGTTTGTTAGTTTTCCTTCTAACAGACAGGACCCTCAGCTGCAGGTCTGTTGGAATACCTGGCCGTGTGAGGTGTCAGTCTGCCCCTGCTGGGGGGTGCCTCCCAGTTAGGCTGCTCAGGGGTAGGGGTCAGGGACCCACTTGAGGAGGCAGTCTGCCCGTTCTCAGATCTCCAGCTGCGTGCTGGGAGAACCACTGCTCTCTTCAAAGCTGTCTGACAGGGACATTTAAGTCTGCAGAGGTTACTGCTGTCTTTTTGTTTGTCTGTGCCCTGCCCCCAGAGGTGGAGCCTGCAGAGGCAGGCAGGCCTCCTTGAGCTGTGGTGGGCTCCACCCAGTTCGAGCTTCCTGGCTGCTTTGTTTACCTAAGCAAGTCTGGGCAATGGCGGGGGCCCCTCCCCCAGCCTCGCTGCCGCCTTGCAGTTTGATCTCAGACTGCTGTGCTAGCAATCAGCGAGACTCTGTGGGCGTAGGACCCTCCGAGCCAGGTGCGGGATATAATCTCCTGGTGTGCCGTTTTTTAAGCCCGTGGGAAAAGCGCAGTACTTGGGGGGGAGTGACCCGATTTTCCAGGTGCCGTCTGTCACCCCTTTCTTTGACTAGGAAAGGGAACTCCCTGACCCCTTGCACTTCCCGAGTGAGGCAATGCCTTGCCCTCCTTCGGCTCACGCACGGTGCGCGCACCCACTGACCTGCGCCCACTGTCTGGCACTCCCTAGTGAGATGAACCCGGTACCTCAGATGGAAATGCAGAAATCACCCATCTTATGCGTCGCTCACACTGGGAGCTGTAGACTGGAGCTGTTCCTATTCGGCTGTCTCTCTCTTTTTAAAGCACGTAACTTGTTGGTGTTCCTCACTAGTTGCCAGAGGATGAACTAACTGGCCACACCCAGTTTCAGCCATCATGAAGTGTTTGGTTCCTGCTGAGTGCTCAGCTCAGGGGCTCAACACCACCATCATCACCCAGAGCGCCCCCCATATGCTGCCCTGCACCGCTTCAGTGGCCTCCCCAGCCGTGAATGCACTGGCACTGCAGGCGGTGAGGTTGCAACTGCCTGTGTGCCAGTGTTGATTAGCAGTATGTTCCACATTCTGCGATCAGCAGCAAGTGCTCACTTCTAGGCTTATGCAATCCCATGGAACAGGGTCAATCCAGGGGTGTGGAGGGCATTTGAAATCTTTTGCCATGGTATGCACAGTGCTGTTGGCTGTGATCATGGTATTTGTCCTCAAATACATATATATATGTATTTAGAGACAAGGTCTTCATGTGGTAGGAGGGGCATTTGACACTTCTCTGTCACCCAGGCTGGAGTGCCATGGTGTGATCATAGCTTGCTGCAGCCTTGAATTCTTGGGCTCAAGCGATCCTCCCACCTCAGTCTCCCAAATAGCTGAGACTATCGGTGTGCACCATCACACTGGGCTAATTTGCCTTTTTTTTTTTTAAGAGATGATGGGGTCTCACTGTGTTGTCCAGATTGGTCTCAAACTCCTAGGCTCAAGTGATCCTCCTAGCTCAGCCTCCCAAAGTCATGGGATTACAGGTGTGAGCCACCATACCTGGCCCAGTGAGGGATCTTTATATGACCTTCCTGGTTGGCTGGTATGAGGCTGCAAGGTGACCATGTGAAGTGCAGAATGCAGTCGGACATGGAGTAGGGCTGTTCACCTGTGCTTCCACCACTTCACAATCTAATCTCAGGTTGCCCCGTCCTTACCGTGACTTGACCTGACTCATAGGCTCCTTAGAGTCTGAGCACCACTCACTAGTTCTCATGCCATTTCTAAGGATGCACCTCTAATAGTTATTCTGCTCTTTCTTTTCTTTGATCTCTGTCAGGCAAAGTCCTCAAAGCCTGGTCCAAAAGTCCTGTGCCCTGGGGCCCCCCTGGGCGAGCATACCCTAGGCGTCAGGCCTGGAGGTCTCCTCGGTGCCTCCCAGCTCTTCTGTGCTCCTCACACTCTGCTCTGTGCACATTGGCTGTATTTGTAGGTTACTGCCTTTTATTTCTCACATTTCTTTCTTTTTGGTGAGAGTATATCAATCAATCAATCATCCTCAGACCTCTATGATAACACTGTGCCCCACACACAAGAAGCTACTCAATTAATGTTTGTTTGTTGAAATGAGAGAAAATATTTGTCCTTAGTACAGAAAGAAGATGAAGCCAACCTCTGATAGAAGCCCACCCATAGACTAGGGTGTTGAGCTGCCTTCCAACTAAATGTGGAAGTTAAATCCTGAAATGAGAGGCCAGTTGAAGATAGATAGGCATGGATCTTGGGAAGGCGTGCTCACATATTCATGTTGTCCCCATTTTCTTGTGGATAAAGAACTCTCCTCAGCATTTCATGTGGGCATTGAAGTCCTGAGCTCTCTATCCCTGGCTACTCACTCAGCCTATTTATTTCTGTGTAGATGAAACAAGCTCAATAGGGCATCATTTCTTTGTTTCTTTCTCTTATCAAATGGCTGACAACAGCCTTGAAAGTTAAAGTAAAATACGTTTATACATTTACATTTCATCTAGTAATTTTAGTTGCTATTAGTTCTTCCTTTACTTCCAGGTAAAAGTAGAGTTTACTCTCACAGAATGCTTATTTCAATAATCATTTATAATATCAGTACCATTGGTCTTTGATGTTATGATTCCCTTATGTAAACATATGATTTTTCAACATTAGTCAAACAGCTGCTATGGGTGATGACACACATATTCAGGACTCCACAGTCCTGAAACAACTTTCTATTCTGATATTTGGACTTTTCCTAAAGTCGCTTAGAAAAACTAGATTTTCCCAATGGTCATTTTGAGCAGGTTATGGAAAGCAGAAGATGTAAACAGATGAAATGGCTGTAGCAGAGTGATATTACTTTGTACATTTATTTTAAATAAATATTATTTGTGTATACAGAAGTGCTGTGCACCACAACTTAAGAGGTTATAAGATCTAGCAAATATAAAACTTAATTATAATTGCTTTTATTACCTATAAATCTATTATTAAAGTAAAGTAGATGAGAACGGGCGTGGTGGCTCACGCCTATAATCCCAGCACTTTGGGAGGCTGAGGTGGGTGGATGACCTGAGCTCAGGAGTTCGAGACCAGCCTAGCCAACGTGGTGAAACCCTGTCTCTACTAACAATACAAAAATCAGCTGGGTGTGGTGGCATATGCCTGTGATCCCAGCTACTCAGGAGGCTGAGGCAGGAGAATTGTTTGAACCCAGGAGGCGGAGGTTGCAGTGAGCTGAAGTCGTGCCACTGCACTCCAGCCTGGGCCACAGAGCAAGACTCCTTCTCAAAAAAAAAAAAAAAAAAAGAAAAAGATGACTGACTAATAAATACTGCCCCCTAAAACTGCACCTTTTTTCAGGGTTCAGAGCTTTCAAGTAAAGCAATGTGATAAACCAACTTGGGGATACATGCTACCTTCTTTTCTCTGGGAGCTAATTTTTGTTTATATTTAGTTTTCATTTATTTATATAGGATCTGAGTTTTATTTTTGTGTTTATTTTGATTGATGATAGAAAGAAAATCTGAAACCTCAATTGATGACAGACCCCCCCCACGGATTGAAGTAGCAAAGTTGACTCAAAAGCCCTGTTATCCTTATGGCATCAGTGGCACCAGTAAAAATGGTGAACATAGATTAAGCATGTGCTCTGGGCCAAGTTCTGTTTAGAACACTTACTTACTAACAAACATTCTCCCATTTAATTCCCACACTGGCCCAAGATAATATTCTATACCAATTTACAATGGGGAAACTGAGGCAAGAAAGGATTAAGTAATTGGCCCTATCTATCTCCATGGAACAGCCTACTTGGGAATTTCCCATGATGGATGTCTGCCTGTAACTGAAACAAAATAGAAGATGTGAAAAAACTGTAAATTTATCATCTGTCCTCTGCACCATGTTTTCTTTTCTTTTGGAGATAATGAGTAGCTTCCTGGTTACTCTCTCTGCACTTGTCTATGAAACCAACAAACAAAATCTTTTATCATCTTTTACATTTTGACATTCATTTGTGTCAATACAGTTAGTTAGTCTTCCAGACATTTTCCTTCTTAAACTTCATCTCTGTGAAATTAATTAAAGCCTTTGTCTCTAGTTAAGGAATCCCTGGCTAAATCACCCAGAGACAACTGGCTGGCCCTTGAAATAATCAGAGTACATGTCACGCACAGCCTGGTCTCTGGGGTGGGCAACAGGTCCTCTGTCTGACAGGACAGGCCAAGGGCTGTGTAGCTTTATAAATGACGACTGGTGAGTGCGTCCGGTGGTGGGTGGCTGGAGGGAGGGGCAGCACATTTCTGGCAAGCCAGCTCATTCCTGGGAGATAGGACATTGGAACGGGAACCCCAGCCTCATTGCCATCTTGCCCTGTGACCCTAGGAAGGAGCCCTGTTCAGAAGAAAGAAACCACAAATGGAGCCTTTTCTCTACTTGTTTATGGTTTGTCAATCATCTTGTACCCTTTCTTGAAGGTTTTGTTGAGGATCTGGGTCCCATAACTCTACAGAGTCCATTGTTCTTCAGCGCAGAGGCTTCCTCTCCAACATCAGTACACCCATCCACACTCCCTCCTCTGCGCACCCAGCACCCGCATTCAAATGCTAACCACAACAGTGGGATTCAGTGACCCAGAAGGAAAAGCCGCAGAGTGCCCCTTAATCCCCCAAAGTCATCTTGACTCCCCTCACTTCTTCCCCGCCCTCAGTTAAATATGCTTGTCTGTCACACAAGGGCAGATGCCTCTGACATGACTGAAGGCTGGTCTCTTTGAGCAGACTGACACCGTGTTGCAAAAGAAGTAATCTTTCCTCTGTGTTGCCATAAGAAAGCAAAAGCCCTTAAATTGTGATCACACTATGCAAAACTGTCCTTTTTCTGAAGGGAGGTGGCAGCCCTGGCGCGGGAGAGCACAGAGCAGCTCTCTTTCATTTGTGGCTGCATCTGATCCACCTTTTTAACACGCAGCCAATGTTCATGTGGAACAGAAAGCAAGCATCAAAGGACCAGACCCCCTCACCCCCCTCCAAAATTCCGCAGCCTTTGTTGTCACTGGAGCTGGGTGGTTATTGAACTTTGCAGACCTGCTGGGCCTGGAAAGTGAAAACACCCTCCCGAGCCAGCAGGGGTGGTGCTGTGTGCCTGGGAGATAGGGCTGCGCATCCGAAGGCCTGGCGGTTGCCATGGCACCCTGACACCGAGATCATTCCTTATGAATGTCACCGGGGGCTGTGACTAAAGTTGTTTATGAGTCAAAAGTCTCATGAAACTACAGGAGGAAATGATGACCGCACCTCGGCAGGCTGTGGGAAAGAAAGAAGGATGGAGTGTAGCGGAAGCTGATGTGCTTTTCTCCCCACTCGGTTTGCTAAGGAAGATGGTCTTTAAATATGACATGTGAAGCAAGACAAGCTGAACATGCTGACATTGCATTCGTCACTGTGCATGACACAACGAGGGAGAGGTAGTATTTTAAATCATATACTGGCCCGCTGTCATTTTCACATATGACAATCTTGTGCTTTGTGGCTTAGCACGCAGCACAGGGCTTAGCTCCATGAGGCCCCAAAGAGGCTGCCTTCTGCCCTTTTGGCTTCTTCTCTTCCCTTTGTTCCTCTGGTGTGAAGGGTTATCAATTTTCAAGGCTTTGGATCCAAGGTAACAGATAAGGAAGGTCATGGGCACTTCCTCTTTCCTTAAGGAGAAGTTTTAGATAGCAGTGATCACTATTATTTCTGTAATATGGACACAGGGAAATAGCCAACTGAAGTGTGTGAAGATCACAGCAAAGGAAGGCAAAGCTGATGGCCACAGGGGGGAAATACGGAGATTCTACTTCTATTTGTGGCATATTTCCCCCATCCCGGAGGAAAGTGTATCTCTCTTTATATTTAGAGAATGATAGAGAGAAAGGAGATCAAGAGATTTCTCCTTTCTTCCTTTGAATGGAGAAGAAGAAAAAGGGAGCAGAGAAGCCCCTCTCCTTTCTTCCACTCCACCCAGCAGCAGGTGATTAGGGGAAAGGGAGGAGAGTTGCTGAGAAAGAAGCAGAAAGGGAGGAGAGACAGATGGAGGATGGGGGAACATGGCACGCTAAGGGATGCATGGGGAGAAGTTACTCCATGTGCACGCTCCTTAAATTAAACCTTTACTTGAAATTCAGATCTGTTTTTACAAGTTAGAACATAATTCTTAAAATTCATGTCATAAAAATTAAGACTTGTTTTTCAAAAAGGATCCCTTAATATATATATATTTTTTTCTGCAGCTAGCTTCCATTGCTCATTACAAATATTATTCTATTAACAAATAGGATCTATAGAAAGCTTTTGAGGACTTCCCATATGGACTATGTTGAGATACCCTTTTAGCCCACACACTCTGTCTTCCTGAGTGTCGCACTCTCCCCTGATTTCAGACAGACAGGAGCCACTTACCTCTGACACGGTGCAGTTGAGCTGGAAGATCTGCCCTTCTCCTTCCACCTGCCGCACACAGAGTTTGCAAACCAGCTCCACTGTGTTCAGGCTAAATCTTTCCAGAGTGAAGGTGCAGTGCAGGTTTCTTTGAGATCCACTCCAAACATGGTAAAATGGAATTTCCTAAAGGATATGAAAGTGTTAACCACAATTGAAGGACTAATACCAAAAATAACTCTCAGATGGTCTGCTGCCAGGTACTCTGAGTATCACACCTGTGGCCTCATTTAATCCTCACAACAGCCCTATGTTTAAGTACATCCTGGACCCTTATCACATGAAAAACTTGAGGGCCAGAGAGGTTCAATAACTTACCCCAAATCACACAGCAAGTAAGTAGCAGGGCTGAGATTTGAACCTAAGGAGTCAGCCTCCAGAATCCATGTACCTAACCAGTCTGCCACATGTCTCTAATTTACAACAACAGGAACCATTGTAAATGATTAAAAAAAAAAAAGAGTTTATACAATTCCCAAAATAAAACTTGCACACACCAGCCATTGCTCATTAATAGAATCCCTGTCGTGACATTCTGGAGAAAAGCAAAGAAAGTCTAAAGGATACTGCACTGATGTGGCTCCCTTTCATGCTTTACATCCTCCTCTGCCCAGGACAGGGGAAGCCAAAACCCACTACAGTTGGAAACTTCAGACTCAATTAGCTGCCACAGAAAAGTTCTTGGCACCAAGCATCGAACAGGCTTTAATTTTCTAAAAGTCTAGACCACCTTACAGAGCCTATCCTAGAATCTGTTTTCAATAAAGGAAAGAAAAGGTTGCCACATAAAAAATGGGAGAGCATGGCTGTAAAAAGCAGTGGCTTCGGAGCCAAATCCAGTACAAATAAGAACCCCTTATTTCGCTTACTTGATAACCTGGGGCAAATTACTTAATCTTTCCATTGCTCAGTTTTCCTATCTGCAAAAGAGTAAACAAAGAGCTTCTCATTCGTAGGTCTGCTGGGGTTAAATGAGCTAAACCAATGTATGAAGAGAGTGTCCAGCAGATGGTAAGCATTCGGCCAGGCTTAGCTTTAACTAATATCATATTATCATTATCATTAAAATAGTATTTTCTTATAATTGTATAAAAGAAATTACTCCTAAAACAGGGAGATTTATAGTATTTTATGACAACTGCAACACAGAGGAAAGAAGAAAGCAAAGAAAGAGGTATACTGAGTAAGTCAGAAGCCTTCTGTCTCCATCAAGGACTGAGCTGTGCATAGAGAGTCTGGCATGCAACCTCCGTCAAAGCTCATGATTGTTAACAAACCAGTAGGCTTGTTTCCCATAATTTATGTGTAGGAACTAGACCAATGAGAGTGAGAATGGAGCCAGAATGTCTTCCCATCAGTCTTCCAGTATGTTCATTGGCTTACATCAGGAAATAGCTACCAGTTCAGAGGCAATGCTGGGGTTTGGGTTGAATTTGCATAAATATCAACATGGATTCACAGCTCTCTAAATATGTCTGCCCCTCCTAGGATGGCATATGAGGCTTGCAATCCCGCCAAAGTGGTTTTCTCAAGAGCTCAGGCTGACGGATGAAGGAGGGGAAAATTCCTTGAGGGTCATGTGATTTTCCCCCAGGTATATACAAATGACACTTGGGACCAGTATTTTCTTGTCTCTTGTTTAATAATATCCTGATTGGGTTTTACTTTTACATGCTATTTCAGTTCTCCAAAGTAGGGCTCCCTCTAATTTTTCAATGTAAGGGTACTGGCCTAGGAAGGCTGAAGCCTAATTTGTGTCCCATGGAATAAAAATGTCCTTCTGTTTGTTTCTGTGAATGCATTTCAAGCTGTTTTTACCCATTGATGTGAACATTTAGTATGAAAATTAATTGAAATGATGGATTTGGAAGCCTTTCATTTATTAAAAATAAAACAATGATAGTACATTTATTTAAAGGAAGAATTTTTAAAAAGCATTCCCTCAAATATGTCTGTGTTTCTCAAAAATCCTAAATAACCCCAAACTATTTTGGAGAAACAAGTAATGACATATGATTAATTTCAAGGAAGGGGATTTCCTATGTCTATATAATTTTAGACCTCTTTCTTAGAGATGTCTCCAGACCTTTTGTTCGGCTTGGGAACCTTACCTGATATTTAGCCAGCAATTTGCTCTTCCAGAGGGAATGGGCGATATCGTGAATTGACAGGCGCAGGTTGTGGGTGCTGCCTTTAAAATGAAGAGCCTTAGGTTCTTCTAGGAGCTGTCCTCCCATCTGTCTCTCAAGATGTAAAATTTCCTATAATGACATGCCCCAAACCCAAAGCACGTTATTGATTTGGATCACTTCTGTCAGCTCTCTCATTGAATAAGTTTCTTTACTGCCTCCTGAATGGCAGGCGGAACTTGTGCAACACCTTGAACACCCACTTTTGCAGCCTCGAGACCCTCTAACTAAACTAACTAAAGCCCCTCCCATTTTGTATGGGACCAGACCCTAATAACAAACTATGTTTTGGCAGTCTACATCACACTGTTGAGGAGCAATTTCATACAGTTTGCCCTTTACCGACTGATGAGTGGAGTATTTATCAAATATGGGGGAATAACATCAGAACTCAAAACCAGAGAGCCATAAATTAAAGAAAAAATAGGTAGAAATGTAGACAAACTGATTGATAAGAAAGTAGATTTTCAATTAACTTTTACAAAAAGGGACAAATAACTAGAAGAGATACTCATTCCTTGGACTTGATAAAACCAAACAACAAATAAAAAATTAGAACCTGTTTTAGACATTTAGTTCAATCTCTTATAGTTACTTCAAGTACAGAAATAAAAATATAAAAAGTTTGCTTAAAATGATTTATGCATAATTCCCAATTATTAAAAAAATTAGAATATGCTAATTATATATTCTATTAAAGGAAAATATTCCGATACAGATTAGGAAGGTTTTTAAACACCAAATATTGAACTAAACAGTTACTCCAATTACATTTTCAAAAGAATATTTTTGTTTCTCGAGAATTGTGGCTGATGAAAAAATTTGCTACATAATTTTCTTATACTATACAGATACAACATAAAGACAGATTCTATATATACTTCCATTTCTCAGGCTAGTTAATGGGAGTTAATGAAGCATTTCCAACTGCAGCTGTAATTATCCAAACAGCAGCAAACCATTAGTTATCAATGAACAAACTATCTTGGGTCTCCTCTGCTGTCTGAACCATCCCTATGCACGTTACTCCTCTCATGCCTTAAAAGTTTTAATGGTACAAATACACAGGAAATTTGTGACCCATTTTAAAATAAGGGTCCAGGAATATATGGATTTTAGAAAAAAAGCAAAATATAATTTTTTCTTTGGTGCTATTTCAATAAAAAGCAGGGAATTCAAGAACACAGGTGTTCATTCAGACTGTAACATGCATGGATTGGGTACCCACCAGGGTACCAAGCACAGGTGGGTCGCAGTGGAGGATTTCAGGCATGGGAACCAGATTGCCTCATATTCAGAAAAATGCATCCACCTTGCATTTGTTGAACGAATTCTAACCCATGCACTTGTAGAGCAGTAAGTGTGGTGGCTACCACGATCATTGATTACATGCAAACAGCTCATTTCAAGATGCTGCGTTAGTGGTTCTTAATATCTGTCATCTTTTGGTGAGGCAACTATTCTGAACCATGCAAGCTGCTCGAAGGTCCTATAAGGTGTAAAAAAATATTAGGATAATGTGGAATGTGGTTTCAGACAGGGCGTCCTCTAGTTAGTATCTAATGGAAGAGATGAGGCAATAGCACACTGACGTAGACAAGTGTGTGGTCCAGCTGCCTGAGAGTATTGACCTGCTACTTAATGTTGCTGGCTGATGAGTAGCTATGGCTTGTGACAGGAGCCCGAGCAGTCAGCCAGCCCCCAGCCACAGTCAGCCAGACACCTTGACACATATGTTGTGTCATTGTCCCCCTAGTCTGCTGTGCCTGAGCTCAGCAGGCTCCGAGGGTCTCCCGTAGGCCATACAGACCCATCCAGCCTTGAGTCACACACGCTCCTCACAGAACGTGGCACACCCCACTCCATGACACCCCACTCCACGACAAGAATAGAGCCATGTGGAAGTGGAGAAGAAGAAGAAAAGTGAGGGTTAATTGCAGTTTCTTCTGCTTCAGCAGGAAGGCATAATGAGCTTATGTTGATCATGTTTGGTGTCTAGTTAGCATAATAGAGAAAGCTGATGTTCCCAGTGAACCTGGCACCTGACAAATTCTAAAGCTAAAATGATGTTTGTTTATAAGCCATTAGAAGAAAAGAAACATAATTAGAAATCTTTGAGATTACAGTCATGCCAATCAATCAGTTCCAGCTTCTTTCTTTCCATATGCCCTAATTACCTCATCAAGACGTCTAAAGAGCAATCGATAGTAATTATCTGATTACTATAGATCTTCATTATGTCGAAATTATCTCCCTGGGATGTCTAAAAGAAGATGCATTGTATTCCAGGAGGTAATTGTACCCAACAATGTATAATCCACACCCCATTCCTACAATCAACATAGACTGCCAGAGGATATGAAGAGCATTATCAGTTTTCTTGGCAGGCAGGACATTGAAAAAAACCCAAACTGCCTATTGGCCATGACCTTGAAGTCAGGAAATCTAACACGGCATTTTGAGTGCAGAGTCTTCATGGGAGTCAGCCCAAGAATCAGGCTCAGTTTTTTGTTTCTTCAGCAATGATTTGAAAAGTCATGGTGAAGAATTCTCCCTAGTGGGGAAAAAGCCTAGACTGGCTTGGAGGAGCCCTTTTTTGGATAGAAAGTACCAAGTGCCATTTTAAAGACAGTGGGGCCACAGAACACACTCCTTCCATAGACTTAAGCTCGCCATTTCTCCATCACCCAGGAGTGACACAAAGCTGCAGCACAGGGCTGGAAGGAACCTGACTTTTTTCTCCCTTCCAATGGGACATAAACCCTGGGGAAAGACAAACTGCCCATCAGGACACACCCATGCTTAGAGCAGAGGCTATAAACATGTTTGCCAGAATAGTCTACCAGTCAAAACATTGAGCATGCATATTTATAAATTACATATCTCTATTATCAGTATGTTAATATATTGCATTATAAAATATACATAAAATTTAAAAATACATAAGATCCTGTATTAATCTGTCTTAGCATAAAGCTAAGTACTAATACTGTATTTTTTTTGGTCCCAGTGGTTCACTGGGCCTGGGGTGTGTAAACTCCATATTGGAGACTGCTGGCTCAGACAGCTTGTCCTTTCACTAGTACCTGGGGAAGAATTCAGCCCAGCAGTGAAGGATTCAGTAACCTTACCACACTTAACACCCCTTCCCGCAAAGTGGCAACTGGTATCGTTGCACTAAAGACGTTCATGACATAGGAAAGCATAACAGAAAAAAGGAGAGGACAAAAACCATGGTGTGAGTTAAAGAGATCTCAGTCGATCATCCAGCAACTCCTGGGAAACGAGTATAATCTAAAACCACACAGGAACAGGAGCTGACTCGTCACATACGGCGAATCTCAAATAGAGTTTTGTGTCAGATGATAGAAGAAGCAAGCCTGCCCGAAAGGCTAATCAGGCTTTGTCTTGTGTTACCATTTTAAGTGTTACAATTTGAGATTTACTCCAGCAGATTCCACTTAAAAATATGCTGCAACTTGTATTTCACACTGCTTGATTTTCTGAATTCTTCGCACATGATCTCATTTTGGTTATTTATATGATACAGATATGTAAGAGGACAGAAAAATAACAAATATACAACTCAATAAGACATGGCTTTACAGTTCAATGTTTTCCTCTGCTTCCTCTCCCTGGGAACATTCATTCAACATCAGTGAGACACGTTAGGCTGCCAGGAACCATGTCAGGTCTGGAGCACACAGACAAGTAAGTCCCTGTCACTGCTTTAAACTGCTAATGGGCTAATGGTTCATGGGGGTTGGGGGGTGACCTGTAAACATGTAACCACAACACAGTGTGCTCAGGTCTAAAACCACTTCCAGACAGGCTGCTCTTGAATCACAAAGGTTAGGATATTTCACACACCTTAAAATAGAATATGAACAAAATATATTTAATGTCAGAAGATTTAGGAAGACTTAAGAGAAATATCGTGACCCTGGAAAGAAATGCTATAGTAAGGATGCGGATCATCTGGCCTCTTTGTTCTCAGAAACCTGAACGTCAAGTTCCTTTGCAGAAGTTGTCCTTCCTACTGGGAGTTCCCCCACCTCAGTGGCCTAGTTTGGCTCTAGGTGAATCCACCTGTTGCTTTGATGAGCTTGTTTTGCTTCTGTGAGAAGGGAGACAGTTTCTGACTTCCTTTCACAGTTCTTTTATTCAAAATATTTTTAGACACCTTCTTTCTTGCTCTGTAGCACAGGCTGGAGTGCAGTGGCGTGATCATAGCTCACTGCAGCCTCGACCTCTGTGCTCAGGCAGTCCTCCCACCTCAGCCTCCCAAGTAGCTGGGACTACAGGCTCATGCCACTGCACCTGGCTACTTTTAAAGCAATGGCAACAGAAGCCAAAATTGACAATGGGATCTAATTAAACTAAAGAGCTTCTGCACAGCAAAAGAAACTACCATCTGAGTGAACAGGCAACCTACAGAATGGGAGAAAATTTTTGCAATCTACTCATCTGACAAAGGGCTAATATCCAGAATCTACAATGAACTCAAACAAATTTACGAGAAAGAAACAAACAACCCCATCAAAAAGTGGGCGAAGGATATGAACAGACACTTCTCAAAAGAAGACATTTATGCAGTCAACAGACACATGAAAAAATGCTCACCATCACTGGCCATCAGAGAAATGCAAATCAAAACCACAATGAGATATCATCTCACACCAGTTAGAATGGTGATCTTTAAAAAGTCAGGAAACAACAGGTGCTGGAGAGGATGTGGAGAAATAGGAACACTTTTACACTGTTGGTGGAACTGTAAACTAGTTCAGCCATTGTGGAAGTCAGTGTGGCGATTCCTCAGGGATCTAGAACTAGAAATACCATTTGACCCAGCCATCCCATTACTGGGTATATACCCAAAGGACTATAAATCATGCTGCTATAAAGACACATGCACATGTATGTTTATTGCGGCACTATTCACAATAGCAAAGACTTGGAACCAACCCAAATGCCCATCAATGATAGACTGAATAAAGAAAATGTGGCACATATACACACGAAATACTATGCAGCCATAAAAAATGATGAGTTCATGTCCTTTGTAGGGACATGGATGAAGCTGGAAACCATCATTCTCAGTAAACTATCACAAGAACAAAAAACCAAACACCACATGTTCTCACTCATAGGTGGGAATTGAACAATGAGAACACAGGGACACAGGAAGGGGAACATCACACACCGGGGACTGTTGTGGGGTGGGGGGAGGCGGGAGGGATAGCATTAGGAGATATACCTAATGTAAATGAGGAGTTAATGGGTGCAGCACACCAACATGGCACATGTATACATATGTAACAAACCTGCACATTGTGCACATGTACCCGAGAACTTAAAGTAGAATAAAAAAATTTTTTTTTTGTCGGGACAAAGTCTTGCCTTGTTGCTCCTTGAACTCTTGCACTCAAGTAAACTTCCCACTTCAGCTTCCCAAAGTGCTGGGATTACAGGCATGAGCCACTGCGCCCAGCCCCCCTTGTACAGTTCTATCTGCACCCCTCTAACTTTTCCTTGCAAAGACACCCTCAAGAGTAGGTCATCAATAAATGTGTCTGTAGCCCATGCACATCTACACACGCGAACCATCAGTCACCAGAAGCAGGCCACCTGCCTCAGAGCCCAGCGTCCGCCAGGGATCTGAGCAATCCTGTGGGAGGGCCTCTTTCCCCACTGCGGGCGCTGCCTCCAAAGCAGACTGGCCGGCCCAGAGTGAGGGCTATATTGATTCAGGGAGCCTGTGAGGGATTGCTCCAAAGGCAGGACAAGAGATTCCACAGTAGAAACAAGCAGCTTTCACAATAACCAATTAAACCAAGACATTATCCATGCCAAGCCATTAGCCTGGGCCACTTAAGAGCCACAATAAATCCAGGCTGTTTTAAAGGCTTGTGTGCACAAAGGAGGCACCTCTGGCCTCTACCCAGAATGCTCCCAGGCTCTTAGATGAGAGGATCTCCCCTCGTTAAGGCTTGACAGAGAGGCAGGAGGGAGGATACATCTGCGAGCCAAGCCACTCCTCCACTCTGGTCTGTCCAGCCCCCGAGTTTCCCACTCTGCATTATGTCCGGGTTAGATTTCATCTGCCTCATCTGCTTCTCTTGTTGTCTCTCTGCCTGTTCCTTCCATGCTTGGGCAAATTTCCATTAAGTATCAGGCTTACAGCTATTGCTCACTGGGAGCCCCCAGGCAACAGAGTGGCATATACTTGGATGCTTTGAAGTATATCTATTAGAGTATGACAAGTCTGCCCCCAGGGTCCAGGCTGAAGCTGGGTTACAGAGCCCTGCACAGTGGTGATTTTGTGCCAAAAATTGTGAGGTGCTAGGGTCCCACAGCGGATCTGGTGGGCTAGTGCTCCGGACCCTGGCTTTGTTGCCTACACCCTCTGCTCACCCTCCCCACCAACCCCACTTTGTGCTCACCCTCCTCCTCTATTCACCTTTCTCCCCTGCTCTCCCTCCTTCCCTGCTCGCACTCCTCTCCTGCTCCCATGCTCACCTGCTCCTCTGTTCGCCGCCTCCTCTGTTCACTCTCCTCCCCAATCACCTCCTCCCCTGCTTACCCTCCTTCCCTGCTCACCTCCTCCCTTTCTCACATCCTCCTCTGCTTACCCTCCTCCCCTGCTCACCTCTTCTGCCCACCTTCCTCCCTTCTCACCTTCTCCCCTGCTCACCTCTTCTGCTCACCTTTCTCCTCTGCTCAGCCTCCTCCCATGCTCACCTCCTCCCCACTCACCCTCCTCCCTTTCTCCCCTCCTCTGTTCACCCTTCCCCCTGCCCACCTCCTCCCCTGCTCACCTCTTCTGCTCACCTTCCTCCCCTGCTCACCTCCTCCCCTCCCCCCTGCTAATCCTCCTCTCCTGCTCACCTCTTCTGTTCACCTTCCTCCTCTGCTCACTTCCTCTGCTCACCCTCTTCCCCTGCTCACCTCCTCCTTTGCTCACCTTCCTCCCCTGCTCACTTCCTCCCCTCCTCCCCTGCTCATCCTCCTCCCATGCTCACCTCTTCTGCTCACCTTCTTCCCCTGCTCACCTCCTCCCTTTCTCATATCCTCCTCTACTCACCTCTTTTGCTCGCCCTCCTCTGCTCACCCTCCTCCCCTGTTCACCCTCCTTTCCTGCTCACCTCTTCTGCCCACCTCTTCTCACCTCCTCCCCTTCTCACCTCCTCCCCTGCTCACCTCCTCCCCTGCTCACCTTCTCCCCTGCTCACTCCTCCCTTGCTCATCCTCCTCTCCTGCTCACCTCTTCTGCCCACCTCCTCCCCCCTTCTCACCTCCTCCCCTGTTCACCTCCTCCCCTTCTCATCTCCTTCCCTGTTCACCTCCTCCCCTTCTCACCTCTTCCCCTTCTCACCTCTCCTCCCCTGCTCACCTCCTCCCCTGCTCATCTTCCTCTCCTGGTCGCCTCTTCTGCTTACCTCTTCCCCTGCTCACCTCCTCACCTTCTCACCTCCTTCCCTGCTCACCTTCTCCCCTGCTCACCCTCCTCTCCTGCTCACCTCTTCTGCTCACCTCTTCCCCTGCTCACCTCCTCTGTTCACCCTCCTCCCCTGCTCACTTCCTCCCCTGCTCACCCTACTTCTCTGCTCACCTCTTCCTCTGCTCACCCTTGCCCTGCATAACAACTTGCCCCTCTCTCACTCCAGTGCCCCAAAATTGCACCACCTTCTTCCTCAAGGCATGTGTTATGCCTTCCAGTTTTTCAAGGGGCAGTTATGCTATTTGTGGATTATATGATCCATAGCTTCTTTCTCTCCCTCTCTGCCTCTCTCTTGTTCTCTCTCCAACTACTTTTCTGTCTTTCTTTTCTTTCCCTTTTTAGAAACCATACAGGCTAAAGAAAGGATGAAAGAAATGATTAAAGTTAAGTCTCATATAACCCACTGAAATCTCTCTTGAAGGGAAGGCTGGAAGGCGATGAAATCCAGGATGTGTTTCACTCTGCTAGCTTCTTTCTTTATATTGTTTCTGGATGTTATTTCTCCAGGCAGTCTTCATGTTTGAGAGAAACACAGAACCATGCATTGGCTGGATTTACTGCTGCCACGAGGCCAGGCATCAGCAGCAGAAGCATGAGCAGGTGGAGGTAGCTACTGAGGGAAAGTCGCTGAGATCGCTACATGGAGAGGACAGCACAGAAGGCAGGAAGCGAAGCAGTGGCCAGCCTGGCACTCTGGCTGTTTTTTGCTTTGGTTCGGCTTTCTGGCTCCTGGAGATAGAACCGCTCTCCGTGCTGGAGCCGGCACAGGAGGCTGAGTTGTACTGCAGCGGTGCCCCACCTTCACCTTGATTCTGGGACACAGACACAAAGAACAGACCAGCAAATGTGCAGCATGCCACTCATATGAAACTTCAAAAGGCCAGCCCTCAATGACTGTGCTGGCTGGTGTTTAAAAAAAATCACATCTGCCATCAGATTTCATGGAACCTGCCTTTCTTCTGTTCATTATCATGTGTCGAAAACCTGCCCTTGTCATTTGGGGCTGAGAAATCTGTGCCTTTGCGATGGTGGCTGTCACTGCTGTCTCTGTCACAGCTGTGGGGGCCTGCACTCCACCGAAGCAGAGGCCAAAAAGAGCGGCCGCCCTTCTCTCCTGTTCTCTGCCAGCTTTTCGGCGACGCTGCTGTCAGCCCCCCATGCTCTGTCCCCTCCTCTCCGGCTTGCAGGCCTCAGACTGCTGAGCCAGGCAGTGGAGAACATCTGACTGTCAGCCCGGCCTCTCCCACCTGCTCGGGTCGCCATCCCTGGCGCCCGGCCTGGCTTTGCTCCTTTCCCTTCCTGTGTTCACGCCAGGGTGCTCTGCTCTCCCCCTGAGTTTGTCTGCCTTACTTCTTCCCTAATAATAACAAGGCTGGACTCTGGTGCCCATCTGCAAACATCTCCCCGTCAAGTTGCTTCGTTTCTAGGGCTCTGCCTGCTGTTCCCACAGCTGCTGTGGCCACGGATGCTTGGTCTGAGCTGCCACTTCCAGCCTGCACAGTCAGGGCAGTTTGTGACACTTTTAAAGCCAAATGCCAACGGGTGGTGCTCAGGCAAGCAGCGTGTCACTTGTCTACCTCTGGGCGTGCTCTTAGGACAACAGTTCTCTCTCACATCTATGTATTAGGAACAGGACTTTGTAGGTTTTTCTAGGACTTTTGAAGTCATCTTGTGTTTCTTTTCTCCTGTTAACACATTATTTTTAAACTTCTATATTAGTTTTCTACTGTTGCCATAAGAAATCACCACTAACATAGTGACTTAAAAAATAACACAAACTGATTATCTCACAGTTCTGGAGGGTGGGAGTAACACAGTTCTCGTTGAGTTAAAATCAAGGTGTGTCAGTGGGGCTGCCCTCCTCTCCAGAGCCCCGAGAGGAGAATCTGTACTGGGTCTTCTCCACCTTCCAGAGGTTTCTCACATTCTTTGGCTCACGGTCCCCTTCCGCTGTCTTCAAATCCAACAATGACAGATTTCTCTGAGCCTTTTTCTGCAGTCATATCCCTTTCTGACCATAGCTGGAAAAAGTTCTCCACCTTCAAAACCATGTAATTAGACTGGACTCACCCAGATGGTCCCGGATAATCTCCTGAAATCACACAATCATATCTGCAAAGACTGTTTTGCCATGTAGGGTAAAATACTCACAGGTTTTGAATATTAACCTGTAAACATCCTTGGGTGGGGGCAGGGGTGTTATTCTGCATACCACAACTTCTGTTTTCTTTCTGTTTTCTCTCTCTTTCAAAAAGTAAGTTCAACATGGCAAGTCATTTCTAAGATAGGTGATAGACCCAGGGCCAGATTTCATCAGAAGATGATAAAAATGGGGTAAATTTAGAGGCACCAAAAATATCCCTGTGACTAAATGTCTAATCAACCAGACCGCTACCAAACCTGAAACTCACCCCACAGTTAGATTCCAGTTAGATTTAATATCTTCCTTAAGCCATTATCTTCAAAATGCCACTGAAGTCTAAATGCCCACATACGCATGGCAAACAGTGTCTGGTGTCTATTTTGTGCCAGGAGATTTAATAACTTTGATGTCCTTAGAACTTCAAAGAGTCCTTGATGCAGACCAAATTACTGTCCTAAGAGGTCAAATTCAGTGACCAGGGCCACCAGGCTGATAAGTGGCACAGCCAGTCACGGCAGCCAGCCTGACTCGAGCTTTGCTGCTGTACCACGCTCCCTCCCATACACACAGCAGCAATGATGCACTAGGAACCTTTAACACACGTTTTGTTGTTGGTCTCTAATTCACATGTTGCACATGTGAATATATTAGTTTAACTCCAGAGGCCAGGATCCTGAAAGTATACAGGTAAGGCTATTTTTGAGGTTGTTTGTGGGAACTATAAGAGTAGGTATGGATACTAGGATAATTCCAGGGAAGATCAGCCTTAGAAGACCTAGAAGAAGCAAGCGTGAGGAGTTCAGAGTTCGGTAAGGTCACAGCTTGCCGAGGAAATGCCAGGAGGACATCAGTGAGGAATGTGACAGGTAGCAGGATAAAAATATAACTACCTTCTCCCTGTAACAAGCCACGTCTGACTGTCCATGACTGTGGCCCAAGAACGTGAGCATCACACAATTCTCAACTAGACTTCCGCCAACCTCCTTTCTCTCTCTTCACCTTCCAGTGTTTCTTTCATTCTTCTCTTCTCTTTTCACATAATACAAGCTTTCACAGAGTTACTCTATTACAGTTGGGATTAGGGCACATGAAATTTATCCAAGGAAGGTCTTCTCCATGCCCAATGAGTCCATCAAAAAAAAAAAAGCCAGGTTATGTTAATACACATTATTTGATTTATATCACAAATACATTTGTCAGAAATTCAATAAATATCATACACTGCCCATAATGTATGAAAATAACTCCTTTTTTAGGTTCTGAATCTCAGAGTTTAGTATAAAACCCTTTATTCCAAAAAGAGACTGTCAGGTATTGTACCCTTTGGATACTGGGACAGAAATGACTTATTTCCACATAGACGTATGTTTCTCCTAGGTGTTTTTAAACTTACTCCAAATATAACCTTGCTCTTGGTTAATTTCTGGTCTATTTATACTAGGATTTAAGTCATTGCAAATAATGAAAGGAAAACACCTTTTTCATTAATCACCTGAAGACGGGGGAAAAAGAAAAGCTCTGATATACCAAACTCAACCTTTTCAATAGACTTGACCTCTCTATTTGAATTGATTCCAAACTATTCTCACAATTCTTAGCATCTTTATCCTTTTATGTGAACACAACTAGAGCATTGCTCCCAGTGGTCCTTCAAGCACATGCACAGGAAAAAGCCCTCCTGAAAGGTATAAAATAATTCCACTGTTGCCCATCAGCCTTGACTTTTGCTCTGGTAGTCACTGCCAACATGCTAATTCTGTATCAGTGCTTTCAAATTGCTAAACACAGCTTTTAAGTTTCAGGTGACCATTTTTGCCCCAAGGCTTAACAAAACCCTGGAAAATTGTTACAAAAGCTGCCAAGCTCAAAGAGGTGAGTAGGGAGAAGAAAAAATGCATCACAGTTGCTTAAGACTGAGTGTGTTATCCATCCATATGGATAATATAAATAAATGTACAAATATATATTATATTTATGTAATATATAATATATATATTATATTTATGTAATATATAATATATATATTATATTTATGTAATATATAATATATATTTATATATTATATTTATGTAATATATAATATATATTTATATATTATATTTATGTAATATATAATATATATTTATATATTATATTTATGTAATATATAATATATATTTATATATTATATTTATGTAATATATAATATATATTTATATATTATATTTATGTAATATATAATATATATTTATATATTATATTTATGTAATATATAATATATATTTATATATTATATTTATGTAATATATAATATATATTTTTATATTATATTTATGTAATATATAATATTTATATATTATATATGTAATTATATATCTATAGGATATATACTTATATAAATAAATGTATTATCTATCCACATGGATAATATAACCACATATAATAATAATAAAAAGTGATAATTCACATTCTTGAAATACACAGCTCCAGACATTGGGGCAGTCTTTTTGCAATAGCTCTCCTGGACTCATTCCCTGAGAATAAGTACTCCACTGGGCTTCTATCTCTGCCCTAGTCCAGCATTTCTGTGGATTTTTCTGCAATTTGTAAAGAATCCCCAGCACATAGCAGTTACTATACGAAAATATCAAATGCTGGTAAATGCAGCCTCAGGCATCATTTGCTATGCTGAAGATGGAGGTGGTCAGGAATTGGATTAAAGCACAAACAAGGAAGCAGAGATCCTTTTCATCAGAGTCAGATGAAGTGAGAAGAGGCTGAAGTAAAAGGTTTGGAGGGTAGAGGACCGCAGCTGGGGGAGCTTTCATTGAGTGGTTAGGTCACTGCTAGGCAAGATGCGGGCTTTAAAACAGCCAGGGACTTCCTGAGAGCAGAAGATACATGGAAGAACTGCCGTGGGAATCGGGTAAGTCAAGAAGAGCTAAATAAAAGGATTACGGAGAAGCAGGGAAGGCATCCCTTAGAACAGGTATCTTGAGAGTATAATAGACCCAATCAGAAATGTATGATTTTTCATAGCAACTCATCAACCTGGAAGTAGAAGTAGTGGGCTTATTCAGTGGAGGGTATCCTTGGTTATAAATTAGAAAAGGCTGCAGCAGCTCATAATGACGAGAGAGTTCAGTGTGGAAGCGAGTTTGCTGCCCATACGGGTAAGACCAGGGGAGGGTTTTTGGACTGGGAAACTGCAGCAGGTTGAGGGAGCCTCTCCCTTTTTTTTTTTTTTTTTTTTTTTAAGAGATGGGGTCTCGCTCTGCCACCCAGGCTGGAGTGCCGTGGTGCGATCTCTGCTCACTGCAGCCTCCGCCTCCCAGGTTCAAGCAACTCTCCCACCTCAGCCTCCTCAGTAGCTGGGATTTACAGGGGCACACCACCACGCCCAGCTAATTTTTACATTTTCAGTAGAGACGGGGTTTCACCATGTTGGCCAGGCTGGTCTTGAACTCCTGACCTCAGGTGATCCACCCGCCTTGGCCTCCCAAAGTGCTGGGATTACAGGCGTGAGTCACCGTGCCCAGTGAGGGAGCCTCTCCTTAAGAACAAAGGGTAGCTTCCACGCATCTTGTGGGAGAGAGAGATGGAAGGTCAGATGGTTGTAGTCAGAAAGGGGGAGTCTGACAGGTGGAGATCTTGGCAGTGGAGCAATTGCTAATGAAGATGAAATCCAGAGCACATCTATGCCAGTGAATAGATAATGTAAGATGATGTGAATGCTACTAGAATAAGTTTGGGCAGAGAGACTGTGATTTAAGTCATGACACTGAATTTGAGGGAATGATGGGAATAAAATGGATGGAAAGACAGACCACAAGGCAAGTACTGGTAGGGCAGGATCCACAGAGCTCTGTGCAAAGGAACTGAAGTGGGCATGAGTAGAAGTAGAACCATCCAGCCTGGGCAGTGAAGAGATGCCCCAGAAAGGGTCATGGGGTATGAGAAGTACTGGCACATTTCCTCTTGGCCTTGGGGTTTGTTAGGGGTACAGTCTTCGCTGGAGGCATTGTGAGGTGTTACCAGGAAGATCCACTGGCAGTTAATGAGAGCAGGTGGAGCAATGGGAAAGGGAATGACGTGAGGTTGTAGGAAAGTTTGTTCTTAGTAGAATTAAAGTTCCAAAAAGATTTGGGAAAGTGTTTAGGATAATAGCTCTTAACTTTGGTGGCACAATAGAATAACCCAGGGAGTATTAAGAAAATAAAATGCCCCAATACCTAGACCAATTAGATCAGAACCTGTGGGAGTGAGGCCCTGGAGTGGGTTTTTATAAAAGCTTCCACCTGCTTCCTCTGTGCGCTGAGAATTCCTGATTTTGGAAGAGCATGAGCGTGAGTCAGGATGGGGGCAGGCCTGAAGGAGAAGGAGGCCTTCAGGAGGTGTGTTGCAAGAGGAAGTATTTCTGGGCAACAGTGGTTAGAGAAGTAGCGAGATGGGAGAGAGTATGTTGGGAACATTAGCAGGGCGCCAAGAAGGCAGAGTTTTAGTAATAAAGGGCTTTTTGAGCTAATCAGCCCCAAATTTCCAATTCAAGCGTGGGTGTGAGGAAGAGATGGCGTGACTGAAATAATTGTCTCTTCGGTATGTTGGAGAGGCCATTTGCCTATAACTAGGATTTTGGTATTTCTGCATTATTAAAAGGCCATGAGGTGCAAGAAAGCCTCATCCATTATTCATGTTTGTTTCAGGCTAAGTGCTAGATCCCCAGATGCTGAGAATTTATAAATGTCTATTTAGAAAGCATTGACCATGATACAAACTGCTCTTGAGTTGTTTTTGCTGCTTAAACCTGTTCATCACTCTTTCTCACTATTGACCATTTGCGTCTTGGGTTCACTAATTATAATAATCAGAATTATTTTTATAAAATATTCTATTTTTGCATGTATTTGTGTGTGTTTATTGGGAAAACAAGGTGGCTGAGGAGAGAACTATGTGTGTGAATATAAAATATGTAAATCAAACACTTCAAATATGATGTAGGTCTTCTATGGTACGCTTTTGCAACGATTTTCTTGGAACTGTTGAAAAGATTTGCCTTAATCAGACCCCATGGCTCCCCTACAGATACCATTTTCCCTAATTCAAACCCAGCATGATTCCTATCCTGACAGTGCTTTGGATGTATCACATTTGCAAGGAATATAAAAGAAATAACCTTAAGCTTTACATTAGAGCTGTGTGTTCACAACTTTTATTCGACATCAGAAAATCTTACAGGCTTGACTATCAAAATTATATGCGCTGACCCAAGAGGTCTCATCCCTTCCCCAAGACCATGCTGGTCAAATCTACCATGGTGAACAGATGATGGCAACAGGCTTCTAGCTCACCTTCCTGTTTCCACTCGTGCCCTCTACAGTCTTTTCCCCTGGAGCCTGCTTCCCAGTGGACTTATCCTGGAACGCTCAGTGTTCATAACCAAGTACTACTCTCTGAACGGAAGCTCCAGATGGAAATACCCTGATATTCAGAAAAACTTTCTTTCCTTGGCTTCCTTGATTCATTTTTCTTCCATTTCTATTCCTAATCTGGCTGCTTATCCTTCTTTAGCTCCTTTGCTGGCTGCCCTTCCTCCTTCCTTGCAAAGCCAGGGCTTTCCCTGGTCCCCAGGCTCTAGGGTATAGGTCTTCAAGCAACTTTGCTTAGGGGCAGAGCAGCCAGGCTGCAGCCAGTTGCCTGGGCATGAAGCCTGCTTTCTCCACTTAACAGCTGTGTGACCTAGGGCAACTTACTTAAACTTTCTGTGCCTTGGATGATACATCTATAAAGTGGAGTTAATGGTGCCTTATAGATAAAATGAAGATTAAATGAGTTAATATAAAATATTTAGAATTTTGCCAAAAATATAGAAGCTCTCAGTCATCTTGATTATTTTTATGATTATCTTCTCCCTCTACTCTCTCTTGATATTCTTCCTGACCACTGTGGATAACAATTATCAACATAACGTAGTTGGTTTCTGAATCTCTGTTTCAAAATCTGCTCTCTGTTCAGAGAACCATATCCGTATTTCTAACCGTGCCTTGGGCATCTTTTATACCTCTAATTCAGTATTCCAAAAGAAAAGGCACAGTCACTGTTATGGAGTGATATCTGTGCCCCCCCCAAATTCATACGTTGTAATCCTAACCCCCAGTGTGATAGTATTAGGAGGTGAGGCCTTTGGGAGGTGATTAGGTCATAAAGGTGGTGCCCTTAGGAATGGGATTAGTAGCCTTGTAAGAGAGATCCCAGAGAGCTCTCTCCCCAGCTCTCCACCACGTGAGGACACAGCAAAATGTCAGCAGTTCCTCATCAGAGCCCACCCATGCTGGCATCTTGATCTCAGATTTTCAGCCTCCACACTGGAAGTCTGGGTTGGAACTGTGAGAAATAAGTTTGTTGTTTATGCCACCCAGTCCGTGGTACTTTGTCAGAGCTGCCCAAACTGTCTAAGACAGGCACAATCTCTACACCCCAAGGCATCCTGACCCCTGAGTTTGCTTCTATGACTCAGAGGCAGGAACTTGACCTTCCGCCCCATCCATTGAGCGCTCGTCATGGGATTCTCGAAAGGCCACTTGAACAGGACTTTTTAGGCTTGTTCTCTCCATCTCACTCCCCTGTCATCATTCAGCTCCATCACACGTTCCTGCATACTTTGACTCACCTTTTCACTGAAGTCAGGCTGATATTTCTAATATGTATTTTCAATCATGTCTTTTTTCTGTTTAAACCTCTCCAATCTCCATTAACTCAAGAACTGAATCTCAGCTCCTCTCTCTGGCCGTAAAGGTCCATCTAGACAAAATTCCTATCTATTATTCTAGGCTTACCAGAAATAATATGCCTGCAGAGAGTCTTCTTTTTTTTTTTTCAGACAGAGTTTCACTCTGTCGCCTAGGCTGGAATGCAGTGAGGCGATTTCGGCTCACTGCAACCTCTGCCTCCCCAGTTCACGCCATTCTCCTGCCTCAGCCTCCTGAGTAGCTGGGACTACAGATGCCTGCCATCATGCCCGGCTAATTTTTTTGTATTTTTAGTAGAGACGGGGTTTCACCGTGTTAGCCAGGATGGTCTTGATCTCCTGACCTCGTGATCCACCCGCCTTAGCCTCCCAAAGTGCTAGGATTACAGGCGTGAGCCACCACACCCGGCCGAGGGTCTTTATTTATTGTTTGCTTCTGTGTTTATTCACGCTGTTCCCTCCACCTAGAAATCTTGTATTTTTCCCTCTACTATTGCTGGTCAAAACCCAATCCTCCATTAGGGCCAATCATCAAATATTAGCTCCTTTTCAGATTTCCTCAAAGTAATGATGCCTCCGTCTCCTGAGCTCCCATATAGCACTTTGCATGTCAGCCACTGTGGCATTTCTCACCCTCTGACTTACCTCCTCAACCTTGGCATACTTCTTTTATTCCTCCTTCTATATCATAAGTTCTTCAAAGGCACTTACTATATCCCTTAAAGCTTCGAATGGGATAAAATGAATGGCAATAATCACACCAGGAATTAAGCTCATTTATTCTGCAAAGCAGCAGCCTGTTGTCAAATGCTAACCCGCTCCTTCACAGCCCTCATAAAAAGAATAGGAAAGCATATAAATGAAGCAGCACACCAGAGGAACATACAGTGTGAGCAATTATGCCAATTCCTTTTATAGGAAGAACGCAGCTGAGATAAACATGGAAGCAGATTATTTACCATCCACGGGTCTCGTTGCCAAATTCTTCTAAATTTTTCATTAAAAGAAATCAAGGAAGGTAAACAAAGTAGCCCTTGGGAGGAATCAGTGTAAACAGCTCATATATCAGCATGGCCTCAGAGAAATGTCTATCTTTTTTAAGTGCATCCTTTTGGGCCAAACACGTGTCCACACACTTGGGTGCACACACACAGCCACATCTCCAAGTGTGCACAGCCGTGCAAAACCTTGGCTTCCAGGTGGAGGTGAAGAGGGCAGGCTAGGTGGGAGGCACTTACCTTCAGGGCATCCTGGGTGTCATCCAGACAGTAGACTCGGATGCTGTACTCCAGCGAGGAGCAGCACAGGGGCCCAAAGATGGCCAGCTTGAGGCGCTTCGCAGCCGCTTTGGTGGTGGAATGTCCTACCAGGGCGTAGGTGCTGAGGTTCTCTGTGAGGATGTGGCAGGCCTCTGCATCCAGCTGAATGTAGCAGGGGGTGGTGAAGTTTTCCTCCCCGACCACCACCACATCCTGGGGGACAAGAGGGAAGGGCCATGGCTAAGTCACCCAGGACGCATGCCGGCCACCAGGGATGGTGGTGAATGGTGAGTAGAGCAGGACCTATCCTTTACTTGGTCTTTTTTCTCTCTCAGAGTTTATAATCTGTCTACTTGAGTTCATCATTCTGTCTCTTTCTACCATTGTCTTTACACTGAGAATATTTATTTAGATGTCTTTCAGTTTGCATTTTTTGATCTTCTAAGAATCTACATTTTCCCTAAAAATCTGTACGTGTGAAAAGAATTAGATAAATTAAGGAACTGGGCAATAATATATTAATATGCAATTCTACTATGTTCTTTCAAAACTCACCTGACAGTTTCTTCCTAAAGAAATACACTGCTTTTTCTAAGTAATCTTGGCCGTCAGATTCTAAGAAAAGCAAGACCTGACAAATTCCATGACACGTAAGATACATTTCTCTGTTACTTTTTTTGTTGTTGTTGGGTCAGTATACTTCTTTTATTTATTTATTTATTTAATTTATTAATTGAAACAGGAGTCTCACTCTACTGCCCAGGCTGGAGTTCAGTGGCAAGATCTCAGCCCACTGCAACCTCCGTCCCCTAGGCCCAAGTGATCCCCCAACCTCAGCCTCCCAAGTAGCTGGGACCACAGGTGTGTGCAACCACACCTGGCTAATTTTTTTTGATAGAGATGGGGTTTCACTATGTTGCCAGGCTGGCCTCAAACTCCTGAGCTGAAGCGACCCACTTGCCTTGGCCTCCCAAAGCGCTGGGATTACAGGTGTGAGCCACCACGCCCAGCCACAACTTTTTAACATGTTTTATATATTTAGGATTTCATATTGTGTGTGTGTGTGTATGTGAAAGCAGGATTTTGCTGCAAAAAGGTTTAAACGGAAAACACTCAACCTAGATCATGTGAGCAGTTGTTCCTGAGTCGTCATCTGATGACTGATGGCTGAGCAGAGGATTGGCCAAGCAGGCAGCTGTCCCAAGTCCTAGATGACCAGGGGCCAAGGACATGGTACTTGGTGTCAGGGAGCTGGGATGAGGGCAGGGTGGGCTGGGATGGTGTGTGAGCTCACAAGAAGGAGCTCAGGGAAATTCTAAAGGCAGCAGCTGGCAGTAAAGCTGGAAGCTAAATTGAAGGAGACAAGTCAGTGAAATTTTCAGTCTAAAGAGATGGGTTTTTATGTGTCATTAAACAGTCTACTCTTTCAGACACTGAAAACATTTAGCAAGAAATAAAAATAAATGGAAGTGATGATTTTTATTTTAAAAAATAGTTACTAATTCAACCAAGTTTTGATTCATCTATATGGTTCAGGCCACAGAATATATCAGCTGAAAGACCATGTATGGGATGCAAAAACCAAGGGTTGGGATTCCGAATGCATCCTGGGGCAACCAGGTAACAGAGGCATGTGAAGTAGGCAGGGCCACAGACAAGGAGGAATGATGGAGACTGTGGCGAACCAGAGTGCATGCCTGTCTAAAGAGCTCAGCCTCTGCTGGGCTTCGGCCTACGGTTGCTATGCAGGAATGCAGGCCAAGTATGGACAAAGCCTCACATGTTCCAAGACAGGCTGGAAGTTCAGATTTTAATGTGAAATCTTCCAACTTTTAATTAACTCGAATTTAAAAGAAAATCTCAGGCAGGAGAAATCCACGCGTGAGCATGAGTCAGTCTCTGCACTGTCAGAGACAAGAGTCAGTCAGTCTCTCTGCAGGGGCAGGAATCATGTCGACTTTGCTTCCCACTGTATTCCAGTGGGCCTGGCTCAGGGTGTGTGTCCCACAACCATTTGCTGAAACAGTGAATGAACACTTAGTTATACATTTAGTTCAGAGGGCTACACAAAGATGTGAAAGGTTGCCACCTAGGTTATTATTTATTAGGCCTTGCAACATGATCTGAGCTATAATAAGAGCTGTGTTTTAATAGCATCAGTGAAATAATTTCTTCTACTGAACCTATGCCCCCAGAGGAAGCCCCTAAAAAGGAAAAGAGAGAAGCTCAGAACCTCCAGGTTTATTCCAGTCCCAAAGGACACCTGGAAAGCAGCTGCTTTCTCCAGGACAAAGGAAAGCCTCCGGTATCCCCTAGTGGTGACATGGTGCAGAAAGCTTCCTAGAAGACATGGCCAAAGAGTAACGATGCCCACGTCCCAGTCACTCACAAGTACAAGGGGGCTTTCATGAGGACTGTCCTCTTCTACTTCCCTCATCTGCTCAGTTTATTGTTAATGTCGTTGTTATTGTAACTACTCAAACCCAGAAATGGATAGGGTAATAGGAAGAGAATCATGCGAATAATTTAGGATCACTTCGGATTAAGACGGGATGTTTTTCAGATACATCATTTAAAGCTTAAACAGAATGAAAGTTAGATCTGGTTAAATCTGGTCCTAACTCAACATAAAGTGTATTTATTTATTTATTATGTACGCTTCGGCAAGCAGTGATCCCCTGATATGGTCAAGAGTAGAACATGCCCATAGGAAGGAAATCCCAGTGAATCCCAGGGATACTCTGGTACTCGTCTACATCTAATACTATATTTTCTTAAAATATTAGGAGCTGGAATCTTCATGTGTATTTTTTCTAAGAATTTTTTCCTAAAAAATTATCATAAGTAATCACAAAGCATATAATATATACTTTGCATATTATAACTTCCTATTTTATATGTTTTACATTTTATACAAGTATAAATGTATAGTATAGTTTTAAAATTATTGAGTATTTTTGGATAAACATATTACTGAAATATAGGTGCTAAGTGGAGGGTTCTAATATAAAGAACTAGGCTTGTTTAAAGCATTGTCCTTAAGAAGTTCTGATGACAGCAGCTGCAGACAGCCAGAATGCTGCAGATTTTCTTCCTTCTAGTGGAGCTTTGGAGACACACCCTTTCTGTTTTCCAAGGTTAAGTTCACAAGAACTGTATCCCAGGTACATGTCTGCAAGTAAGTGCCTAACATTTTCTGATCCAGTTGCAATGTTTCTGACCTGCAAATTATATACGTATATATACATATACTTTTTTTTTTTTTTTGAGATGGAATCTTACTCTGTTGCCCAAGCTGGAGTGCAGTGGTGCGATCTCAGCTCACTGCAACCTCCGCCTCCCGGGTTCAAGCGGTTCTCCTGCCTCAGCCTCCCGAGTACCTGGGATTATAGGCACATGCCACTGCGCCCGGCTAATTTTTCTATTTTTAGTAGAGACAGGATTTCTCCATGTTGGCCAGGCTGGTCTCAAACTCCTGACCTCATGATCCGCCTGCATTGGCCTCCCAAAGTGCTGGGATTACAGGCATGAGCCACCCCATATACATATATATGTATATATTATATATACACACATATACACAATATATATACATAGACATATATATAATCTATATTCCAAAAGGAACATGTCTACAACTCTTATGTGCACCTTTCCTATGAGTTATCTAATGAGTGACCATCATTTTCTGTGTGCCTGTCAATCAGAAGATATAACACTCAGGAACTAGTCTGCCTGCCTGTTTCTCTCTCATTTTGAGGGTGAGCTAAAATTCCACTCATGTTTTGCTTTATAAATAAAAGGCCTCCCATAATTGCTCCTGCTTATCTGCATGGATTATTCTTGCATAGCATCTTTATCCCGACAGCAGCTCACCTCCCACTGTCCCTGTGCTGCCTGGTTCTTGAGCAGTATTTTCCAGTCCTCGGTATTGGGGTCTGCGCAGTGATGCATAGTGAGGACGACTGGGCGGGTGAGCAGAGCTCCTGGGGGCCCACAGCTCACCACAGGGGTCAAAAGTGTCTGAGAGTCATCCATGGGTGGCCTAGGAGGAGAGCAGAGAATGGCTTCAGTGACATTTCCATTGTATTCATGAACTATGCACTTGGGTTCTGAAGGCAAACAGGTCAAGTAGTTTTCTCCTGGAATTCTTTTTTTTTTTTTTTTTCTGGGGGGTTGGGGAGAGGAAATAGGTGATACAGAATTAAATGCTCTCTATACCAAGACCTTGATCTTGCAGGACTGGAAGTCTTTATGATAACAATAAACTTGCCAGCATCTCTTTGATCCCCTTCCCTCCGACACTGGTCTTTCTATGGTAGCTTCCTCCAAATTTATGTACAGACACTTTCAAGATGGAATGAGAATGAACAGAGTCCCTATGAAGTTACATAAGCAGATTTTCTGATAATTCTTGCCACTGGTCTCACAGGGTTTTAAATACTTTTGTGGTTTCAGGACCTGACTTGAAAAATAGTTTTAAAAAATCATTTCAGAATGAGGACACTCTAGAACTAAACTTAGTCCAAATGACTTTCAGGAATAATTTAGGCTAGTACAGCAGATTCATTCTTTCAAATATGACTAGAAATAATATAGAACTGTATTTATACAGCAACTTAAAATGAGATCTCTTGTATAGTTCATGCTCAGAGAATCTGGGCAGAAAGAACCTAAAATATGCAGATTCTTTATTCTTATATATAAAAATTGCCTTTAATCTTTTCCCTAACAGGACTGTAATCAACAAGCAAATGGATAAATTAACCTAGCCTATCAGTAAATTTGTGAAGATATAGTTCCAAAGGTATTGAGTGGATTGCCCCAAGTCTCACAACTAAGTGCTAGTTAGTGCTGAGATGAAAATAAATGCCCTCTCAACGACAACAGTCAAACTACTCACTCAATCAGAAGAGCATAGCTTTTGAAATCATGGACTCACAGAATTTTAGAAGGGCCCTTGGAAGTCATTCGGCAGCACCTTCCATCCAGCCAGAACCCCTCTAAAACATGGCTGACGTATAGTTAGTGCTATAGACACATCCAGAATTGTTCCATTACTGCTAAAAGGTCACCTCGTTTACTATAAACTCAAATTTACAAAATATTCTTACTTAGAATGAGCACAACCTGACTTCCTGAAATTTCTCTGTATGTATCCTTGATTTGCTTTTGATGCTACACTGTTTCATATATTTGGAGATCATTATGATGTCTCTACAGTCTTCTTTATTACAGACCAAACAACCTCAATGTTTCCACCCTCAGCTGGAATAGCATGGTTTCCAGATCTCTCCTCGGGTTTCTATCTTCATTTTCATATGGATGCTTGTCATTGTTTTCCAGGTCCTCGTTAAAGTGGTGGCACCTTGAACTCAACACTCAAATAGTATGAGAGAGTATTTTCTTTGATTTGCCATCTGTGTTTGTATTCATGCCTCACAAAATTGTTGCTGTTGATTATTCCCAATCAAGGAATTACTTACAAATATTATTTAGCAGGCTCCAGTTACATGGGAAGATAGAGATAGTATGGTTAAGCATTTCCTTTATAAAATGAAGCAGTGAAGCTCCAAGGAAGTTAAGAAATTTGTTAAACTAACCACTCTAAGTATTCCCAACATGAAAGGCTCTTAGGCTAAGTCTGGTTCCATGATTGTAATGATGGCTTTTAAACCTATGTACAGAAATTTACATTTAGCTTTTCATTTGAACTTAATAGTTTCAAGGTAAATTTTGGGTCATCTATTTCTTCATGCTCTATCTTCCCTCCAAACATTGGCTATCTCTTCCGGTCTTTTCTCCTCCCTAAATCTGATATGCTTGCCATTTATGTTCTCATTCTAACCATTGATAACTTTGCAACACAAGAACAGGGCAAGGGCAGAGACCTTTTCAAGGACACCATTTGGAACCTCTTTCCAGTCTGATATCAATACTTTGAGCTATTTAGTTCCACCAAATATAAACCCATTAAAATGGACATTGTTTGGTTCACATCTTTTGATGGAATTCACATATATATGACAAGGGACACATCAAATTCCTTTATAATTGCAATGGTCACTTGAAATGGATTTTTCTCTAGTTTTTGTCTATGGTTTACGTATTATTTATTACATATTCCAGAAGTTAGCTTTTATCTATGGGTACCCTCGTTGAACACTCAATGAATGGTAGCAGTTGTTATTATTGTTAATATTGTTGGAAGACAATTATCCATGGATTTCTCATGTTTATGCATGGATGTTTGTATAGCAATTACCTTGAAAGATAAAGACAATGTCTACTTCTGGAGCAAATGGCAGGCCTGTCTACTCCTCATTATAAAAGACTCAGGTTCCCTAAGCTCATAGATCCTTTTCTGGAATGCAACCATTGAGTGTGTAGACTTCATCTGAACATTTTTGCATCACCATTTCTAAAATGGGGCTCACAAAATTGGCACAAACATGATGGTACTCTGTATAATGCTATCGCTGTGGGTAATAAGCTGTCTGTTGTCTTTGATCCACAAGACTTGTGTGTTTTATCAGCACGCATAAAACTGTAGCAGCTAACTTGGTAGCTCACAAGTAAGTTTGTATCTTAGAGCTTCCACAGTTGACTATTAATTCTAAGAACACAATTAAAATTTGGTATATGTTCCCCTTAATAACTCTTGGCTATCAGTGCTTCCTCACTTATTCTGAAATTGCACCAGGATCTCACCAACCTATGGCTTTTCTTTCTTCCTATTTAGAAAACCAACACAAATTTTACCTACTTTTAGTCTTTTAATAGCATTTCCGTTCTCTTTAAATAACAATACCCTTTCCTCCATTATAGCTAAAGTTATTTAGGTACTTGGGAATGTACTTAAATTTGGAACTATAAGGTTATTGGGAGCAACTTGAGACCTCATTACTATCCCCATTACCACCTTGGTTTTCATTTTCTCTTAACCCAATTTGTCCTTCTTCCAGTCTGAAATTCATTCTCTTAGAACACAAGTCAAGTTCTGCTTTCACCGTGTCATAGTTAATACTATACTATCTGCCTTAAGGAGTGACTTTATTATTGCTTAATTCTATTTTTTCCTCTCCTGGAGGGGGAAAAAACCAATGATTGCATTTTTCTGAGCAGAACTCTTACCTTCTAGTTACAAGTGTACCTTGAGAAGTGAACATTAAACTTTTAAGGAAGGAGACTAGAGTGGAATGTATTTCAAGTGGTCTTTGCAATATAGTTGGGGATTGGAGACATCTATCTCTCAGTCTGGTGTTAGCAGCCGGTGCTTGAGGCAGGAAGGAGGAGGGGTCCTTCTCATCACTGACTTGGAACAGAAGGGAGAAGGCTCCCTGCTGGGCTGGGGAGCTGTCAGACCTGTACTCTCCAAGTACACCCCTGGCATGCAATATTGATGGGCACCATTCTTGGAGGAGGGATAGCAAGGGAAGGAGGGAGGAAGGAGGGGCAGTAGGTGTCAAAAGAATTTATTAACCCAGTGAGGTGCAAGAATGTAATGAATAGGGAAGTGGTGAAGTGGAATTCTTAACAGGGAATGAAAAACAAAGAAGAAATAATGATAAGATTCTCTTATAGGCTTTCAAGATGACATAAATAGCATTGAAATTGCAAATATCTGAGCATATATGTAAGGAGTTACGCAGGATAAGATTTAACTATGTGAAAACTAAGGTCAGAGTGTGTAACACATTTCCTTTATACAAAGGAAGCTATTAAATCACATAGAAGAAAATAGCAGAAAATAAAAATATCTCAGATTCTTGTTTTTGCAGAGAAGGACTTCTCTATGTCTCATGTGTTTTCTAAGCAATTCAAGCAGTCTGTAAATATTAATTGCAGATGATATGGAAATGAACATAGAGCAAAAATTAGCTTCAGAAGCATCAATTAAGTAGAAATTTCAGCAAAGAACAATGATTAAAATTTTAAATGTTTTCCAAAGTCCAACAAGGATAATATTCCAGTAAATGCTGGATGGGTGCTGAGTCCTCTAGGACAAAGCCCACAGAGAGAAATTTCAGTTTCCTGTCAGAAATATTTTCTCATCCTTTGCTTGTCATTATCAGTGAGGAGAACTTCTAATCAAGAGTGCATAATTTACAAAACTTTCACATAAGCCATTGCATTTGCTGCTCATGGTACACCTGTATGGCAGTGTATGTCTATTACCTCTTTTCCAGAAGAGGAAACTGAAATCTACAGATATTAACACACTTGCCTAAGGATGCAAAGCTAGGTAGGTTTCAAACACAAATCATTTAATTTCTTTCACACGATGCTGTATTTTGGGTTGCTTAGAGTGGGTTTAAGTCCTTGCGAAACTATTCTTGTCTGTTTCCTAGAGCAGGCTCAAGGAAAGAATCTGTCTCCATCCACCTCTGTGGGAACAGGAGATGCCTTCTAGTAGTGGACATGTCTTTTATCTGGTCCCTCAGGATGATAATCCCACCCTAGGCTCAGCTGCCTTTTAAAGCACAGGCCTTCACACATAACTGGCAACTTGAAATATTTGCACTCTAGGTACCTGACAGGGAATATCTAACTCACTTGCTATCAAAAGCTCAATTGTGCAAAAATAATATTTATGAAAGCCACTCCGAAGGGCGTGCCACCATTTCCCTAGACAGGCCAAAATCTATCCCTGGATTAAGCCAGAACTGATAAGCATTATGCTTATCTACCTCCATTGAGGGACACTGATAGAAGCAGCCCTTGAAACTCATTGCTGTTTTTCTTTAAGGATGCTGTTCACTGCATTAGCAAAATGTCTTCTTTATGAGGAACCAAAGGAAAAATAATTGGGTTTCTTCTGAGCATATTTTTTTCCTCATGGACATGCGGATCTTGTAACTTAACACATTCCCTTCTTGAAAGGCTTAGAAATAGTAAATTCACGACCTGGTACTAGCAAATGTGCTGGGAATTACACCAACTATTTTATATTCTAACCGCTCGCCTACTTTATCTTATCTTTTATAACTTTATTTTCCCCATTTTCTTACCTTTTTTATCCACTTATTTAAATTTATTTCTCTTATTGAGAAGTGTTTTCGTAAACTATCTTGAAGCATTTCTCTCTAAGTAGGATTTCAATAAATGAACATTGTCAAGAACAGTATGAGGATAAGATTTCAATATACCTGGACTCACTAACTCCCACTGTTAGCCTTTTTATGGCTCTTCCTTCAAACTGAGGAACTTGAGGCTCATGAATGAGAAAGGACTCTACTAAAAGGAGAAAGATCACTGTGTTTCCTTGAGACAGAATAATGTCAACTACTATTTTACAAAATTCCAAAAAATAACATGATAAGCAAATCTATCTCTATACAATTACCTACATAGGGAATTTTGGACCTTTATCCTCACACATTGCTTTATTATTTATATTTAATAGATGTATATGATAGTGTCAGTTGCCACACTACTATCTCACATCTTAAACCATTGCTAAGGGGATTCCACCAATTAAAAAAAAAAGTTCTGAACACCACTAATGCCCCACAGTTGACAAATCTAATAATCTTTTTGTTGTTCTTCCTCTTTCTTTACATTTTTACTTTAATGACACCTCGTGTTGAGGCTCCATCTTGGAGCCCTTTTTACCTTTGATTTTTGAGATCCTATTTATACCGCGGTTTGTCTGTCTACCCTTACAAACCTTCGTACTTTCATTAGGAAATATTCATTGAGGAGCCACTACTCCTAACACAGTAATATGTTAAGTACTGTGCTAGATGCAAACTCTTCATTTGCCTTATCCTTACATGTTCTATCTAGTTTCTCTCATCACACCCAAACCTTCACAGGAGTATTTCTTAAAGTTCTTTCCCCAGTTCTTTCTGCTTCTGCATTTTCTCGGCTGGAGGTTCCTTCCTTGCCGTGACTTCACTTCCACGTCCCTAGCAGGAATCCACATCCCCACTCACACTGAACGCATCCAAACTGGAATCTGTCCTCTCCCCTGGAGCCACTGCTGCTTCTCACCTTTCTCACAATTGTCACAGTGCCCCAGGCTTGATTCTTGAATCTATTCTGTGTGTTCTGCCCCTCCTTTGCAACACTTCTAGCCAGCTGTGAAATACTTTCTCTTCTGAAATAGATTCTCTCCATACCCTCTCCATTCTCTCAGACTGGGACCTGGCTCACCCTCCGGCCCGGTTCCTCCTCCTCCTCTCTCCTCACACCTGCATTACTGCCAGGGCCCACCCAGGCACCAAGCCTTCTGGGCGAGTCCTTCTGTTCCCTCCACCGATGCATTCCATGCACTGTCACCGGATCAATCTTTAAAAAGCGCTGCTATTCCTGCGTCACTCAGCTGCTCAGAAACTTTCCATGGCTCCCTGCGGTTTACAGAAAGGGTGTTCTATTTACCTTTGTATTTGCAATTTCTAAATTGATTTCTTCACCCTTTGATAAAACTGCTAGGTGAGTACAGAATGCAGAGAAAAGGGAAAATCAACTTTCATATCTTCAATTCCAATTGTTTTCCAACAAGAATCAATAAAGAACAAAATTTCAGTCTAGGTCGGGTTCATTTGTGCAAACTGCTACTAGAAACAAGGCAAAAAGGCCCATGTTAGCAGCATTAATTGTGGAAATTGTATCCACCAGGAAAACAAAGGCGTCGCCGCCTTTCCAGAGATCTGTAAAGCAGGAGAGGTAGAAATCCTGAGCACAGCCTTGCAGCTCTGCACCCTCTTTGGTCAGAGACCGCTTGTCCCATCTCTGTGGCTCATTCAGGCTGTTCAGCTGCCAGCCTGCACTTTCGCTTAGAGCATATTCAGCAATGATAAGACCCCTCTTGTCACATTCACTATGCCACATGTAATTAAGTTCACGCCTCCCTTCAGACAATTCACATCCGCAGATGACCAGCTGGATACCATCCAGCTGGAAACATACCCAGTTTGGGATGCAATAAAAGTAATCAGAGAGAAGGAAAATGGAGAAAAATGCTCAGAATTTTCCTACGAATGCATAGTAACATCACAGCTCCTGATGTCCTCACAGAGTCTTCTTCCAAAGAAGTTCTGTCTTGTATCATGTGTGGATAGAAAGGATCTTTAGTGAGCAATAGAAAGTGTATCCAAAAATGCACCGTAATACATAGGCAGAGGTTTGGTTTGTGCATTGGTGCAATGGAGGAGGATGGCACATTAGGAAGCAGAAAGTGCTTTGTGATCAGAAAAGCCTGAGTCTGAATTCTGCCTTGCTAAGGTACTAACTGAAACCTTGGCTTTGGAACCCAATTCCCCTGTGCCTCAGTTTCTTCATCTTTAAAGTGGAGCTCATCACAGCTTGCAGAACGTAGTGAGAAGTAAATGAAATTAAGAGTTTGCTGGATGAAGGGCAGGGATGCTTTGTTTTATGACTATATCCTAAAGCACATTCTTGCCATTGTGTTTTACAATAAAAATGCATCTGGTTCATAACAGAAAACTAGTGAAGAGAAGACTTCTCATTTATCTGAAACTGTTATCCTCCTGTGTTTGTTTCTTGGTTCATGGTCTGTAGTGCATATTTTCTTTTGAGATCTTGAGGTTTTCCTAGCTTCATTTTTATAAACAGAACTTCTTTTATGCACACCAAATTCAACAGAGTAATTCCCTCTGCACCTAACTTCAGATGGTAGGCATAGCAAGGAGTGATTTATAGTTTCCGTTTCATTATAGTCAAAGGCAGAGAACCCTAACAGCAGAAAAGTGTCTAGCTTTATCAATTTTCTGTTTTCTCTTTCTTTCATCTAAAATGTACAATTATCCTGGTTCGGCTGCCAAGGAAAGTATGGGGAGAGCAGGCACGTGAGTGCACACCTCTTTCAGCTTCAGCCCGTGCCTGCAGCAGCCCCTTAAGGCTTGATCTTCAGCTGCAGATAATGATAATCTGATGGAAAATAGGAGAGCTCAGGCATCTTACTGTTTCTCACCATAAAGCACAAGCCAATACTTATTTCTATTTAAACAAAATGTCCACGCTGACAAAGGCCTTGATGGATAGATGTACTTAATGCTAACCTTGACTCTGGAAGAGAGAAAGAAAAATAAAATAAAATAAAGAGATCTTGGAGTTTGCTGATCTTCTTTTCTCCTGATGCAAAAGAAGGGAGCTTTGAGGGCCTGTGAATGTTGCTTTGCATTGGGAATGAAAAAAATGAATATTTGATGTGGGTAAATACAAGCCTTTTAGTGATTTTTCTGTTGCTCAAATTTAAGGCATGAATAATGCTCAAGAATTGTATTATTTTCTTAGACAGGCTAGTATTTATGTAGGTGGAAGTACACCACCCGAGGAAAAAAATGTTCTGGGTCACACCAATTATAAATGCCAGTATCTCCACCTGAGAGCATAATACAAAAGCTTTATGGCTAGTGAAGAACAAGGCTAAAAATGGACGTTTTTCTGAGGATGAGAGCTGGGAAAAGAAAAGGTATAATGTGTTATAATGATAACCTAGTTCTGCATTGTCACTCATGCTTTATATTCAGAGCTCAGGGCTGAGGAGCCGATGCTCTTCCCCTTGGGAAAAACAATGATAATTACATGATGAGGATCTCCATTTTAACAACATCTTTCATTTTAAGATCTTGGTGTACTTCAGAAGCATTAATCAGGCTTCTAAAGCACTATTTAACACACGCATTTTACATGGAAACTAATCAAGAAATACCCAATACGATTTGTTAGAGGCCAAACTGAAAATTGAATTTAGGACTTCTCAATGCCTCTTGTTATTTTTACTTAAAATAACTTCTTCTTTATGATTATGAAACATTCTAAACAAAACCTTTTAATTCAATCTAGTTTTAATCAATCCTAGACCCATTCTGAACAGCCTAATGTGGAATTTATAAGTGTTAAACATAAGAAGGAAATTAGTAATACTTAAGCTAGAAGACAGTCACAAAAGGAAGAATCGTGGGTCAGAATTAAGGGCTAGGCTGAGTGGGAGCGGTAGGGATTGGAGGAGTTGTCCAATCCTTTGTGACCTTTGACTCTGTAATGGGAACAGGCTGGATTCCTGAGCCAGATGCCATGAAGTCGACGTCTCTGTGTCTACCCACTTGTCTCTCTGGACAATCTAGGGATCACATTTCTGGACATTTTTCCAGGAAATATGGCAACGTGTCCACTTGGGAAAAGATCTCTAGCCTTCTACCCATATTCAAGATCTGCAAAAGCGTCTGGAGCCTCAAAGACAAAGAGAAGTAAAACCTGACCTTTTGTAGGTCAAGGGAAAAAGAATGTATGCCAGAAGCAAGGCACTTGAGACAAAAATATGTTGGGTTTATTGTGTCTATTGTACAATTCTCCTCCAAGTTAGACATTGGTAAAGTCAGTGCACCAGAAAAAGCATATTTACCTCATAGTTTCTTTCCTGTGTACAGTCACATACATTTCGTAGACTCTCCCTTGGGGAATGGCCCCAGCGGGAATCAGCAAGCTGACTCCTGAATAGCAAAAGAGAAAAGCAGTCATTTAAGACTTTTGCAGCACGTAAAAGGGAATGAGGAGATTTTGTGACCGCGCAGCCATAAGCCTGCTTCATTTTCTCTAAAGACATGTAAATATTCCGAGTTGCTCCATTTTCCTTCCTCATTGGCCTCCTTACCACGGCTCCCTCTGAACTCTTATGCAATTACTTAAAGGAATGATGTAACTTTTTAAACTCTTGTTTTATTTGAGGAACAGACAGATGGTTCCACTGTTGTTTTCCTTGCAAGACAAGGGGAAAACCAACAACTGCTCAAAATTTCAAACAGCTGTAATGATGCATCATTTCCATTTTTTTTTAAAATCCCCACAAGATTCAAAGTCAGGGAAATGCCAACTTCAACATAAAAAAAAAAACAACATGTATTTTTTAAATATCCGGTTAGCATCAATGTAATTCCACAATGGTATAAGAATTGGTGAAGACCTTTTATTATACATAACTCTAGAAAGTGAACACTAACTCCTAGTTTAGTCACAGCAGGTCAAAGCGTTTCTAGTTAGTTGCTAATCGGTGCCCTTTGGCAGAACTATTAGATTGGGCTGTGTTCTAAGCTAACTGTGTCTGCTGTGGCAGTGGCTTGCAAATTTGAGCTCAGGTCAGAACCACCTGGAAAGCTTGTTAAACCACAGATTACTGGTCCCTACCCCGAGTTTCTGATTCAGAGATATGGGGTGTGGGGTAGATTTTTTAGTTCAACCAGTTGCCAGGTGATGCCCATGGTGATGGTCTGGGGCCCACACCACTGCTCATCATCACAAAGAGTGATTCAGTGTGGACAGCACTCCAAAGATGTTTGGCTCCATCATTTGATTCCCCTAAAATCCAGCTTCCTTCAGCTCCATACAAATTTATGAAGCATCCTTGTGAGTACAGTGTTTGACACTGTTGTGAATTTCAAAAAGGAAAAGATAGTCTTCCTGTCTTTGAGTAATTCATAATTTAATTAGCGAGGAAATGGAATATGCCAAATGAGCGTGGGGCAATATGAAAACTTGCCTGACCACACTGGAAAGTCTCAAGAAAAAAGAATGGAGAGTTAAGAGGTAGTAGGCCTTCATGTAACTGGTTGAAGATGTTGAGCCACAGACCTCTTGAGAAGGAGAGTAATGTGAGAGCCCTGGTGTTGTAGGAAGTGGACTGTCAATGTACAGAATGATTTGTGGAGGACACAGCAGGAAGATCACACATGAGGCTACCAAGCCTCAGTGCTTTTATTTTTTTCATTGAAAACATAAAACATACCTTAATCTTTGTTATAGGGATGAAACAGCATTATGAATATAAAGTAATAGGTAACTATTGTTTGTCCATTAAATAAAATATCATATGTTGATCACCATTGCCTAATACATAGGAAGAATTTAAAACATGCTAGCTCACTCCCTTCCACTTAAGAGGCCTTTATAATAATGCACATATGAAAAAGTGGTAGGTAGAAATGGGAAGAAAAGGCAGAATCCAATACATTTCAGAGGGAAAAGAACTATTTTGAGAACAATTGTAATGTTTAAACAATGGAAGAACCTTAAAGTATGTTTTGATTCATTCAATAATGGACTGTTATAAAGATATTTAAAATCATGATTTTAAAGAGCATGCAATAGCATGAGGATTAATGAGAAAAGGGTGGAAAACATTATATAATACATGATCTCAGCTATGTAAACTGTGAAGAAAAAAATATTTTATTAAATGTTTTGATTTTGTTAAAATATACTTTTAAAGGTTTAGGGTAAAAGTTGCCAAGGCATTGAAATGAAAGAGTGAATGACAGGAAGAATCAAATAAAATTTCATATTCAGGCCTGAAGACTCTTTGGTCTGTATATTCCTTGAGTATACACATATTATGTTTTTTCAATGTGACAACACTTTAGGTATTTACATTTTAGGTATTACTGTATTTACAAAATACTCACAGCCTTGCCCAAAAGAATTAGATAGATTTAGAGAGGAAGCCATTAACCCTTTTATGACCCATGGTTCCAAGCTCATTACTAATATTGATTAATGAATATCGATTTTTAATCCAACAGTATCAGGCATTAACCTTCATTCACCATGAAAGACCTTTATGAGGCTTATTGTCTAGATGCAGAGAAACTACATAATAAACTGAAACCAAGTAATAGTACAAAAGCACACCTGATGAATCTGGTGATTCTGGATACAAATATCAGAGGTAGGAGTGAGTACAGTGTACACTATCAATACTGTGAGGTGAAAGACTGTGTGATCAAGTTAGGTTAATAAATGAAGATTTGATGTCTATTATGATACCTCTGATGATCAAAAAATTTGTTTTCTGTATTATTGCTTCATGTAGTAAATTGGAACTTAATCAAATGATATATTTAATAATTAATTCGTCCTTTTAAAGTATAATGACAACATTAGGACTTGTGGCTTGATGTTGCCTTCTGAAGTTCTAGTAAAAAGGAGGTCAATGATGGTTCTAAATTACACCTCAGCAGAAAGTTGTGAGTATAGAATTTCTAGAGGAAGTGTTTTCAGAATTAGTTGGAGGAAGAGAAATGGTTTTGCTGATTTGTCTGAAGTAATGTTCTGTTTACATTGAAAGTAGATTTGGGCTGGATAGGTCACATTTAACATTTCAGGCCTAATGAAAACATCCCACGAACAAAAAAGATTTTGGTATGGAAAAATATGTTTCAAGCTGCCTCTTTGCAATTTAAACCTCTAGGAATTACCTGAATTGGGAACAATAAGGTGACCTCCCAGCGAGTTGAAGCTGCCAAATGCGGTACAGGATGGATCAGTCTGCCTTGCTAGACTCTGGTTCTTCAGGCTGAGGGCTTCATTCTCCAACAACGACTGGGTCATCTGAGGGGACAGCTTGGACGTAAACTCAGAGAGGTCATCTTGGGGGGTGACAGCACCTGAGGTGTTGTACACTTTGATTTTCAGGTTGGGCAGTGGATCCAGAATTGGAGAGTTGGTCATTGGGATTTTGTCTGAGACGTCATGCAGGGCATAGACAGGTCCTCTGTACATGGCTGCAGCTGACGTGAGGTCTGGGGGTACAGCCAGCAGATCTGAGTCAGAAAGAGAAAATAATCCCATTGGCATTCTCCATTCAGGCCAACCTACATTAGTCAGACTCCCCCTCACACTTTCTGAGCCGAAAGTAAAGCAGCTCAGCTAATATCGGAGATAGATAGACAGGCTCTACTGAAAACAGGGCAATCAGATAACTACCAGCTCTTTTATTATTGGCTGTAAGTAAGTGGTCAAGCTCATTCTATAATTTGCTTTGATGTCTACTCATTATGCCCAAGGTATTTGGCTATTTCAACAGATTGGATTGAACAACGAGCCTCACTAGGTGACGATTAGCTATGGTTTCCCTGGTCTATACTGGATTTGGGTTCATTGGTAAATCATTCTATTCATAGCAATACAAGATATCTTGTCAAAGGAAGTTAAAAAAAGAGACTCAAGAAATCAGTCAACCAATCAGGGTACTCTTTTCGATTAGAAGTTAAAAAGTGACAGAGCAATCTGTCAGAAAAGAAAAAAAGAGGATTTATCTTGTTAACTCTAATTTGTTATGTAAATGACATCAATACAGTAATGAACAAAATTAACTCAAATTGCTGTCTTCATGGAGCTTACATTCTAGCTGAATGAGATGACTCTAAAGTCATTGATTTTGAAACTGCTTACATGCATAAGTAACAGGGTGTGAAGTGGAATGTCAACTGACCTTGTCTTGCTGCCTTGATGTTCACAGGCTGAAAGCCCCCATTGAGTGCCGAAGAGTCAATAATATCTGACTCAAAGTCACGATGATTCTTCCGATACACAAACAAGGCCACAACTACAGAGATCGCCAGGCAAACGATCACTGCTATCACAATCCCAACATAGAGAGCAACATCATCTGAATCAGGAGCAGCTAGAGAGGAGAGTGAAACATTGAACCAGCTGCTTATAGAAATTTCCCACAGTACACATATGTATTGCTATAATTTTTTCAGACATTTACTGCCTTTTTTATAGGTTAATTTCAAATCTATTTCAAAAGCTATATAAAATGGCTGTGGCCTTTCAGTGGAAAATTGTCTCTGATTTCTTTTCCTTTCTCACTCTGCATCTATCCACCCACTAATCTATCTTATAATTGGGCAGCATAACAGACTGTTTATTACTAGGCATATAAAGAAACTGGAACTAAAACCATCCCAACCCACAGGAAAAAAAAGTTTATTACTCATTTCAGGTGGAAAAGTTTGGAAGGGTTTTTGAATTCACTGATAGTTCTTTAAAAACATAAACATAAACACTGTTAGAAATATCTGGCATGTTTTAAATCTGCATATTTATTGAACCAGAATATTTTCCTAAGTATCACTCCAAGTCATAAAATGACTTTCCATAGCACTCTTCTCACTTTCCCCTAAATCAATGGAGAGGTGGGTGGGAATGGTGTAACTAAGCAAAGCAAATACTAGGAGCAAACATATTAAATTTGAAAGGTGTGCTTTCAGAGGGCCCAGATCTGGGGGACAGAGGTTAATGCTGATAACCTTCTCTAAGTCCAGGCTTTGATACAGATGCAGTATTATCTCTGAGAACCCTGAGCTTCTCACGGTCCCCTGTCAGAGATTTACATTTGAGCTACTCATTACTAGAATAAAATATAGCTCTCTTGTGCACTAAGGAAGACAAAGGCCTGGTTCAGTGATCAGAAAGTTCAGACTACCCCAGAAGGCAAATAAGCATTTGACCAACACAGTGTGTCAGTCAACTGAGGTCTTTTTTCTGGAACAGAATTCCTATAAATGTTGCATGTTGCCTTGGTGGCACAGAACATGCTTGCATCTAACTGGAAAAGGTGATAGAAGCTGATAATTAAAACAAACAAATGAAATGAAACCTTTGTGGACCCCTTTGACATTTTTAAGTCTCTGTTTTTAGTATTCTGTGATGCACAAAAACATGTTCAGCAAAATTAATCAAAGCTGCTCCACTCACTGTAAAAGAGGTTGTTAAATTGGTACTTCAGGTAGTCGAGAACAACCTAGAATTTTATGGTCAATTTTATATACATGTACATTTTTCAGGGAGAGAGAACTTTCCAATTTGTAGGTCCCATGACCTCCTAAAATGTGAGGAACCACGGCCCTCTCCTAACGCTCACAGCCACATGGTTTACATGGTGAAATAACTCATCATTTCATTTGCCAGTGGCTCATGAGACAACCCACACTCTAATGTCATGGAATCTTTCACATATTAGCAGTGTAAATGAATTCTTTATTGGGAATTGCTCTATCTCTTTTGGCATTTTGTGTTTAAATGTAATGTATCCAAAAGGATTTTGCTTTCTTTTAAAAATAATTTTCTTCCCAACATTTCCAGAATATTCACTTTCCCATCAATCAAGTCAATGTTAGCAAATTTTCTTCAGAAAACCAGTGATATCACAAATACTCGTGATTGGGTGAGTGCTGCTTTCAAAGTACTTACTTCACTTCTCTGTTGGGTTTTATTTGAGGCACTGCTGCAGGATTCTGAACTCTGGTCAGAATATTATATCTAAATTCTTATTGTTTTACTTTACCAGGTCATAGTTACTTATTCAACATTCATGATTTCTAGCTCAACCCATCTGTCTTTTTTCAACCCTTTCTGTTTTGGTATTTGAACCCTGCCCTTTACTTATATCAGCACATTTCATGATATGTTTTGTCAGCTACTGGGACTCAAGCTTTGAATGGTAGACTGATAGATTTTAAAGTTGGCAGAGTCTTGAAATGACCCTTTCTTCTCTTCAGCAGCAAAAATCTAATTTATTTTTCATGTTAGAATATATTAGGCTCCTATTTCCTGTGTGCACATCTGTAATCCGAAGAAAGGTAAACTTGAACTAGGGGCAATAACGTTAAATGATTATTCAGCAACATAAAATCCAAACATCAAACTTACAAGAAAATCCATATTCATTCTGGGTTCTCTGTTCAGTTGAAATGGGATAAATGAAACCTTGAAAAGAAAAAAAAATGAAACAAAAATGGGAACAAAATCAAATTAATGAGGGAAAGAAAATAGGAAGCATGAAAAATGGTTTAATTAAAAGGAAAAGAAACCTGTGGTCTTTTAAAATTCTGATTCAGTATAAAATTATGATTTTGCATCTCCTGTCTGCTCTGGAGCCTCACTAAGAATTAATAAGCAGGCAGATTGAATTTTAGAGCAAAAACTGGTCTCGAGTCACTAACTTTGGAGTGCTTAAAGTCTTTCTTTTATTGAGCATAAACTCTAATGGATCTAATTTATTTCAGACATCAGGGGTCATTAGCATAAGGAAAATCTTTTTTCCTTATCCCTGCCATATGCTTTAATTCCCAGGACATATTCAGTAAGGCTCTAAACAGTTTTTTTTTCTTTTTTATTTAATCATAACAGCTTGTGCTTGGTCTAAGAGAACTAAAGAAGACCTGTCATCATTGGTCAAAGGTTAAGTACCCATTTACTGAGCTAAGCTGAGACCACCTCTCCCCCGCTCCATCTCAAATCTACTTTTTGGATTTTCTGTTGTTTCTTGCCCCCTTCATTTAATAGGAGTTCGATAGGTTTTGCCTAGGGACTGAACAGTTTGTCAATGCAATGGAAACTGGATGCTTTTTATTTGAAATCATTAGAAAATCAATAGGGCCTAGAGGTTATAAGGGTATTTATTTTAGGGCTTCAGAGAAATGGTGTATATTGGGAAAAATAAAAACTTTCATCTCAATAGAAAAATGCAGAAATAGCACTAGCATTTTATTTCTCTTCCTTTTTAGTGTATTCTGAAGGTGGAAACTAACAATAATAATGCAATATGGATAATGATAATAATGTGAAGTGGAATAAGATAGGGAAAAGTCACTTAAAATATGTGCAACACAAACTTTTTGAAATGAAAAACCTATGGAAAGTTTTAAAGTATATCTTATACTGGTAACCACAGTTCTCCAAGATTTACTATTCTGCTACATATGAATTAATCAAATGATACAGCACCATTTGGATTAATAAAATGAAGATGACTAAGAAGCCTGTGAATTAAACCTTCCTAGTAATACTCAAGGGCAAAAAACAGAGGAAAACAAGTTTCACAATTAACTGGTTCAAAATGAAAGGTCTATAAAGCTGTAATACTAAAAGCAACTCTAAATCGTGCCTCAGGTAGCACTTCCGTAGTTTGCCGAACACTCAGTTCTTACAAGCTATTTACCTATTTGGGGGAACTAATTCTGGAGAAACATGCAGTGCTACCTTAATGAAAGAGAGCTTTGCTGTAGCACAGATAGGTTTGCTCTGAATTCATTTTTAATGCCTTATTTTAGAGCAATGATTGCAACCTCCTACTCAGTTTTATAAATATTATATTCCTTATTCTAGTTGTCTGAGTCCATGTATTAGGTTTGATTTTCATTTTTAAACACCACTGCCTGGTAATAAAATTTTTCCATTTGTATTCTGTGAACTCAATAAAAGGACATCTGGGACATACACAGGCTCTATTTTCAAAACCCAAAGACTTAACACAAAACAAGTTCACTGCTAGTAGAGGAGACCAGATCACAATGCCATCTTCCTGGAAGTGATGATGTTAAGTAGAAGAATGTCAAAAGACTTATTTTTGCAGGTAAGAGGCAAGGAAATGAGTATAAAAGGCATGTTTACAAATGCTATGATGCTCATCCTGAAACTTTTGGTAAGAATCAGCCTGGCAGCCGGGCATGGTGGCTCACATCTGTAATCCCAGAACTTTAAGATGCTGAGGCAGGTGGATCGCCTGAGCTCATGAGTACGAGACAATCTGGGCAACATGGTGAAAGCCCATCTCTACCCAAAATACAAAAAATTAGCTAGGCATGGTGGCGCGTGCCTGTGATCCCGGCTACTCAGGAGGCTGAGGTGGGAGCATCACTTGAGACTGGGAGGCGGAGATTGCAGTGAGCAGAGATTGCGCCACTGCACTCCAGCCTGGGTGATAGAGCGAGATCTGTCTCAAAAAATAAAAAGAAAAGAATCAGCGTGGTCCTGCTTGAATAAGCAGAAGAGCTGCGTCTTGCAAAAGGAAAGCCTATCTCCAGCTAGGTATCACGTGGTCCGAAATTTCTCCCTGTAAAGCAGTTCTGAGTTTTTTGTCCCTGCTTCCCACCAGAATTCCTGTTCTTGATAGGCAGACCAAGAATAGAGAATATAACTTCGTAACTTCGATTTGAATGTCAACTTTCACAAATATTATGTAGATTTAAACTACTCAATAAATGTTTTGTGCCTTATGGTATTTATCTGAAACTGCAATCTCATTCCAGGCACAGAATTGGAATTCATTCATTCATTCATTCATTCATTCATCATCCGTTTAGCAAATACTCTTGAACCTTATTATATTCTGGGTTCTGTTGTAGACATGGGGATACTTTCCTGTTTTTACTGAAGTTTAACAGAAAATAAGCAAGTAAACAAAATAATAAGATCATTTCAAATAGTAAAAAAGTTCTTTTAAAAATAAACCAAAAGAACATAATGTGTTTGGAGATATCAGGATGGCCAACTTAGGGAATTAAGGAAGAATTTTTTTTTTTTAATTGAGATGAAATTTGACCTGGAGCTTGAAAAAAAGAAAGAATCTGCCAAGTTAAGATCAGGAGGCAAGTGCTTGATGAGAAACGACAATAAATACGAAAGTCCTGACAGAAAGACAGAATGGTTAGAGGGTGGGGAGCAAGCAAGAAAGGAAAGGGAGGAGGTGGGGTCAGAGGACAGGCAGCACCAGGTCACGTCCTGGTGGGCCAGGATGAGGAGTCTTGCTCTGTCACCCAGGCTGGAGTGCAATGGCACGATCTCGGCTCACTGCAACCTCCGCCTCCCGGGTTCAAGCGATTCTCCTGTCTCAGCCTCCCGAGTGGCTGGGATTACAGGTGTGCACCACCATGTCCGGCTAATTTTGGTATTTTTACTAGACGCGGGGTTTCACCATGTTGGCTAGACTGGTCTCGAAATCCTGGGCTCAAGCTATCTGCCCACCTTAGCCTCCCAAAATGCTGGGATTACAGGCCCGAGTCACTGCACCTGGCCTCCACAGTGAGTTTTGATTTTATTCTAAGTGAAATGCATATCCTGTGATCGAATGTCATTTTGAAAAAAATCACTTTGGTTTCTATAGATATGGATTGTCAAATGGAGCAAGGTGATAGGGTTTTACAGATGGCTTCTATAACACATGGCTTGGGAGATATCTGTCAATAGGTGTATAATATAACTGATGAAGTGTTTGCATTTGAGGTTGTTCTGAATGAAAATAAAATATTAAAAAAATTAAATATCGCCTCACTCTAAAATATTAAAATATTTAATATTTAAAAAATTTTAAAAATATTTTACAAAGTCTCACTTACTTTAGTTATTCCTCACAGGCAATTAGGACCAATCTAGCCAAACTCTTATTTTCCTACATGGGAAAATTTAAAACAGACCAGTATTAAGTGTACTCACCAAAGGTTTGACACTCCAATTTACTCTGTTATGGAAACACTGATAAAAAGTTATGTAAGGCATCCCTGTAAAACTTTTTCCATCATTTTCAAAACACTTCTGCAACTACAGAAGTAAAACATCACTTAGCAGGCTGGGAATCAGAGAAGAAGGGGATTACTGTTCCATCCCCTAAATGAGGGGAACACAGAATCACTTTCTGGAGTTTGTTTTTATGCTTCTCCATCTGATCCGTCTCTCACGGAACAACAGGGAACATTTTCTTCAGCTAATGAGGTGACCCTGCTGAGAGTAGTCCTAGCAATAATGAAAAATAACATCTCCGGCGGAACACAGTGCAAAATAATTGTTTTTCGGTTGCTACCGACAGCCTGGTTCAAAAGTTAGGGATTTCAGTTAACTTTCCTGCTACTTCAAAGTAAGGTGGGCTAAGAAAAGCACCAGGCCATGGGCCAGTACACTGCTTTTCAGTGTCATGAACATCAGCTTGAATCCTAGCTCTGCCACTTAGCTGGGAGAGCTTTGCCGAACTACTTCACTTTTCTAAGTATCAGTTTTCTAATCTGTGTAAGGGGATATGAATACTTACATCTAGAGCTGTGGAAAGGATAAATGAGATTTGTAAGGTGCTGGTACATTGCCAGTAATCAAGAAATGACCAACAATGACATTGATATAATTATGATGCACGTTACTAAGGTATACTAAGATGCTGGGTCCTTAAGGGATTTTATCTGTAGAGTCAACATAGCCTATTATCTAATGAGTGATCTTAGGAAACTCGTTTGAATTTGTTTCCCCAGTTATTACATAGACAGGGAGCCCAGTTTTTCAGAGAAGCCGTATGCAATGCTCTCTTCTAAGGACTCTTGCACTCTCTTCATGTAAAAAGGCTTATGCCTGTCCTTTGTGGCTTCTGGCAAAAGATATGGTGGTATGTTTCCAAAGCACATTTTCAAGGCCAGAGTGCAAATTGATGGTAAAAAGGTATCTCAACCAAGAGTGATGCAATTTCTCAAGAGGGTGTTTGGAAATGGGGTAGGGATGGTGTTTTTTTTTGGTTGTCATAAGGATTAGGTGGTTGTTTTTTGGCATTTGGTGAGTGGAGGCCAAGGATATTGAATGTCCTGCAATGAAAGAAACAATCTTGCCATGAAAGGATGGCCCAGAACAAAATCCACCTCCCTTGATAACAACTTTCAAAATCACCTCTTTTTGACTGAGAAGGCAAGAACAGGCATGGCGTTCAGGGAAAGGTATGAGGCTTGTTATCCCTGGGTACAGTGTGGCCTCAGCAACTGCTTTTTCAAGAGCAGTGCTTTTTCAAGGGTAACTGCTTATAACCTATATCCACTTTAAAACAATGTTTTTTTTTTTTTTTAAATATTTATTTCGAGATAGGGTCTTGCTCTGTCATGCTGGCTGGAGTGCAGTGGTGTGATCATAGCTCACTGCAGCCTCCACCTCTTGGGATCAAGCAATCCTCCCATCTCAGCCTCTCAAGTAGCTGGGACCACATATCTGCACCACCACACCCAGGCTATTTAAAAAATTTTTTTTGTAGAGATGGGGTCTCGCTATGTTGCCCAGGCTGGTTTTGAACTCCTGGGCTCAAGCAATCCTCCCACCTTGGCTTCCCAAAGTGCTGGGATTACAGGTGTGAGCCATCGCACCCAGCTGTAACTTGTATTTTTAAAGAAAATTTATTTTTTAAAGCATAGATTTTCCTGACTTGCAGGAATACAGACTAAAGGAGATTCGATATGGAGAAAACCTTTAAGTGAAGAAAAAATATTTGAAAACTGGAGCAAGAGCAGGCTATGTCTTAAACAGTCCATGCAATGCTCCTTTTACTTGAAGACCATCTCATAATTGCTCAAAACATTATCTCAGGAGATTGTCTCATTCAATCTTTTTCATATGAGGAGACAGAGTCTCAAAGGTGAGAAAGGATGTTTGCAAAGTTACCCAAAGTGTTGATATTCTACCAACTAAAATTTGGGTCAATAAAACTGACAATGTATAATTTTGCATTGTCCAGCTCTGGGTGGCAGCATTCATATTTGTGTTTACTGTAGATTTGGATTAATCATAGAACCATTTCCTGGCTGCTGGTAGTAAAGTGACTTAGGGAACGAATGACTTTTTTCTAATTTGCACAAGGTCATCATTTAGACTAGAGGTGAGGTTGCCCGAACTTTTTAGTGATGTCCAACCATTGTAAAAGATCAGAGCCCATGTCCAAGTATTGTAAAAAAAGAAAGAGAGCAAGAGAGCTTTCCTTGGTGTTTACACTGAAGGAAGTAATATCAAATTATCCCTAAGTACACAGCCAAGACCCAGTAACTGAGCAACAATATACCTAAATGTAGCCTGTCTGGTGGGTTTATATTTGAGAGTCTCAAGAATAATGCCAGAAACAAAATGTAAATCTTCATTTCCCCAATAAACAGCAACTACTTTTATTTTTCTAGCCTTTTCAAATTTTTTCTTTCCAAGCCATATGGATAGATAGCAAAAAATGATCATGGTTTTATTACTACTTTTTAAAAAAATAATTCAAACTGTTTTTATGCCATACTACATACTTTCATATAAATAATTATCAAGCAAATATTCTGATGTGAGAAATGTCATAACTTCTGAACATCATTAGCCAGGTTTAAATCCTCAAAACCAAGTCTATGTTCTCACAAACTTGCAAACCCCCAGGATGTTGGAGTGAAAATAGATCATTGATTGGAACTCCCTAATTTAACCCTTTGAGTATAGAGTGGTAAAGGGATTTGTCTAACATTATAAAGCTGGTGAAACAGCAGAGCCAGGGTTGGATCCCAGCCCTCAGGCTACACCTCCACCGTCCTTCTTAAGTACTATGTGAGCAATAATTAGTAGATTCGAATGAGGAGAGACAAGGAAATAACAGAAGAGGGCTTGGTAGGCACCTGGCTTAATTTGTAATTTGGTGATTGCATGAGATAACCCTGCTGATTTGGACTGTAAAATATCTCTCCATTTGAAATATTATCATTTATAGTCATGACACTTATAAAGCCAAAAATAGCATAGAGAGGTTGTCTCCTTTACATGAAAAAAATTTCCAAACAGTGTCTTCTGTTACAAGTGTGGGGCAAGCAAAGAGGTGTACCAAACCTCAGCATTTCCACTCTAATGTGACTGGGGAGCCTTGCTAGAGTGATGTAGTTGTTAATGCATGATAATCACATTGCATTTGGCATAAAACCCTATAAGTAAATATTTAAAGGAGAAACATCATTTCCCTCAAAAATGATGCCATGTGGAAAAAAGGAATAAACATCAATAATTGGAGGAGCTCTACACATCAGAAGAAAATTCCATTTTTTTTAATTATACTTCAAGTTCTGAGATACATGTGCAGAATGTGCAGGTTTGTTACATAGGTATACACATGCCATGGTGGTTTGCTGCACCCATCAACCTGTCATCTACATTAGGTTTTCTCCTAATGCTATCCCTCCCCTAGCCCCCCACCCCGACAGGCCCCGATGTTCCATGTTCCCCTCCCTGTGTTGGTGTGTTCTCATTGTTCAACTCCCACTTATGAGTGAGAACATGCAGTGTTTGGTTTTCTGTTCCTGAGTTAGTTTGCTGAGAATGATGGTTTCCGGCTTCATTCATGTCCCTGCAATAAAACATGAACTCATCCTTTTTTTATGGCTGCATAGTATTTCATGGTGTATATGTGCCACATTTTCTTTAAGCAGTCTATCATTGATGGGCATTTGGGTTGATTCCAAGTCTTTGTTATTGTGAACAGTGCTGCAATAAACATATGTGCGCATGTGTCTTTATAGTAGAACGATTTATAATCCTTTGTGTATACACCCAGTAATGGGATTGTTGGGTCAAATGGTATTTCTGGTTCTAGATCCTTGAGGAATCACCACACTGTCTTCCACAATGGTTGAACTAATTTACACTCCCACCAACAGTATAAAAGCATTCCTATTTCTCCATATCCTCCCCAGAATCTGTTGTTTCCTTTTTTTTTTTTTTTTTTTTTTTTTTTTTTGAGACGGAGTTTCACTCTCATTGCCCAGGCTGGAGTGCAGTGGCACGATCTTGGCTCACTGCAACCTGCACCTCCTGGGTTCAAGCGATTCTCCTGCCTCAGCCTCCCGAGTAGCTGGGATTACAGTCGTCTGCCACCATGGCCAACTAATTTTTTGTATTTTTAGTAGAAATGGATTTCACCATGTTGGCCAGGCTGGTCTCGAACTCCTGACCTCAGGTGATCCACCTGCCTCAGCCTCCCAAAGTGCTGGGATTACAGGTGTGAGCCACTGTGCCCAGCCTGTTTACTGACTTTTTAATGATCACCATTCTAACTGGTGTGAGATGGTATCTCATTGTGGTTTCGATTTGCATTTCTCTAATGACCAGTGATGATGAGCTTTTTTTCATGTTTGTTGGCTGCATAAATGTCTTCTTTTGAGAAATGTCTGTTCTTATTGTTTGCCCACTTTTTGATGGGGTTGTTTTTTTCTTATAAATTTGTTTAAGTTCCTTGTTGATTGTGGATATTAGCCCTTTGTCAGATGGATAGATTGCAAAAATTTTCTCCCATTCTGTAGGTTGCCTGTTCACTCTGATGATAGTTTCTTTTGCTGTGCAGAAGCTCTTTAGTTTAATTAGATCCCATTTGTCAATTTTGGCTTTTGTTGCCATTGCTTTTGATGTTTTAGTCATGAAGTCTTTGCCCATGCCTATGTCCTGAATGGTATTGCCTAGGTTTTCTTCTAGGGTTTTTATGGTTTTATGTCTTACATTTAAGTCTTTAATCCATCTTGAGTTAATTTTTGTATAAGGTGTAAGGAAGGGGTCCAGTTTTAGTTTTCTGCATATGGCCAGTTTTCCCAACACCATTCATTAAATAGGGCATCCTTTGCCTATTTTAAAGCAATAAAAGCTGACAACCACTTGCTTCTGGCATCCAAGATCCTGCATGAGAACAGGCTTAAAAATGAGACAGATCTGCCTTCACACATTGGCTCCAGCACTCATCTGTGGATGTTGGGAGGGCTGTTTCAATTATATGCCTCAGTTTCTTCCTTTGTAAAAGAGAACTATTGTTAGGGGATTAACAAAAGTTCTGTTTGTAAGGTTTTTTTTCTACCTTTTGAGTATTAATTAAATTGAGCTCAATTCAATTTTTTCTTAACTTGGTCATGTCTGACACAGTAGACTGGGGTCAGAAGCAACTAATGCCAGGGCCTAAAATCAATGTATTAGGTGGACAGCAAACAGAATTAAAATGAAATCTGAAATATCTTTAAACTACCATATAAGATATGGTACTTTTTATGCCCTCTAAAGTCTATATGTAGGTGTCTGGGCATTAAAACCTTGTCTTTACATTAGTATCAGATACTTGGCCAAAAAAGAGATAGGTAGAGTTTTAGGAGGTGTCCTGCTTGCCTTTGAGGTTTACTCATTACATTTCAATATGGAGCTGCTTCTATGACCTTAATACCCGTAAATAGATTTTAGGATACTGTGGGGATTAAGCACAATAGATGATAGATTCATATCTTATGGGGGTGGCTAGGATGCAAGTTATGCATATGACATAATGTCATTTATAAAAGCATTAAACATATTCTAAAAAAGTAGCTATTTTTAGGTCACAAAGGTCTTGGTTAGTTTTAGTAATATTTATCTACTCTAAGTCCACTAGGCTACTTGATAAGATTGTTCCTCATTTTCTGATCCTATCCTTAGAAGAATCCCCTCTCCTTGACCTGGCCGCTTGGTCTTCTTTTTTGCCAGTTACTTTACACTAAGCCAAAACATGGGCAATTTTTTCACCCCAATTACATTTGTTCTGATGCAAATGTTCTTATTAAAACCTCAAGGGCCATTCAAAATAAACATGTCCAGATTTTCTTTTATCCTTTAAGGTCAGCTCTTATCTAGCAAACCCATCAGGGCTGCACTAATGATGTCAAAGGTCAGGTCTGTCAAAGACACCCAGGGTCATTTATTATAATTTACCACTCTTCTGAGGGTTTATTTATTGATAGGGCTTAAGGAACTCCAAATAAATGAATACATAAATCCTAGGACATGACAACAACAATTAAAAAGAACATTTGCTTATCACTGATGTCAGTTATCTAAATTGCCATGGTAATTTACTGCTCCAGCCTGCTGAGGACAATGGCCACACCTCACTAAGCTGGTTCATAGCCCTGTTCCTTACAGTGACCAGCCACACCCTTCTGAAAATGAATAGTAGATAATTAACATCCCAGGATGTAAATGTCTTATCTCATGATTCACAGTAGGTGAAGCATAAATGCCTGAAATTTAAACTAAGTTCATTAATATCAAACTCATAGATCAGCTACTCAAGTGTTTTTATATGTGTTATATAAACTATATTATGTTTTATATAAGTGTTATATAAACTATAATATATTACATAAACTATATTATGTAAACTATATTATAAAACATATTATATATGTTTTATATAAGTGTTATATTATATAATGGACTCTATCCCCGTCAATGCTTCTTAGAAAAGAAAAATAAATTATAAATCCAAAAGCAATGATACCAGAACCCCTCCATGGTAGTAAAGACACCTGATAGAAAAAGTAAAATGATGAAGAGTCCTGATGTATAAGGTGACTGACTTCTAGAATACATGAACCTATCTGCTAGATTTCTAGCAAGAAGAAAATTGAGCTTGCAGCCCTGGACCTGCACCCCCGTGATCTCGAAGGAGCCCATGCTTTGCTGTAGTTGCTGGCTTGGTGGCACCTTTCTTGATCCCCTCAGAGGTCCCTTTCCACCTAGAATCTAAAGACCTTGCATTTGTTTTCTAACCTGTTTGGTGCTCCGTAGGTGTTCATTAGGCTTCTGTAGGCTAAAGTTTCTAACCACATCCCTGCTTTCAAAACCAGGAAAATGTTTTACCAGAAAGGAAAACAAAAGCAAACCACACTTATTATACCGGACACTGTGTAGCATTGTGTTGGGCAGGCAGGCCATGTACAGAATATTTATTTGCCAGCTGGGACGCTACACATATCAAGAACTACACAAACACAGCTATGACATCAACTTCTTCCAACTATGGATAAAAGCTCTCACTGTCTACCACTCACAATTATGCTTTCCTATCAAACTGCTGTGTTGACAAGAATTTCACTGGGAAATGACTAGCACCTTCTCAAATGCCTACCACAGGCGGTTATAAACGTATCATTCTAAAGTCAAGAAATGAGTATTTGTAAGGTAAATTACTTCCCCACATTAAATCCACCTGGGCTTCTGGGGGCCCTGGTATGCAGTGTGTCCACACCACAGTTTACACATGGAGAGCTCTGCCACTTCCTCTGTACTTCTGAGAATTAATAGAAGAGCTGTGTGACGTGTAATTTTTTTAATGAGTTGAAAGTGCTAACTTTGCAGAATGCCTAACATTTTAATTTCCCAAAGTCAGGAAGTTCACTGATGCAGACACAATTCCAAGCAGTTCTTGTTAGTAAATTACAATTTTAAATTTGTCTACTGTGGCATGAACCGTCTTCAGCAAGGAGTAATTCTAAGTTCAGATTTGAACTGTTAAAAATCCCTATGAGAAACTCCAAACTTACAAAGAGAATAAAAACTAAAATCTATAGGAATGGTTGCAGTAACTTAATAATCCAATCTACTGTATTGATAAATATATATATAAATTTGCATTTCTGGACTAGGCCATATATATAGTATTGAATTGCTATTTTCAAAAGGAAGAAGTAAGCAGTGATTAAACTATTCATATTATATGCTATCCATGACAAATAGATCTTACTAAAAATTCATTATAAAGATTATAAAAGTTAGGCCCCATGTGGTGGCTCAGGCCTGTAATCTCAGCACTTTGGGAGGCTGAGGTGGGCAGATCACTTGAGGTCAGGAGTTCGAGACCAGCCTGGCCAAATGGTGAAACCCCATCTCTATTAAAAATACAAAAATTAGGTGGGTAGGGTGGCGAATGCCTGTAATCCCAACTACTCAGGAGGCTGAGGCAGGAGAATTGCTTAAACCCAGGAGGCAGAAGGTTGCAGTGAGCCAGAATGGCGCCACTGCACTCCAGCCTGGGCAACAGAATGAGACTCCATCACATTTAAAAAAAAAAGGAAAGAAAAGATTATAAAAGTTAAAAGTTATCAGGTCTCAGTAATACAATTGTATTTCAACTTAAAAGGTAAATATAATATGCTTATTGTCTTAGCATTTTTTGAGATTTCTTAAGTGTTTTCTGCTTCTTCTGTATCTTTCTATGTGTCCTGTTCTCTGTGTCTCTCTCTCTTGTCATAACCATTTAATGTAAAGCCTATTTCAAAAATATATTGTAAAATGTGGGGGGTGGCTGCTTTCACATCAGTTTAGGGATGATATAAAGAAACCTAAGTATTTTAATATGTACACAGTACAACTGGTCTTCCAATACTGATTCTGTAGTATTATTAAGTAAAAACTGATATTTGTTATTAATGTTAAGTTTTTTTAGATCAGACATATATTTTCAATTATTTTCAATAGCAACAAACACGCCAAATCGCTTACCTTTTTTTTATTATACTTTAAGTTTTAGGTTACATGTGCACAACTTGCAGGTTAGTTACATATGTATACATGTGCCACGTTCGTGTGCTGCACCCAATTAACTCGTCATTTAACTTACCTTTCTTATTCAATGCAATCCATGTCATTTAGTGTACCACAGAACTCCACTTTTTAAAATGTAGTTTTGAAAACAATTAAGTATGTGCTTATGAACCCAAAATGTCCAAGTTATTTCTGGCACCTTAAGTGATTCTGATGGCTTCTAATTACTCTTTAGTAATGCATTCTGGTGAAATAACATCAATTTTGTAAAGGTCTTAATTTGAAGGCACCAAGGCATTGATTATCTCCAGCGTAGGAACTACTTTTTCAGGCCAGTGAGACTTTATCCAGTGTAATACATATATATTATATGTTACACAGTACTTACAATATGAACTACTATGTATGAGTGGTATAAAAATGTAATAGAGCTTCTGAAATTGTTTAAGACCACGATTATATTTCACAAATGAAATTACACAATATCACATAATGAATCCAAGTTATCACACAGTATAAGAGTTTAAATTATGATTGCAAGGACAGATATGTGTCTATATATCTGTATGTGATAGGCAACTGGGAAATAATGTAAAACTATAATTCAGTTCCAAATCCCCATGTCTTCAAAATACTTGTGTTACTGGCTATAAGTCTTGCACCCTAGGGTTTCATACAACTAGGGTTTTATACAAGTATTTTATGCAAATACTTTTTTGGTAATCTAATTTGAATCAATGTGACCAAAGTCAGTGACATTGCTAGTTCTTAAATTCAGAGAGCCATGCTTCCAAGACCATGCTGTGGCCTATCCTCAACAGTTCTTTTTAAAAAATGTCATTTATTATTATAAACATAATGGAATACTAAGCATAAATAATGTATAGAATAGAAAGCATATAGGGTTGTTTGTTTTTTTCTTGTAAATTTGTTTGAGTTCATTGTAGATTCTGGATATTAGCCCTTTGTCAGATGAGTGGATTGCAAAAATTTTCTCCCATTCTGTAGGTTACCTGTTCACTCTGATGGTAGTTTCTTTTGCTGTGCAGAAGCTCTTTAGTTTAATTAGATCCCATTTGTCAATTTTGGCTTTTGTTGCCATTGCTTTTGGTGTTTTAGTCATGAAGTCCTTGCCCATGCCTATGTCCTGAATGGTATTGCCTAGGTTTTCTTCTAGGGTTTTTATGGTTTTAGGTCTAACATTGCAGTCTTTAATCCATCTTGAATTAATTTTTGTATAAGGTGTAAGGAAGGGATCCAGTTTCAGCTTTCTACATATGGCTAGCCAGTTTTCCCAGCACCATTTGTTAAATCGGGAATCCTTTCCCCGTTTCTTGTTTTTGAGTGGGCAAAGGATATGAACAGACACTTCTCAAAAGAAGACATTTATGCAGCCAAAAGACACATGAAAAAATGATCATCACTGGCCATCAGAGAAATGCAAATCAAAACCACAATGAGATATCATCTCACACCAGTTAGAATGGTGATCATTAAAAAGTCAGGAAACAACAGGTGCTGGAGAGGATGTGGAGAAATAGGAACACTTTTACAGTGTTGGTAGGACTGTAAACTGGTTCAACCATTGTGGAAGACAGTGTGGCGATTCCTCAGGGATCTAGAACTAGAAATACCATTTGACCCAACCATCCCATTACTGGGTATATACCCAAAGGATTATAAATCATGCTGCTATAAAGACACATGCACATATATGTTTATTGCAGCACTATTCACAATAGCAAAGAACTGGAACCAACCCAAATGTCCAACAATGATAGACTGGATTAAGAAAATGTGGCACATATACACCATGGAATACTATGCAGCCATAAAAAGGATGAGTTCATGTCCTTTGTAGGGACATGGATGAAGCTGGAAACCATCATTCTCAGCAAACTATCGCAAGGACAAAAAACCAAACATCGCATGTTCTCACTCACAGGTGGGAATTGAACGATGAGAACACTTGGACACAGGAAGGGGGACATCACACACCGGGGCCTGTTGAGCAGTTGGGGGAGGGGGGAGGGATAGCATTAGGAGATATACCTAATGTAAATGACGAGTTAATGGGTGCAGCACACGAACGTGGCACATGTATACATGTGTAACAAACCTGCATGTTGTGAACATGTGCCCTAGAACTTAAAGTATAATAATAAAAAATAAATAAATAAAAGAAAAAAAAGAATAGAAAGCATATAGAAAAAGAAAAAAAATACTTGTAATCTCATTATCCCAGAAAATTCATAAGTTTCATTCATCTTTTACTAAGCATACCTTTACACGCTTATCACTAAATACATATATAAATCCATATTCTGCTTTTCCATGTTAAAACCTCATAAATATTTTAGCGGACATCATAAATGATGTTCCATTTAATGGAAGTACTATGTGTTACTTAACCATCATCCTAATATTAGACTTTTGGGTTTTACATTTTTTACAATAACAAAGAATATAGACATAGTTGGCATACAGCTGCTCCTCAGTATCCAAGGAGGATTGATTCCAGAACCACCCCTGACCATCGACACCAAAATCAGAGATTGCTCAAGTCCCTTATGTAAAATGGCATAGTATTTGCATGTAACCTATGCACATCCTCATGTATACTTTAAACCATCTCTAGGTTGGTTATAATACCTAATACAATTTAAATGTTAAATAAATTGTTATACTGTATTTTAACATTTTATTTTTAATTGTTGTATTTTTTTATTGTTTTTAAAAATATTTTTGACCTGCACTTGGTTGAATCCACAGATGTGCAACTCACTGATACAGAGGGCTGACTGTATATATTTTTAGCTATTCATACTAATTACTTAAAACTTATGCATTCAAGTAGAATTATTGGGTCAAAGGGTATGATAACTTTAAAACTCTTGACTTATATTGTCAAATTGCTTCCCCATAAAAATTTTTATTCCCATTAGCAAAGTACAAAAGTTTCCACTTAACTACACATTTGTTTAACATTTAGCATTATTATATCTTTAAAGTATTCATTAGTTTTATAAGTAACCTTCAAAGCCTTTTTATGAAAAATTTCAATTGGTGTCAAATTTGAGGAAAGAAATAGATTTCTAACATGTCTTATCCAAACACTATCAAACTGGTAAACAATTTAGAAAACTTTTGATTAATTTTTCAGTTGAAATTAAGCATTCTAAAAACTATAAAGCCCATAATAAAACTCTATATTCAAACTATGAGTCAAAAATGATCTCTAATATATATTACTTAGGTATAATGGGAAATGGAATTGAATAAAGAATAGCCCAATCAGATAGTAAAAGCCATTAATTGGACATGTTAAAATAAATACTGAACAGACCCGGCGCAGTGGCTCACGCCTGTAATCCTGCTTTGGGAAGCCGACGCGGCAGATGACGAGATCAGGAGATCTAGACCATCCTGGCCAACATGGTAAAACCCTGTCTCTACTAAAAATACAAAAATTAGCTGGGTGTGGTGGTGTGTGCCTGTAATCCCAGCTACTCAGGAGGCTGAGGCAGGAGAATCACTTGAACCAGGAAGTCAGAGGTTGCAGTGAGCCGAGTGCAACTGCACTCCAGCCTGGCGACAGAGCAAGACTCCGTCTCTAAATAAATACATACATACATACATACATACCTACATACTCAACAATACTGTAAGTTCCATTTCTTAACTTTCAATCTTTTCCTATAATTATGATTTAAGTATGTGACTCATAAACAGAATAAAACTGAGTTTTTTTCTACAATTTTGGATTTCCTTTTACAGGTGAGTTTAATTCATTTACATTATGATCCCTGATATATGTAGCTTTATTTCCACCATCTCATTTATTGTTTTAATTTACTAGTTTTCCTTTTGCCAATTTCCTACCCTTAAAATTTTTATTTTGAATTTATGCATTCAATTTTTATGTGTGTACTCAAGTCTTAACATTTTAGCTATAACAGTGGAATCAAGGAAGTCTAATGTAAATACCATTACTATTCTTTTCCTGAGCAATATATAGAAAATGGAAATTTTTAACTTAGTTTGCACCTTCCCATATTCCATGTTAATATTGTCTACCATTTAGCTCCATCTTATTTTCAGCTTCTCCTCAATTGGTCTCATCTTATTTTAAGGAACCAATTGTTGTTTTTCATTTTCAGTAGTTTACTCAGTAAGGTTTATGAGTAATAAATCCTCTCTATCTTGATTACCTGAAAATCTTTTAAATTTTGTTCTTTTATTCAGTAAATGTTGGATTTTCTCATTCTATCCTCCATTAGTTTTATTCTCTCTTTTACATATTCACTTATGTATTAACAAAACTTCCCTGTATTGTGAGAAGTTTCATAAGATCTACATTCCAGTTTATAAATTTTCTCTTCAGCTTTATCTAAAGCTGTATCTGATTTTTCATCTTCCAATGAGTTTTAAATTTCAATCATTATGCCTTCCTCTCTAGACATTCCATTTGTTTTTTTCTCCAAATCTGTCTTTTTAACAATATTCTGTTATTTCATTTGTGCTTATGTTCCTTTTAAAAATATGGTTTGTCTTTTTACATCTACTTTACTCTATAGTTTCCTTCAGATTGCTCTATGAGTTCATGTTAGTAGACTGCTAACTCATTTATTATTGCTGACTCTCCCTTACAGTGGACAATTTTCTTGGGTGATTGGGAACTTTGTATTGTAAGCTTATTGACAGGTGTGGCTTATTTTTGTCTTAGACTAATGAACTTAGTTATGAAAGGAAACTTAGATAGTGGCTTGCTGTTTGCTCTGCTGGTGTCCTAGAAGCTTAATTATACATCTTTCGTGTTTTGCTTCTAGCACTGTATCTTAGATTCCATACCAGAGCTAGGGTGAGGTTATGGTTTTACTATGGGTTTTATTTAAATGAAGTCTTCATTTCCCTTTTCCTACCACTTTTTTCTATGTCTTCCCTTGGCTGGTGGGCAAAAATGTTATAGTTGTTTCTTGTGGGTAGGTCAGGCATTTGTGAGTTTCAGCTTTCTTTAGGGTTCTTATTTCCAAGTCTAGGTCTCACAAAGCCAGGACTTCTTCTCTGTGCCAAAACTGAAACCCTGATTTCCAGTCCCCGGGACCCATGTCCATATCCAGCTCCCCGCTCCTGGTTATATTGGTGTCCACTCACACCGTTACCTCTCTAGCTTGGAGTTGCAGCTTCATTTTTGGCATTTGAGGATTTCTCTAATTTCTTTCTTTTGGACCACGTATTTTCTCTCTCTCTCTTTCTGCATGCACATGTATGTCTCTACTAAGTTTGCAATATTTTATCCAACATTTTAATATATTTTCAGTCAAAGGTGTTTGTATTAAGCGCTTAACAAGGAAATATATCTGAATTCGTTTTGAACAAATTAACAAATAAATATCAACAGTAATATTTTCTATATATTTCACATTGTATTCCTCTTAAGTACCAAGTTAGCTTTTGAAAAAATATTATGCTACATTATCTAGGTAACTCTGAATCCTACTAACATCCATTATGAACTCTGAATTTCTCCTATCTAGCAGTACACCTACATTTATATCAGAATTATTTGTATACAATTTTGAATAGATTCAGAGGTTGTAGTTCTTACCTGGTTCACTGAAAGTAGACTAGCTTTATTTTGAGATAAATTGTGATATCATTGAAGGACTATTTATTAATGCATTCCAGACACTAATTCTCCCAAAGGAAATAAATATTAAATGATAATTCCTAATTGCTGATTACAACTTTCTGGCTATCTTTTCTACTCCCATTCTTTTTCTTAATACTGACCTTGTCCCTCTTGCGAACTTTGCACTTTCACTGTTAGAAGCCTTTGTTTTCCAAAATAATGGCCAAACAATATTATTTTTTTACAAGACTTTGGCAGTAATGCTGTCCCAGATACACTAAACTAACTGGTAAACAGAAACTATAGCTTTCACTGTAAAATACTGTAATTACACAGTGCAGAATATCTCTGTGGTTTTATCACTGAGGAAATCAATAGTGATATAGACTACAATTCTCTGTTGGACTGGAGTGGATACAGGAGGGCAGATGAAAGAGTTTATTGACTTAGTAGGGATTGTTACTATAGCAAATCAGAGCTGCAGAAATAAATAGCTTTAAATGGAATGATTTTAACCCGAACAGCAAAATGTTTCCATCAAACAAGAGACGTGATAAAAATACAAACAAAAACAAACACAAACACAAACAAACAAACAACTAAAAAATCTCCTCCTATAGCCTCATTCCTCTTCCCTGTCAATAGACACACACTTCATGCCATCATTACTGGCAAATATCCAATCATAAGGAAAAAATTCTATGAATGCCTAAGAAATGATCTAGAAGCTAAGGGGTTGCTATGTCATGAAAGTCTTAGTTTGAATATATCATGTTTGTATTTGTCATAATTTAAAATGTGACATTTTCTATGACTAATAAAAGGTTCTGTCTCGTGGCATTGTATTCCTTGTTAAAGAGGTTGTTCTGAGGATTTGTAAATATGCACAATGGAAGTAGTAGGCATTAAATCACCCAAGATTGAAATAGTACATTGAGAGAGAAAGAACGTGAAAGGCAGAAAGATAGAAAAAGTCCAACTATTTCTACTTTGCAATCGCATGAATCAGTTTGTTCTAGAGTAAAGGAAAAATACTAAGTGATGAAAATGTTAAAAAGACTAACTTGTATGTGGTATGTTGCTATTTTAATCCTCAACCCAAACAAACTCTGTACCTCTAGATAAATGGTTAGCAAAGCCGATTTTCATTTATGCATTTCTAGTACAAACTTGTGAGGTTCACAGTGGCAGGCCCCACATCATTACCAGAAGCTGTGCTTTATACACTCAGCAGCAGCCCGTTCTTGGGGAATGCAGTGTACCCTGAACATAAAAATAAGAGGCCTATTGGATTTTTATTCTGTGTGAGCAACATAATTGTTTATTTGTATTTTAAGTAAGATATCTTTCTAAAGGTTCCTGTGTGTATAGACTCTGAAAAGTAAACAGGATTTCATAAGTGTGGTAAAAACAAAATATTTTATTCTTAAATGACAAGTACAAATACCTTTGCACAAACACCTTCAGCTGCTTGTATTCTGCTAGCAATGTGTAATGTATTATGAGAAATGTCAACACTAGACAACCATTAGTTCAGATCCAAAGACAGCACATTTTTTGATCCATTAATCTGAATAGGTATGATTTCAGAATAATTCTTAATACCTCAATTTATGGTCATGAAAAGAGATAGTAAACTGTGTACATCTGAGGGCTCCTCAATAAAGGGGTCAGAGTTTGCAAGTATGAAATCAAACTACCACTTAATTAAGAAAATCTAAAGAACAAAGACGTGAAAAAAATGGAGAATATCTAGCTTATAGCACCCATTACATTCCTGAGCCAATCTTCGGCACTCATTTTAAAAATGTATGCTTTATCAATATTTATTTCCTTTAAATAAACTAAATCATACCCGCATTATAATTTCTAATACAAACCCAGAATTTTCAAGAGGTTGCAGAGATGTTCTCACTAAACATTCGTTCTAAGGTAAATCTACCTACAGAAATGTTTGTCATCTTTACATCTATTTTACACTCCATGGACATTTTCGTTAGGTACCTGCCATGAATTAAGAATAAACGGCTTACATTTTAGAAGTCTTGTTTTGACTCTGTGAGGAGTTTAGAGTGCTCTTTTGTGCTTTCTGATAAAACTAAGTAATGGTTCCCTTCCATATAAGTGATAGAATCAACCCTTGCTCATGAAAAAGCAATATTGCATGCCATTTGTTAGCCGGACATAGTTACTTTTTATTCTGGTTCCTGGAAAATTCGCTTTTTCCAATTTTGAGAGCAAGCTAGAATATTGCTATGTTATTGCATTTTATTGTTGTTGAAAGAATTCTTTATTTCTAATGTTTCCTTAAAAAACTCCAAATGGTTCAATCTCCAGCCCCCTCAATGTCTGCAGTTTGCTTAAATTGACTTACTCTGCATGCAAAGCCCATCAGTGCAGTTCTTGGATTGCAAGACGAGGCCGTCGCAGTCCTTGCCTCCATTCTTGGGGGCTGGCGCCGTGCACTCCCTCCTGCGCCAGTGGGTGCACTCAGTTCCACAAGTAGACCACTTGCTCCATGGCGTCCACCTGCCATCCACTGCCATGGAAAAAATGCAGCAGGAGGTCAGAGGGAGAGGCAGCTGCTTAAGGGATGGAGCAGAGCTCAAATATAATACAACAAAACAAAACAAGAACAAGCATGCCCTACTGAGAAGCACTGTATTCATTTCAATTGCTGGGAACTGCATGTTCTACATCATTTGGGTTTGGTGAGCTTTTCCTATAGAGTGTGTGAGTGCTTTCTCATTGACCAAGCCAAGGGAGGCTGACTGAGACATACAAAATCCAAAGTTGTCACCAGGAGCTATGTAAAAGTAGGCCATGATGGTTTCCCTTTTCCTATTAATGGGGGAGCTTCTGGGTTTTGTATTGAAAATTAGGAGGGCTCTCTTTGGATCCAGGATTCCTTCATTCCTAGGGCCATGTGGACAGTGAAAGTAAGCTCATGTGAGAATTCAGAGAAGAGGTTGGTACGGTGGAGAAGAAATCTATCCAACCTTCCATTCATTCATCCAGTTGGTATATATCTATTTATCTCTTCTCTTTCAACTGCATTTTATATAGTCTTTTTATTTTACTTTTTTCATCTGGCCTGCTTGATTCTGCTGAAACCTGTAATGTTTTCATGAAAACACTATTATTTTTCATTTATTATTTGATGATGTTTCTGTTTCTATTTTTATTAAAAAATTTTAGGTAAGTCCCTAATATTTCTTGTGATTCAGTCATTTAGAACTGACTTACTTTCTTCCTAATTTTGGTGGCTGGCTTGTCAGCAACTTCAAAGATAATGAACTTAGATATCTCTATTTTAAAAGCACACAACTTAAGTCTCAGTTTGAAAAAAGATATAGTAAATTTCAATCACACTTCAAAATGCAGCTTAAGCTTCTCACAAAAATAGGATAAAAATATTGAAATAAGAGCTTTAAAATATTAATTTTCCCTGAAATATATAATTATGATGATCAAGGATTCAATGTAAAACAATGCTAAACATCATTTCTTGAACACCTTAACCTTTTATATCTACATATTAGTAAAAATTATATCATTTTAATAGTCTACATAGTTTGAGAAATCTAAGTGATTTCATATTCAAATTATTATGTAAATATATTGTGTATAATGTGGATATGGTTATAAACATACCCACATGAAAAATGAGAAAAGCATTAATATTTCAGTCATACAGAACTGGCTGTATAAGCAAGTCCCAACTACTTAGAGCAAAAACATTTGCTTTGACCTGCACCAATCCAGTGTACCAAAACACTGACACACACACACACACATTTCTATTTCAACTCTAATTGATCAGTGCATTTTTAATTGTGGGAGTCAGCTCCTATAAAACAAAATCTGAAATTTTAAGCTAGCTAAGTGTCAAAATTTGTTTCATAAATAAAAGCTCTCAAAGGGCTCACTGTGGGAGACTGCTCTGACATTTGGAAATCAACACTTGGGAATGTAAAGTGTAGATTATGTATATCTCTCCAGTTCATTTGTCCAGCCCATCTCTGAGAAAGGTTAAAAGATAAAGGTTAAAGGATAAACATGACCAAATTAGGCAAAAAGGAGAAGTAAGGAGGCTGTGTATCTGAACAATAAAATTGAAAACACAATAGCTACTCCAATGAGTGCAGTAAATTTATGGATTATTTCAAAATTTTAGCTTAGCTTTGGAATATATTGTATAACGAGGCATTTTAAAGGGTTTTGTTTTTGCTTTTGGCAAATATTATCTTCGATTTACCTAGGGATAAGAGCTGGTAGCAATATGAGATAGTACAGAAAGATGCTAAGAGGTGGAGAGATGCATGCACTCTTGCTGTAGGTACTACAGCAAATAACAAAAAAATAGATGACCAACATTTACAGATAACAAAGAACTGACTGCATTGTAGTTTCAGAATCCATTATCCCAAGTACCAAAAAACTTTGCATTCCTTATAATTCATTTCAAATGTTGTATTTGCCCTTCACCAGAAACTGACACCAAATATAAAATATTTCCATCTAAAACATTTTCTAAATTTCAGTTCCAATTAATTTCTACGGTTTTCTGAAGATCAAGGATTGTTATTCCTAAAATGTGTGGCTTCCAGTGCCATTCAAATCCTTTGAATTATAAAATCTGCAATCTTGGCCCCAGCAGTTTTGTTGAATAATATAAAGGGATTATATCCAGTAGTGTTTAATCTCCTGTTTTGTACAATTTTGCATGTTTTGGTAACAAAGTTAAGTATTCTTTTGGAGGAAAATACTTGATTTCCCAGCAATGTAAACAGTGAGTAGGATGGATTTAAATAACGTTCATCACACATTCAGATCAAGAATAAAGTCTGTGTATCTATTCTCTAAAAGCATGTTTCTTGAATAATAGGAGATACTTGGAATGAGAGGACTGGTTTATTTACCTGGGCATAACGTAGTACAGGCTATTTTCTGCACACTCTGCCCTTCACAGAAGGCACCCCCATTGAGTGGTGCCGGGTTGGTACAAGTCCTTGTACGTTTCTGATACCCTCGTCCACAGCGGCTGTTACACACAGACCACTCCGTCCAGGTGGACCAGCCACCGTTGACTGAAAGGAGGCAAACAGTAAAAAGTGGATTAAACATGTGTGCATGCACAACACACATGGACACACAAAACAGACACAATATGTAAACAAAGAGTTATTTTCCAAGCGACCATTATAAAAATCCAAAATTTCAAAGCCAGAAGAGACCATGGACCTCATTTTATCCAAAGTTTTATTGTATAGACAGAGAAAAAAAAAAGTTTGTCAAGATTTACTCACCTACTCAGAAAAATAAATAGGACTGTATGTGTTCTCTTTTCTTTGGCCAGTGTTCTTAAAAAATACACCTATCTCCTCACCTAGTCAAGCTCCAAAATTACTTTTGACAGCTCGTCTCAAATAATAAATGTTTACATCTCTATGAAAAGCCTGCAAGTCAATCTATAGCATGGGAACAGAATAAAATAATTTAGCCTTAAAAAAAAGATTGATTTTTTAAGCATATGTAAACTTTACAACGTTTTAAGGATTTTTATTCACTTGCACAAACCAGTGAACCTGGTTAAAAAATAAAATCTTACAGTACTGGGGTTATAAACAAATTGACTGGCTATTTGAGTTACTTGGCGATTAGTTGATATTGAAATAAACACTTACTTTGTGTATAAAGGCCAATTATGATGTCTGATGGAGCTGTCAGCATATGTGATTGTAAAACCTACACCGTAAGACTGCACACTATTCAGTTCTGCAGACCTCTCTTTAGAAAATACTTTGATATATATTTTTAATACTTCAATAATGTGAGTCTGTACAATATTGTAATTAAACAATTTCTAACAAAATTATTTCCTTGTAGCTAAAATATAATACAACTAGTATATGCATCTGTTTCCTGATACTAAAGAAGTGTATTAGCCATTCAAGTAACACAAACCTTATATGTGCACAGCATTTGCCCAATATTTTGTTTTCTAGAAACCTATACAATAGGGAATAATCATGAATGTTATATTTACAGACAGAAACATTTTTTACAGCAACTTTATTTAATATAAAGATGAATAATTGGAAACAACTGTAATGTTCAAAAACAAGACAATGGCAAAGCCAGCCACATATGTTCATGTAATGGACTCCTGGACAGCCATTAAAAGTGATACTGTAGAAGGCTATTTAATAATTCATGAGGCTGGGTGCAGTGGCTCATGCTTGTAACCCAAGCACTTTGGGAAGCCAAGGAGAGAGTATTGCTTGAGACCAAGAGTTCAAGACCAGCCTGGGCAACATAGCAACACCCTAGCTCCACAAAAATTAAAAAAAAAAATTAGCAGGTCATGTCAGCATGTGTATATAGACCCAGTTACTCAGGAGGCTGGGGCAGAAGGATCCCTTGAGCCCAGGAGTAGAGGCTGCAGTGAGCTATGATCACATCACTACACTCCAGCCTGGGCAACAGAGTGAGACCCTCTCTCCAAATAAATAAATAATACATGAATGTTTCAGTATGTTTTAAATAAAAGTAATGTTTATGGATACATTATGCATAATGTATATGTATATAATTTTATATAATATGTATACAATACTTAATATGTATTTATACATTTTAAATTATAAAAGATGTATAATATAACAATGTATAATGCTTATTTTTAAATCTTATGTATACATATAAAGTACTGGTAGTATATGCCAGGTGCAGTGGCTCATGCCTATAATCCCAGTACTTTGGGAGGCCAAGATGGGCAGATTGCTTGAGTCTAGGAGTTTGAGACTAGCCTTCATCTCTACAGAAAATACAAAAATTAACCAGGTGTGATGGCACATGCCTGTAGTCCCAGGTACTTGGGAGGCTGAGGAGGGAGGATCATTTGAACTCAGGAGACAGAAGTTACAGGAGCCAAGATTGCGCCACTGCACCCTAGCCTGGGCGACAGTGAAACCCTGTCTCAAATAAAAAAATAAAAAAAAAAGAAAGAAAATTCAAGTAGTATACATATAATTTTTGTTTAAATGCTATCTCTGGGTGGCAGAATTATAGGTATAGGTATTTTCTTCTTTGACCTTTTCTGTATTCCAAATTTTCTTTAATGGATGTATATTTGCAATCTAAAAATTACATTAACAAAAAATATATAAAACAGTTGCTAAATATGAAATACTGGTTAGATATATATGTTTTCTATGGAGTTCTGGTGAGTCCAACCTATGAGGCTTGGACAAGTTATTTTAGGAGTTAATGTAAAGGACAAGCAGATGGTAGATAGGTAGGGTTTCAGTGAGTGTTCCAAAAAGCAACTTAACCTGCTCAAGTTTACAAAATTCCCTGCCATGGAATTGTCTGTATAAACTGCTTACTAGCATACTGGCAAGCTGATATTTGGGGTTTAGGATATATGTACTGTTCTGCTGGGATTTTAATGAGAAATGAATAATCAGAAATTTTCAGAGATGAAAAAGTCTTTGAAGATCGTAGGTTTATCCCTTCATTTACAGAGAAGGAGGCAAGGGCTCAGAGAATCCTGGTTAAAAGACCCTCTGAAGATCAGGTAGTGACAGAAATACTCCTATGACCCAATATTCCTGACCCCAGTCCAAAGCTATTTCCTTAATTCTAAATACTAAGTTACTTGCGTTTGATCCTTCCTAAAGACAACACATTCATTGTATTTATGGATATTGAAAGCATAATATACATAGGAAGAGATTTGCATGTGCATTAAACATCTATATAATACAACTATATATAGTCTGCCTTCATTAGTTATTTATGACTGGCACATGCTGTGATTGTGCCCCATTTCTTTCTTGCATTTCAAATGTTGTTAATCAAGTCTTTCAGGCAGTTTAAAAAGAGATAAGAAGAAGAAAACATTTTATTGTGATTTAAGAAAGGCAATTGCATACAATTCAACACAGCCATTATCTGGACTAGGAAATTAAACCTCAGGGTAATCAGAGGATCAAAAAATTTTTGTGCCATTTTTCCTGTAATTAAAATGACATTTTTAAAGCAGCACTACATTCATCCTTTGGAACAGCATAGTGGTTTCTCTTCTCATAAACACACATCCATCTGAATGGTACTGTGGGGTAGGCAATATTTTACTTCCACTCTTTTAGGATTTTTTTTTTGGCTGGGCCTAAGAATTAAATTGGTGTAACACAAATCAACAGGAGAAAAACATGTAAATTTACTTAATATAACTTTTACATGGCCTAAGAAAATGAAGACCCAAAGATGCAGTTATAGTTGAATGCTTATATATTGAATTGGACAAAGAGTAGCAAGTTATGAAAAAGTCAATTATGTGTTAAGGCTAAAAGAAGATTAAGAGTTATTTTAATAAGATCGATACAGAATTATCTGGATCGTAACTTCCCCGTGGTCTCAACTTCCTGTCCTTGAGGATAAGAATGTTACTTTCCTTCTGGTATAGGGAAGCCATCTTTCAGCTGAAAATCTCCTCTCCTGCTTTTAAGAGACAGGACTAGCAGAGTGATCTTGAGCCCGCTGTTTCTCAAGGACCTTTAATGCAGAAAATAGTCAATATGCCAAGTGGCATATTTTGGGGTGACAAATTCTTAACTCCTTCAGTCCTATCATGTACCCCATAACATTTCAGTCAAGGACAGACTTCATATACCATAATGGTCTGTTCCATAAGGTTATAACAAAGCTGAGAAATTCCTATCACCTAATAACCTCATAGTTGTTGTAACATTGTGGTGTATTACTTTACTTTTTCTACAAATGTGCTATAGCCTAAGTGTAGTGTTCATAAAGTCTACAGCAGTGTAGAGTAATGTCCTCTGCCTTCCCATTCACTCACTACTCCCTCATTGACTCACCCAGAGCAACTTCCAGGCCTGCAAGCTTCATTCATAGTAAGTGCCCTATACAGGTTTATCTTTTTTTTTATCTTTGATATCTTATTTTTATAGCACCTTTTCTATGTTTAGATATATAAATGCTTACCATTTTGTTACAGTTTCCTACAGTATTCTGTACAGTAACACAGTATACAGGTTTGTAGCCTAGGAGTAATAGGCTATACCATCTATCCTATGTGTGCAGTAGGCTATACCATCTAGGTTTGTGTGAATACACTCTATGATGTTTGCCCAGTGATGAAATCACCTAATGATGCAATTCTCAGAATGTGTCCCCATCATTAAGTGACACATGACTGACTGTACTATGAGCCACATACTTGCCAGTGGGTCTCCCCCTCCTTCAGTCAGTAAGACTCCAAGGCCCACGGAGTTTAACACTAAAACAGTGATAAAAATCTTCATTATGTTCTAAGAGGTGGTGAGGCATGGGGACATCATTCTGGAGGTAGCATAACCTCTAAATACTTCCCAGGTTGTTCAATTTCCTCTGAGACAGTAAAACATCAATAATATGAGGAACTATTAGAGGTCTAACATTGTGAGAAATATGTAAATATATAGACCAGTCTCTCAGTCTATCAAGGAGCTTAACTTTAGCTGGGGAGATGAATCTACTCATGAAATGACTAGAAAATAACTGAGTGCTAAACCACACAGGGAGATAAAAGCATATGTGCCACATCAGAATGGGGTATGAAATTGCTTAGTACTTCCAGAGAATTGATAGGTTTAGAGATGAGCTGGCTTAGAAAGGACCAGGGTGTGGGAGGAATCTTCCTAAGAAGTTGCTTCGTTGGACTTTAGCATATCGTTAGGATTAGGGCCACTTGGCCAGATAAGGCAGCCCTTATCTTCACTCTGCACACCTCTGATGGAGTGAGTAGAATGAGTTATAAGAAGCTAAAATTGCTCTAATGTATTTTGGGAATAGGTCAGCTCCCGCTTTCTGAGGGTTTGCAATGATAAGACTGAGGTGTTAGGTCCACAGAAACATCAGCAGGCTGACAGAAGCATATTCATCTTTAGAACTCAATCTAGATCTTGGTGGTGCAGGTTCTGGAGAGAAGAGGGCTTATAGAAGCAGCAGGCACTCAGGTAGGCTTCCTTCGCTTTCCTAGAAGCTGACTGAGAAAGGGCTGAGGTTGTCTGAGCCTATCCTTTCATATCAGTACGAGGAAAGCAATTAAACCTCATTGCCCCTGTGAAAAGCAGCAAGCAAGCAGCGATGGAGATTGAAAAGGAGCTTCTAGAACCGGGCATGGTGGTACATGCCTGTAATACCAGCTACTCCAGAGGATGCTGAGGTGGGAGTATCCCTTGAGCCTAGGAGGTTGAGGCTAGAGTGAGCTACGGTCATGCCATTGCACGCCAGCCTGGGTGACAGAGCAAGACCCTGTCTCAAATAATATGAAATTTTAAAAAAAGGGCTTCTAGCTTTACCGATGCCAACGAGAAACTGCAGTTAAACATGAACTAGATTGAGACCCTGAAGGGCCACTCACCATAGACTATGACAGTGGCAGTTGTACTTTTCCTCTTGGCAACAATGTTTTTGGCAACACAGGTGTAATTTGCAGTATCAGAGAGTCGGGCCTGCTTTATGATGAGGTTGTGATCAATAGTAATATAAAAATTCCGATCTTCAACGGGATCAATTATGTCTTCATTTTTCAACCATTCCACCTAAAGATAAATGAGAAAAGTAGATAAATCCTCAGCATGGATCCCCTGATGGCTGTCTGTCCTAACCTGCATTTTGTACACTTGATCTTAGCCAAAAGGCCGAGAAGCGATACCTGTGTTTTGTAATATGTACAATGTTGTTCCAGGCCATGAACTTCTGCAAACTGGTGGGAAGTAACTTTCCAAGGTCATGTTAAGTATCACTCACCTGCCAAACATGCTGATTCTGTCTGTACTACATTATTCTCAAATGTCAGTGAACCAGTTGGGAAATACAGTGTTCAAATTGTTTTCACTTTGCCCTGCAGGCACGAATGGGGAATGTGTGCTGCCAAGTTCAGAACCCAATAAAAAATAATAGGATAAGCGTTTCAAACTGAACTCAAACCTTTCACTATTTGATTTGTTTACTCTTGGCAACTTACCTGCTGCTTTTCAGAAAAGAATAGAAAGACTATTTTTAAAAGCACAAAAGGCATTTTAGACATCACATAGCTGTAATAAAATAACATTTGGATGGTTTACGTGTAGCCTCACTGAAACGTATGGATTAAATATCCCTGAAAATACCTTTCAAAATGTAGCAAAACACATAGTTGGAGATGTATCTAAGCCAAATTTTTTTTTAAGTTTTTCTACCAATTCTTAATACAATCTGAATAGCTTACAAATCATACTCAAATCCCTCCTTTTGTATAATGCTAACATTCAAATCTTTGGCTCAGGGTGTGCTTTTGGGGAACCTGACCTTAAGACATGACCATTTAAAACTACTGAACTATTTTTTTCTATGTGAATAATATTAATGTAGTAATAGTGATGTTATACTTGCTGAATAAAAAGAGGAAACATACCTGTATAAGCTGTTCTTCTGGAGGTAAACTACTTCTTATTCTGGCAGTTGCCTTTTGTTTTTCTATGCACAGTTTTTTCCATAAAGCAAAACAACAAACAACGTTGATATTTACCACACTTAAACTCTCCTTTTGCATTAGGGTGAATGTGGATACAGGTAACCTTTAGTGGTAGGGAGTCAATATTGTTGCCATTTTCAAAACCTTAAGGAGCTACTCTAGCACCACAAGACGTCTAGAAATTAATCTCTAAATCTGTCAGTGGGTTTGACATTGCACAACTCTAAATTACACTTAAGGCAGGGACTCTCAAATAATGCTCCTCTAATCCTTAGAAGAGAAGCCAACATTTATAGAGAAAAATAAAAATCAACAACAATCCTGAAATATAGAAACATATGAGGTTGTAGAGTAGAGAAACTATTTGTAATGATGTAAATGCTGAAAAAGCTAAACATTCTTGATATTTGCACTCAGGGTAGTGAGAAAAAGAATAGAATCTATTTACAACAGTGGGTGTTTTAAATATGTATTTTGTTTCCAAATACAGACTCTACATTCAGTCAGAGATATGCCTGAGTATCTCTGAGATATATACTCATATTCACTTGACCTGGATTTTCTCAACGTTTCACCCTATGTGTGGAAATACGATCCTGCTGGAAGTGCACGGGAGAAGGTGGCACAATTTATACTGTTAAAAATCTCTTTGATGATAATTAAAAGTTGAAATTAATAGTTTTTGAGTGGAATCTTTACCTAGGTTATCTATGCCCTTCTAAAGAAAGCCTCCTATCACACAAAGCATGGACAGGCTCCCTTAGTCTCAGTTGTTCTTGCATCCCTTCTACAATTTTTGTGCTCAGTGTGCTTCTCTTTCAAGTACTCATACCTGGCCCTCTTCTCTGAAGAGCAGCCCTCAGGCTCACGGATTGTTTTTGCCAAGGATTTTTTATAACTTCCCCATTAGCCCCATTAGCCATTGACTAATGGGTGCAGAAATATGACTTCTGTCTCATTGGGTCAGAATCTGAGCTGTAACTTTCCAGAAGTCCCTTGCAGGGATGAGGCTGCAGCTACATCCTTGAGACTGGACCTGAATTGACACTATTATAAATGGAGCATACCTAATCCAAAAATCTGGAATCTGAAATGCTCCAAAATCTGAAACTTTTGAGCACCAACGTGACACCACAAGTAGAAAATCCCACACATGACCTCATGACCGGTTGCAGTCAAAATGCAGGTGCGTAACACACAGTTTATTCAGCATCCCCAAGGGAATGACGGTGACACCAAACAACCATAGATTGTCCACATGAGTGACTCACATAGTGATCCCTTTGCTTTCTGATGGTTCAGTGTGCACAAACTTTGTTTCAGGCACAAAATTGTTTAACATATTATATAAAGTTACCTTCAGGCTATGTGCATAACATGCATATGAAACAAATGAATTTCATGTTTGAACTTGGGTCCCATTCCCAACATATCTCATTATGTATATGCCAGTACTCCAAAACCTGAAGTCCAAAACAATTCTGGTCTCACACATTCTGTATAAGGAACATTCAACCTGTACTAGGCTTCTTTCCTCTCCTGCTTGCTCACCCACTTACAGGGTTCTCCTGGAAGCACTTTCTTAAAAAACTACTCACATTCATACCTTTGGTTCATGGTTTGCCTCTGGAGAACCCATAGCTATTCAAAACTACGGTTCCTCCTATGTAAATGATGTCAGTTTAACAGTGATGTTATCCTAATCATAAACAACATAAAGAAGTCCCAAGGGATATTAGAAACCACTTGTTTGTATGAAGAGTTTATTACATGGAAGAAAGTGTTCAATCTGCATGGTTGACAAAAGATTTGAAGAGACATGATTGCTGGGTATATGATCTTCACTCGATTATACATAATTACACATTTGCCTTGGGTGTCTCTTGCCTGTGTTGGAGCAGTGGTTCTGACCTGAACCTCAGGACCCCTGAGAAGCCCCAGCAGTGTTTGACGACCCCTGTGGGGGACACTGCTCTCCTCCCTTAACTCCCACTTGAATCACAGAAACTCTGCTTTTATCTGTTTTCCATACTGGATTTGCTTTCACGCCTTTGTTTCAAGAAGCAAAGGGTCCTACAGCTAGAAAATAGCTGCGGGAATGAAGAGGGGGGCCCAGGACTCCTCCAGCTTCTGACAAGACCCCACAGTCCCCAACACCCCAGTGCTGCCAGCCATATCACAGCACTCTGCTTTGAGACAATCATCTCCATGAAAGGCTCAGTGAGGACTGCAGGCCGCCCCTCACCTCCTGTGCTGTAATACCAGGGGCTACACATCACCAACTCCAGAAGTCCTGACACTCTTCCATACCGCCTGGAAGACAGCATGAAAATCTTCTAACATTTTGGTCTCTTTTTAGATTGTTTCCTTTACGTTTTTCTCATACTAAAGTCTAGGTCTTTCTGATGCCATTGTTTCTTCTGAAGTCCTCTGAAGGGGTGGATGTTGATTTCCCAAATCCAATGTGCCACTGGGTCTGGGGATGGGTAAGTGCTGTGCTTGCTCAGCATTGTGTCTTTCAGACTGTTCTCTCTAAACATCTTTGCCTTGAATCTCATGTCACCAGATTATATCACCCAATTTTGACTCTTTTTTTGTTTGTAGTTATTTACAGACCTCTGGGCTTATAGTCACTTTATCTAAAGCATAATTTCTGAAGAGTTTAATAACCACAAAGGTGACGCTTCCAACGTCTTGGCCCTTCAGTTCCATGACCCTCCATCCTGCAATGACCTTATCCTCTAAGGTCACACATTCTAGGCCAAAGGTTTTCAACTCCGCTTCACAATAGAATAATGTGGAAAACATTTGTAATATATTAATTCTAAATTCAACCCAGAGAAGCTAAATCCAACCCACAAAAACTCCAATTCACTGGTCTAGCATCAGTGTGTTTTAAGCTCCCCAAGGGTTGTAATTTACTGTTAGGGTTGAGAAATACCAGTCTAGATCATTGCCCTTAAAAATGCAATCCCTGGATCAATAGCATCAGTGTCACTGGGAGCTTGATAGACATATAGAATCTAAGGCTCTGCCCACCTATTACCAAATCAAAATATGCATCCTAGTAAGAACTTCAGGGGGTTATATCCACACTAAAGTTTGAGAAGCATGATTTAGCTCTTGTCCTTATCATCAATTACAACTCCTCCATAAACTTAGTTCCAATTATCCTTTCCTTTACCCTTTTCTGTCTTTCCTATTCACTCTAAGATACTGAATTCAATAATCCTTCACCAGCACCTACAATCTATTGAATTTACCAATTTGTTTCTCAGACTTTCAAGTATAAATTCCAATGTCTAGCTTTATATATGATTCTTGCATTATACTGTCAATGCTCTCATCCCTTTGTCACTTCAAGATATTCACTTGGCCACTATTTGCCTACAACACCACTGTGTGTTGTTTTTTGTTTTTTTTTTTTAAGACAAAGTCTCACCGTGTGCAGTGGTACAATCTCAGCTCACTGCAGCCAGCCTCCACCTCCTGAGTTCAAGCGATTCCTGTGCCTTAGCCTCATGAGTAGCTGGGATTACAGGTGCCCACCACCATGCCAGGCTAATTTTTGTATTTTTAGTAGAAATAGGGTTTCACCATGTTGGCCAGGCTAGTTTCGAACTCCTGACCTCAAGTGATCTGCCTGCCTTGGCCTCTCAAAGTGCTGGGATTACAGGTGTGAGCCACCATGCCCGGCACCCCGCTCTGTGTTCTTGAGGTGGAACATGGGTGTAAATAGCCATGGAGAGTGGGCTCATCTTAAAATTCATAACAGATCACAAGTGGGCCTTTATTTCTGCCAAGAAAGCACATTATGTTTTCATTGTTCACTTTCTCCTTCTCCTAGATAACTATTTCACACTCCTCTCCACTACCTCCCCTTCTAGCCTCACTTTCAGCTGATGACCAAGATTTCTATGTCACTGAGAAAACTGACAATCACAAGACATCTTCCAGGGCTCTCCCACTATCTGTGTCCTCACCCCCATCTGCACCCTGTCTCTTATCACTGGGGGAGCTCTCTGTGTTCCTATCTGTCACCTCGGATTTGTACTCCGTATCTTAGTCTCGCTCTTCTATTCAAGGGCAAGTCCCAGCAATTCTCTTCTTTCTCTCCTAAATTATTCAATTTCCCTTGATACTGAATCATTTCCACCAGCCTGCAGATGTGCTGTTAGCTTTCAAAACTTAGAACAAAAACCCTTCTCACCCGTTTCTGCCTCTACTCACCCCCCGCCCACCACCTATATTTCTCTGCTTGCCCTGCCTTACAAAACTCCTTGGAATAGTTGTTTACATTTGCTGTCTTCAATTCCCCACTGAGCCCGCTCTAATCTGTGTTCACTTCCACTGCTTCACCATAGCTGCTCCTTTCTCTTTGCTAAATGTGCTGCTGAGGTCTTAGTGCTCATCTTACTTGACTCACAGCAGCACGTGATCCGGTTACTCCCTTCCTCCTCCTGACTTGCTTTCTCTGGACAGCACACTTTCCTGGGTTTTGTCCTACATTGCTTCATGCCTCACAGCTTCCTTAGGCTAACATTTGTGTCCCTGTGGCTCGGTCCTTGGAATTCTGCTGCTTTCTATTTTCTATCCATATTCACTTCCTTGGTGAGCTCATCCAGTCTCACACAGATGACTCCTAAATTTATCTCCAGCCCAGACCCCACCGCTGATCTCCAGACTCGTATATCCAACTGTCTTCATGCAACTCCACTTGGTTGTCTGATAATGACCTCCTGAACCGCCTTTCCAAACCTGCTCCTCTCACAGTCTTATGCACCTCACTTAATGCCAACTGTAGCCTTCCAATTACTTAGACAAAAGCCTGACTTAGTGTTGACCACTTTTTTCCTCTTTCTTAGCCCATTCAATGTTAGAGCAGCACACATTAGGAATTGGACCACTTCTCATTCCCTCACTCCCACCTCTTCCTGGTCCAAGTCACTATCGTTTCCTTCCTGAATTATTGCAAACACTGTTTGTCTTATCTTCTGCTTTTCCTCTGAAAACTCAACTGTCTATTTTCAAGACTGTAGTTAGAGTGATCCATAAACTGTAAGTCAGAGCATACTATATGTATGAGTCAGAGTTGTCTAGAGGGACAGAACTAAATAAATATATATATATATATATATATGAGTTTATTAAGTATTAACTCACATGATTACAAAGTCCCACGATAGGCCTTCTGCAAGCTAAGGAGCAAGGAGAGCCAATCCAAGTCCCAAAACTAAAGAGTTTGGAGTCTGATGTTTGAGGTCAGGAAGGGTCCAGCATGGGACGCTTGCTAAATGTGCTGCTGAGGGAGAAAGATGTAGGCTGGGAGGCTAGGCCAGTCTAGACTTTTTATGTTTCTGTGCCTGCTTTATCCTGGCTGTGCTGGCAGCTGATTAGATAGATGGTGCTCACCCAGATTAAGAGTGAGTCTGCCTTTCCCAGCCCACTGACTCAAATGTTAATTTCCTTTGGCAACACCCTCACAGACACACCCAGGATCAATACTTTGTATCTTTCAATCCAATCAAGTTGACACTCACTATCAACCATCACACTATACCTCATCTCAAACCCTCCTAATGGCTCCTTCTCTTACTCAGTGTCAGCGCTGAAGTCCTTACAACCAGCCTGGACAACATAGTGAGACCACACCTCTATAAGAAACATGCAAAAATTAGTAGAGCATGGGGCATGTGCTTGTATTTGCAGCTACTTGGGAGGCTAAGGCAGGAGGATGGCTTTAGCCTGGGAGGTCAAGGATATAGAGAGCTATGAGTGCACCACTGCACTCCAGCCTGGGTGACACAGCAAGACACTGTCTCCAAAAAACAGAAAAGAAAAGAAAAAAGTGGCATAGGGATAGGAGACAGGGAGAAAAAAAAAATGGATTCAGACAATAATTGGAAGGGACAGAGGACAGGACATATGAGTTGACGGTATGTGGAAAGGGGGGTGCAAGGGGCACTCATCTTCCATTTCTGGCTTAAGGACCCATTTACGGAGCAGGGATACAGGAGGCAGAAAGTAATTGAGGGTAGAAAGGATAATGATTCAGATTTGGCTGATCTCACAAGGAATCCAGCTAGCACAGCATGATTTTGACAACAGGTAAGTTGCTAAAAATTCCCATTATTTCCATGAACAAAGTGAGTTTTTCTCTTAAAGTTTTGAAATAATTTTTAAAAATAACCCTGAGGACTTCTGCTTCTTTTGGATCAGCTTTATCTTAGCATTAAGAACTGAACATGGATATTGATAAAAAGGATATTTGCAGGGCCAGCATGGCTGCAACAACATTTATTACCATTGTGGCTTAGATAAAAATGATAAAGCGTTAATAAAACTTAGAAGATGAATGGAAAGGAAAACAGTGTGTGAGAATAATTCTGTTTATCATGTAAAGGATTGTCTGAATCAGCAAATCAATATAAGAGCCATAACATACAATTTAAAACATATAACCTTTTCATGCAGTATTTCCAGAACACACACTACTAAACTAACATTCTTCCATGTGAAACAATTCCACAATGAGTCTCCTTATATACACTGTATATAAAATTCCAAGAAACAATACAGAATCTTTTGTTGTGTTAGAAATTTATTGCATTGAATAGTATGTAGTTAATTATATTGTTGCAAAGCTATTTATTTGTAAGCTAATCTTGGTTAACCAGGAGTCAGTACTCTGGTCTGGCCACTGAATTCTGTTCATATTTTGGTCATTTCAATGCTTTTTGTTGATTTCAACCTGAGGCTTCTCTTTTCTCTACTCCTTCCATTGAACAAACTGATTTATACAAGAAAGTAGTCTTTCTGAGTTAGAAATTATTTTTAGTTACATAAAAATATTCCAAGAGAAAGAAAAACAGGTTGGAGTTCAGAAAACAATAAAAGACTTCAACCATAAACCATGACTTGTTGTCATGGTTGCAATGATGCAAAATAATGTTCAAACAATTTCTGTCCTTGTGGTTCAGTAACTATAGTCCTTTCAATGATTTGGGGCATATTTGAACTAATTTACTCAAGTGTTTATAAAGGCATGGGATTTTATTAACAGGTACTAAAAACAGTTACACGGCAATATTAGAATGACCTGTTTGCCTATTCTGCTGTTGTTTGGTGTTATTAGTCCCACTATGTGTAATCGACCATCTTATTCTTTTTTTTTTTTTTTTTTTTTTTTTTGAGACGGAGTCTCGCTCTGTCGCCCAGGCCGGACTGCGGACTGCAGTGGCGCAATCTCGGCTCACTGCAAGCTCCGCTTCCCGGGTTCACGCCATTCTCCTGCCTCAGCCTCCCGAGTAGCTGGGACTACAGGCGCCCGCCACTGCGCCCGGCTAATTTTTTGTATTTTTAGTAGAGACGGGGTTTCACCTTGTTAGCCAGGATGGTCTCGATCTCCTGACCTCATGATCCACCCGCCTCGGCCTCCCAAAGTGCTGGGATTACAGGCGTGAGCCACCGCGCCCGGCCTCGACCATCTTATTCTAAGGAGCAGTTCCTAAAGTACCAGCTAAGAGGGCTGCTTTCAACTGCTTGGGCCCAAAACTGAACTCTGCGATTTTGGAGCTAATGTTTATGTCTCCCGTGGGCAAGTGTCTTATCTTCTGTATGCCTTAGAGTCCTCATTTACAAAATGAGGATAATTTTAGAACCCATTATAAGGTTCTTAAAAACTAAATGAATTAATACACAAGACACCTACTGTCTGGCATACAGTTAAGTATTTGAAAATAATTATTAACATTTAGTTAAGGATATACTAAAAGCGGTGAGACAAACCCCAAACAACCCTAAAAAATAAAAGAGAAATGGTGTTAATCTAAAAACTAGAAGAAAAATATTTAACACCTGAGTCCTTTCAGCCTTCGCTGGCATTTCTGTGGGGCAAAGTCCACTCAATATTAGGTTATAACTCTTCAAGATTGCACTACAAATATGTAAGTAATTGAGTATTAAATTGGCCAATATTGTTTGTATGCTAACCCTAAATACATATTTTCCTTTAAACTCTATGAGTTTATAATTCTAGAGATGTCATTAGCATGCATTTGCTTTATAGGTATTAACATTTTAATTAATCTTCATAAAAATTATTTTCTAATTCTAAAGTATAAGAAAACATTATCAGTTTTAAAAAAATAAGTAGAAAAGATTTTTAATGAAACACAGGTTATTAAAATAAAAGAAATATTCACTATCATACTTGGTAATGAGGCATAAATGATAGGCAATTTATATTACTATTATTTTTACCTAGACCATCTATATTTTTATAATTTTTAATTTACTTTTATGGGTTTTCCATTTCTTTTCTCCTAGTACTTCAAGCCAGTCTACTTGTTCTTTTAATGACATCAGTCTCTCAGCCCCATACCATGGCATACACATCATTAGCTTCAACACCCTTATCCATGTCCCTAAGAGATGGAATTTTCTTCCAGCCACCTCTGCTTTCCCTACCACCCTGAAAGTACACCTATGTTGGTCCTATGACTGCACTGGTCCCCAAAAAGGGACTGTCCCCCATCTTTTTCCTCATTAAACTTTGTTTTCATGGGACTCAAAATTCTGTGACAGATTTTTGGTCAAGTTGTTTCCATTAAAAACTATAGATTTTAAAAACGAATAATTGCCACATGCAAAACGAAACAAAAAAACCCCAAAGTAGTCCACAAAACAGCCTCCTTTCCTTCTGAAGGTTTTACGATGCATTGTTATCATTAACCAGTCTTTTACCATTAAACTTAAACAGCCAATTGAAACAAACAGTTCTGAGCCCATTCTCCCACCACTGATTAAGACTGGGGTGGCAGGTATTAGGGATGACATTCATTTAGCCTTCTGAGCTTTCTGGGCAGACTTGGTGACCTTGCCACCTCCAGCAGCCTTCGATCCATGGCTTTGATGACACACATGGAATAGTTGTCCCTGAGCTCTCTTCTTTGCTTTTCTCTCTCCCCACAGAAAGGATTCTGGGGCAGATGGGCTGGTCTAATGGGAAAGGAGAAGTGAAAATTATGGGACACATTCTGTGTTAAAGAATAATGACCATTCTTTAGGGTAGGAAAAGTAGGGGATGTGACCTTGAGGGGAAGAGGGCACCTTGTACTCCCTAATGCAAATCATGAGAATCCTGACCTGGCTTTAGGGAGCAGAGAGAGTTCAAAAGAAGAACATTTTCCTTGTGCTGAAATTGGGACGACAGAGAAGCAGTTGGGAGGAATGGAGAGAAGTTGCCCAAGGGTAAAAAAGGAGAAAAACAAGAAGCTTGTATGGTGCATTCCAGGTCCCCAGCGAGGTGCTTTGTACTTAGTGATTCCTCCTCACAGCAGCCTGTGAAAGAAGTAGTTGCATTCCCAATTTTCAGATGAGAAGAATGATGCTCACAGAGAAGAGCTTGCACAGGTTTATAAGCTCAGAAAGGAGCAGAGATCCAAATTCAGGACCGCCTGAGCTCTGGACTCTTTTCTGTCCATAAAACCAAGAACCAGGAGGAGCCAACTACAGTGCTACAGACTTCAGCCTTGACAGAGTGGGCTGCAGATTACGAGATAGGGGCTGGAAAAAGCTGGGACACCAAGACACATACATTTTAGCTACTCCAGGACTTGGGTTGAGGCTGTCCTCAGGCTGGTGTCCCCAGGGAAGCAGAGAGGTCCTTAGAAAAGAAGCATTGGACACACTTTCTGTTATCAACATGACCCTGTCACTCATAGGACCAATACAGGTTTACTTTCAGAACTAGCAGTAGAATTGGGTGTGCTTTGATTTTAGGGGCATCAGGAAAGCCTCCTTACCCTCCAAAATTGCTCCCCCAAATTTTTGACAATGACTTGAAATGTCATTAAGAGAGACCAATTTTAAATTCCACTATTAGAAGGATCTCTTCACATGTAAATGACCTGGAGAAATAACAAACTAAATCATATAAAGTTTCCTAAAACATGGCATATAAATAACTAAGGGAACACTGCAGATAAAGAGGAGTTCAGGGTGCTAGGATTTCAAGATAGGGCTGGATTCAAGTATCCAGCACTATGCAAAAATTTCTAAGAGATATACAAACAAAAATATTTTTAAGGGAATCACAGTATATCTTTAACTTCCATATGAATTCCTTTTTTTTTTTTTGAAACGGTGTCTCGCTCTGTCGCCCAGGCTGGAGTGCGGTGGCGCGATCTCAGCTCACTGCAACAACTGCCTCCTGGGTTCAAGCAATTCTCCTACCTCAGCCTCCTGAGTAGCTGAGACTACAGGGGCATGCCACGATGCCCAGCTAATTTTTTCTATTTTTACTAGAGATGGGGTTTCACCGTGTTAGCCAGGATGGTCTCGATTGCCTGACTTCATGATCTGCCGGCCTCAGCCTCCCAAAGTGCTGGATTACAGGCATTAGCCACTGCGCCCAGTCTGCATTCCTTCTTATAACTAATATCTCTAAGAACTTGCCCTCTGCTTTTCAGAAGAAAGACATCTTTTGCATGAAAATCTTGCCATCATATATTACATGAGAGTGTAAAAACCTCTAGGGCACCAGATAAGGGAATAATTGGGAATATTAGTGTTGTAGTTGAGAAAATAAGGGACTGTAATAACTGGGCGACAAATCCTTTTTGCAAATCAGGTGGTTTAAATTCTTTGCTTTCATCAAAACTGAAGGAGGGCCTAATATGTCAAATGATGGGTCACTGAACATAAATTTTGATGACAGATCGCTATGTAATTTTTGACCTGTAACTTGGAAGACGTGCAGAGTTGAGGGACACTGTTACAACATAAGTCCACGTATTTCTACTTACTTATGTATGAGAAGGTTCTCAGTATTTGAATTCATTATAAATGACAGATAGAAATGTAATTGATTTCATCCTGTTTCATTTCAGCAGTAGCATTCAAACTAGGCTAAATGAGCTACCTAGACAGGCGAGCAGGGATGAAAACCTCATTTCTCCTATTAAAAGCTGTATTTCCAATAAAAATTCAGTCTTTATGCCAAGTAATTATTTATCAAAACTTGTAGTACATTTGGGTTTTTTAAAAAAAATTAACAATTTGATCCCTATGGTCAAAGGAGATAAAGTTTATACGCAAATTTTTATTACAGAGAAATATGATGACCAATGGAAATTTTTATGCCTAAAATTTATTCTATTAGAGTAAAAACCTATGGGGGAAATGGCATAGAAATATAAGTTAAAATAGAAAAAGGAATACTGTAAGTTTCCCTATTTTTTTTTTTTTTGAGATGGAGTTTCACTCTGTCGCCCAGGCTGGAGTGCAATGGCGTGATCTTGGCCCACCGCAACCTCTGCTTCCCGGGTTCAAGCAATTCTCCTGCCTCAGCCTCCCAAGTAGCTGGGATTACAGGCATGTGCCATCATGCCTGGCTAATTTTGTATTTTTAGTAGAGACGGGGGTTCCTCCATGTTGGTCAGGCTGGTCTCGAACTCCTGACCTCAGTTGATCCACCTGCCTCGGCCTCCCAAAGTGCTGGGATTACAGGTGTGAGCCATTGTGCCTGGCAAGTTTTCCTACTATTAAAGAAGAGTTTGTTCTTACATTTTCTTAATCGGTAATGTTGAGTAAGACATCATTATGGTGTCTGCATTCCATTGGATAACTTTAAGTCAACAATTCTTTTTAAAGATGTCAAATGTTTATAATATACACAGACATGGCATCTTTTCCCACTATTTAATTTTTTTGATAATATTTTTTAGATACCAACATAAAATGTGCAAGGAGATATGTATTTTTTAAGTCTTTTAGGGATATGCTAGCAAAAATTTTAAAGAGCACTTCACAAAGGCATGAGAGGATAGTGGTTCTGTTACCAAGCAAGAAATTCTACCAGGGGAGAATGAGGAAGGCTGAGAACTGGGAAGACTAAAGAACAGGGTAATAGGAGTGGGAGTTGGAGGTCAGTGAATGGAACTCTCCAAATATGTCTCCTGGATGCCTCTGCAGTTGTGTTTATGCTGCACTTTCACAGAAGCCCAGTGAGATTTTGCCAAAAGACACTCAAGTCTCAAGGCCAAAAGCCTAGAGATAGGACCCAGCTGTGCCATTCACTGAGTCTATGCTCTTCAGCAAGTCACATAAAATCACTCAACCTTATTTTTCTACTTCTACAACAAGAAAAGTAATATCTGTCCTAACTTCCTCATAAGGTTCTTGTGAGGTTTGAAAAGGATACTATATGTCAAAGCACTTTTGATGACTTCTGTATAACTCTGAGCTGGTGTTATGGTGATTTCTTCACATAGTAAATAATTTATTCTACAACATGTCCTTATTACTTTAAATAACTTACAAACTAAGATAAAAGTTTAGTAAACAGGGAAGAATGATATCTAGCATAAAATAAGAGATACTTAAAAATATTTTCAATGGATACATTTTCCATTAAATTCTGTCCTAAAGACACCATCTATTTATACATTTCCAGATGCTAGAACTCACAGTGTTCAGCATAACTGAACACTGTGGTTTGTTTCTTTCTCAGGCAATATGCTCTGGGGTGAGGATGCTGAGCAACAGTGTGATATAATTCTGTAAGGAACAATCTTCACATTGTGAGTCTTTATTCAACAATCAATGAAAGACCAACAAAAATAGGGTCATCCTACTTCAGCTGAAACGTGTTAGCAACTAGGAAAAAGGAGAAAGTTTATTCAGAAGACATGAACTTGAAGGTTTACATGCCACTCTGAAGACCATGCCCAATTGAAATCTTGCACTCAGAAATTCACTCACTGGTAACTTTCTAATATTTGTCCTCGTAGGCTTGTTGAGACCCTGGGTCACCAACAAAGTACTCAATATTTTTGTAATTTTCCTTAATCTGAGCAGATGGCATATGTCTGTTTCAACAAACTGAATAGTCCAAAAGATATCAACTCCCCCAATGCTCTTTCTTTGAGTCTCAAGTAATACAGAAACATGCCTGCATCTCTTCTAACCTAAAAACAAACCAACAACAAAATTAAGCCTGACACACCCACCCTCCCCAGCTATGCTTCAGACTTCTCTTTCCCTTAGTGGCTAAACTCCTTGAAAGAGTGAAATATTCCCAATCCCTCTCTATGCACCTGCTCATTCACTCTTCCATTTAGCCATGTCTGGATTCCTGATCCCCACTCTACTCAAACTTCACTTTCAAAGGTGATCAGTGGCCTTTCTCGTTGCTAAATCCAAAGGCATCTTCTCTTCTCTATGGCAAACAGCTCCACTGTCCCTCTGAAAAGCCTCCCTCTGCTGTCTTTCCTGCCACTTGATTATCTGTTCTTTTGCAAACCTCTTTCACTGGTCCTTTTATAACATCCAGCATTTTCATATAGTCCTTCTCAAGGATCTCCCTCTCTCTCATTTTCTCCTCCTTCTACTTTATATCATGGTCCTTTGTCCTGCATCAGAATCACCTGGGGAGCGCTTAAGCCATCCTGATGCCTGGGGCCCCACCTTCAATGGTTCTTATTTAATTGGGCAGACAAAGGGCCCAAGAATCAGTGTAAAAACTCCTCAGGTGACCTCAATGTGCAGCCAGGTTTGAGAATGAGATATGCACTGGTTGAGTGACTTTATTCACTCTCAAGGCTGACAACTCACAAATCGTTATCTTCAGTCCCAACTTTTCTTAAGCTCTATTCATACTTCCAATTACTTTTTAGATAATTCCATCTGGATGCTCAACAAATACAAAAAAAACATAATAAGTGCTGAATATGATGTGATCGATTCACACTGCAATAGGTGTGAATCCATCACAATATCTCCTCACATTGGCCTTCTCTCTATAAACTTTGTCCTCCAGTCTTATTCTTCTTCAATAATAAAATCATTAATGGATGCTGGAGTTGAATTTCTCTTTTCCATTCAAAAATTTCTAAAAATTTTCATTATTTATGAAGTGTGTATAAATAATAACACACAACACAATGAAATGTGCTTTCTCTACTTTTAGAAAATTGATGAGATGGATGTGACACTTTTTAAATGAATGACTTCTCCCCAAATACATATTTGCCTGGGGTTTATCTGATTAGCTTATGAAAATTATCAAATGAGATCACACAGACAATTTGTGTCATTATAATGAACCAAATTTTGAAAACATACAGTCAAAAAAACTTTTTTTTGTTATAAGGAAAACAGTGCTTTGGAGTCAGGCAGAGTTGGCTTTGAATCCCAGCCCTCCCACTAATTGAGCTTGCAGCCTTGCGCAGGCTATAAGCTCCCAGAATCATAATCTTCACCTGTACAAATGGAGGGTGCATCCCTCCTGGGGTTGTAGGGGGATTTAAATGAGATACGAAAAGAAAGCACCTGGAATTAGGAGACAGTCAATAAGTGTAATTTAATTGCCTCTTCCCTAGAACTAACTTGACCCTACACAAAGCTATACCTACCTAAATGTATTTTAAACAATGATGATTCAGTGCCTCTTAGTGTCTCTATTAAGAAGTACATGTACATATCTTCAAATTCATAATACCAAATTAATAATATCTTCCAAAAAAACACCTGAAAGAAATCTGACTTTCAATTTACCACTGCACAGGACTATAGGTAGTGGTTTATGAGTCTTCATACATAAAACACTCCCAGTGAGGAAAGTGTCGTCTTATTTACAGCCTCAATCCCTGCTAGTGTATGTACAGAAGAGATGTCATATCTCTAGCCTTTCTACATGGGGACCAATTCCAGCTCTTGCAGTAGAAGGAGAAAGTGTTTAGAAATCCCTCCAACAGTGAGGTCATTCAATTCTACTGACGCCTTCAGTCTGGTACAGTGTTCTCAAAATACTAACATGATTTTATTAACGAATATGAATGATTCCTAATTTGATTACAATTTTTAGGACTAGAGCATATTGACAGTATATGGTATGTTCCCAGAAAAGGTGTATAAAACTGCCATCCCTACTTGTGTGCAGTGTGATTTAAGGAGCAACTTTTTATAGCTCCTAGACTCATGGTTTTATAGTTTCGCTGTTACTGCTATTTTATAATAGTCAGAACCATTGGCTGCCTAAGTCCTGTCAGGGAAAGAGAAGTTTTGTAGCAAAACAAGGAGATCATTTTTCAATGGCTCAGGCTTCCATAATTTCTTTTGAGTAGCAACTCCAGCATTCAGCAACCCTCACATTTCAAAAATGCTCTGTTACCTCTTTCCTAAATACTTTATTCTTCAGTTTAAATTTTTATTTATTTACAGTATCAGCAAAGACAGAGAAATATGGATTAAATTTTCCAGTGGATTATCCATTTATAGCTGGTCACTAAATATGGGATAAGTTATAATCCAGTTTTATCTTGACTTTCCGTAGTCATTTTCTCACTTCCATTCACTCCCCTCTCATCTTTATTATTAAACATGATAAAAATGAAGCTACCAAAGACAGATTCCAATGTTCTTGTATTTAGAGTGTATATAATGGGACCCCATTTAGATAAGACAGTTATTTTCCAAACAATACTTATTTCCAATAATTTTTCTCATGGTTTGCTATCAAAAGTTTTAGAATTATAACTATGCTCATGTTTTACTATTAAAAAACAGAAGACAAATATCTGGGGCAAAGTGATATAATTTTAAAAAAGGACAACTATGGCCTCTCCCTCAGTGCTGCATTCTTCACAATGCCCTGGGCAGAAGGAATGTGTCCCAGGGTGATTCATATATTTGGGGGTTTCCTGGAATGTCTGACACTAGGAGTAGTAATCATAGCTATTTTCCAATATATTTAATGTATTTTCTGAGTTGTTCCTTTTTAAAATAAGCAAATTAGTGTCACAGTAAGAAAAAAATTTATAATCTGACATTCAAGTCTTATTTTCTGTTTCTAACAAGAGGGAGAATATATTTGTAATCACAATAATATAGACATTATGATAAGAAAGGATGATGTTGCACCTTTAGATGATACAAATACATAGCTGAATATCATTAAGCATTTAGGAATGTGAGCCATAGTCGGCAGAAGGTATAGACTTTTAATTCCAAATGAAACAAAAAGCTTTATCTTCTGATACACTTTGACTATCTTCAAGAAGACTAATGTGTTGATTTTATAAGTGTCTTCCTTATACTTTTAGAATCAATACAAGCAGGCACTGCTTATATTATGAAATAATTGGACTATAACCCCATCTCTTTCTAAAGCCTTGCCAAGTATGGGATGCAAATGCCAGTAAATAACAATACAAAAAAAAAATCATTTTTTCCCCATCAATCAGAATGCTCCAAAGTTCATATATCATGGAAACATATAAGTAGAAATTATAACAAATTATAATCTGATTCTGATTTACATGTTTATAACACCTTCAATATGATCCTGTAGGCTGAATTTTGTGATTTTTTTTTTTTTTTTTTGAGACGGAGTTCTGCTCTGTAACCCAGGCTGGAGTGCAGTGGCGCGATCTCGGCTCACTGCAAGCTCCGCCTCCCAGGTTCACGCCATTCTTCTGCCTCAGCCTCCGGAGTAGCTGGGACTACAGGCGCCCGCCACCGCGCCCGGTTAATTTTTTGCATTTTTTTTAGTAGAGACGGGGTTTCACCGTGGTCTCGATCTCCTGACCTCGTGATCCACCCGCTCGGCCTCCCAAGGTGCTGGGATTACAGGCGTGAGCCACCGCGCCCGGCCTGTGATTTCTTTTAGTGTAACCTTTTACATAAAGTTGACTTTTTAAGGGTTTCAAATACCTAAGAACTTGTTTATTTCTTTAGTTCAGGATAAATAAACAACATCCCTGCATTTTACCAAAAGGGCAATGTAATGTTTTGTTGTTGTTAAAAAGGAAGGAAAGACCAATTAAATTCTTTGCAGAGATACTTCAGAGATAGGTGGACTTTGGTCAGGACCATGCTAACAATGAGAGGTTCTCAGCTCCAAAAACCACTTTTGGCATCCTTTGCCCTTCTGATACACAAACTTGTTAACCCTATGATTGGTTAAGGAATTGTCTAATCATATATGTCAATAATAGAGAGCAAAACATCTTGCAGTTTTCTTATTATACTCTCCTGTGAAAGACAGATGTGTTGTGTCTAATTATTCACTGATTGGTATCGGGAGAAACGTTAACATAATTGGCACATTTGTTCTAATTAACAGAGGGAAACTGCCACATGCCACCCAACATGAAAAGTGAGTCCAGCAAGCATTAGCTAGAAAACTCCACGTCTATCAGAAAGGTTACTCTGTTAAACTCATACTGAGGCCCATCAAGTCAGAGCACAGGTTGAAAATGATATAGCAGAGTTGAGAACTGTGTGCACACCTAAAAGAATGGAGATTTAGCCTAGAATCCTTGTCTATAGGTACATTAATCAAACAAATGGGAAAAGCAATTATGGGGCTATTATCAAATGTACACTCAGCCAAGCCAAGCTTCTCCAAGGAGCATTAGCTAGTAGCTGGGAATCTGCCAAGTTTTACTGACTGGTTTGGAAGTGACAAATCTGACGTTTTTGTGTATTTGTTTGTTTTAACTTTGTCCTTTACACCAGAGCTTTTCAAACTGCATTTTAGAATCACATGGAGAGCTTTAAAAAATCTCGATAACCTGGCTATATATCATGTCTATTAAATCAGAATCTCTGGGTGGGATATAAGCATTGGTAGATTCTAACAATTCCCAGGTGATTCCACTGTGCCTCCACTTCTGAGAACCAGTACTGCAGAGTGGTTTTGTTTGTTTGTTTGTTTTCTGAGACAGGGTCTTGCTCTGTTACCCCAGCTGGAGTGCAGTGGTGTGATGACGGCTCACTGCAGCTGTGGCTTCGACCTCCCAGGCTCGAGTGATCCTGCCACCTCAGTTCCTGGAGTAGCACACACCGCCATGCCTGGCTAATTTTTATTTTTTTATTTTTTGTAGAGTTGGGGTTCTCTTACATTGCCCAGGCTGGTCTTGAACTCCTAGGCTCGAGTGATCCTACTGCCTTGGCCTCCCAAACTGCTGAGATTACAGTTATGAGCCACTGTGCCTGGTGAAGACTGGTTTGATGATCTTGCTAAGATTTTCATTAAGAGTTCTGGGTCTGAGATTCTAAGCTCCTAGATCGTGTTGATGTAGATAATCTATGTACCACAGTTAGAATAGCAAGGCCTTGACAATTTTTTTTTTTTTTAAATGAGACCGAGTTTCACTCTTGTTGCCCAGGCTGGAGTACAATGGTGCAATCTCAGCTCACTGCAACCTCTGCCTCCTGGGTTCAAGTGATTCTCCTGCCTCAGCCTCCCAAGTAGCTAGGATTACAGGCATGCACCACCACGCCCGGCTAATTTTGTATTTTTTTTAGTAGAGATGAGATTTCACCATGTTGGTCAGGCTGGTCTCAAACTTTTGATCTCAGGTGATCCACCTGCCTCAGGCTCCCAAAGTGCTGGGATTACAGGTGTGAGCCCCCGTACCTGGCCAAAGCCTTGACAATTCTAAAAGACATTGATAGCTAATACTCTTCTGTAGACTTTCACAGGTAGGTTTGGCTCTAATTGCTCCGGAGTTTGAAGTCCTACTATTATTTTCTTATTTCTCCCACTGGTGAAAGGTATCTCACCTTCCCTTGTAGGTGCTTTAAACAATCAAAAAAGTTCTCTACTGTGGATAATTATGCTGGATGTTCTCTCTTGCTAAAAACCAGAGGCTACTTTGTAGATTTTTGCTTCTCAGTTTTGGAAAAAAACAAGTATCCATTCACTTCTGTGTTGACCACTGTGAAATATACTTTGCACCTTTCAGTAGGTTTGTGCAAGTCTGGGTATTTTTGTGCTTTAAAAAAAATGTTGGTCTTTAAGCAAGCTGAAATTATATCTTTAGACAATGGTAAAAAATATAGCCAAAGGATAAAAATACCAAGTGGAAACTAGTGGCATTTTGCTCAGTTGTTGTTACTTCTGTAAAGGAAAGGCATTTGCCAAGAAAGGGAATTTGTTTTCCTGCTGGGGAAACACTCTCTTAATTGCACATATGTCTAGCTTATTGCTTTTGAGGGTTGAACATACATAGGCCATATTGCAGAGGTGAACTTGTCTTGAAATCTGAAAACTTCTAAAACCTAAGTTCAACTATGAGGAGATAAAAGCATGATGACAAATGAACTAATACCAACAACAACCAAATAAAATAAAATAACCAAAACCTAAAGTAAAATGACTATATGTAATAACACCATCCAAGGGAACAAAATGTCATTGAAGTGTCCGTAAAAGGCTAACTTTTACAGGGCAAAAGGGCAACAAATTGACTAATCTGTAGCTAGTTCCTAACCAGTTTTTACTATAAACTTGCCTTTCAGGATAAGTAACTCTCAGCCTTTCTTCTTATTTACCAGTTAAAAGTGTTCAGGTCTATAGCTAAGTCTGACCATCTGTAGAAAAATACATGCTTTTTGCTCTCTCTGACTCCATAATGAGTTTATGATAGTGTGTGTAGGCATATAAAAATTATTGGAAGAAATCCCAAAGCAAGGGAACTTATTGAAGAAAAACCTTTTTTGAACAAATGAAGGCCAACAAAAATTTTTGAAAACCCTCCTGCTCTGTGACTATGGGCACAGGTTAGGTCTTTGCCTGCTGCTGAATCTCTACTGAGATAGAGACCGTGCTCGAACACAGCTGAGGTTTATTTTTTATTTATTTTTTTTTTTTTGAGACGGAGTCTCGCTCTGTCGCCCAGGCTGGAGTGCAGTGGCGCGATCTCGGCTCACTGCAAGCTCCGCCTCCTGGGTTCACGCCATTCTCCTGCCTCAGCCTCCCGCGTAGCTGGGACTACAGGCGCCCGCCACCACGCCCGGCTAATTTTTTTGTGTTTTTTAGTAGAGACGGGGTTTCACTGTGTTAGCCAGGATGGTCTCGATCTCCTGACCTCGTGATCCGCCCGCCTCGGCCTACCAAAGTGCTGGGATTACAGGCGTGAGCCACCGCGCCCGGCCACAGCTGAGGTTTATTAACCATTGATCTTAGGTCATCTGAATAAAGCTCATTCTGGTGGGTCTGCTGAACTTCCACATGGAACATTTCAGTTTCTTCTGAAAGACTAAATATTTTCTAGATTTTCATCATTAAATAAACCCATAAAGGTGTCCCTAAATCCATTCTTGCACTTCTAAAATCTATTTTCCATGCAGCAACCAGAATGATCTTTTAAAGGTGAATGTCAGGTCTCGACAATTCCTTAATGTCTCCATTGGCTTTTCAGGCATTTAAAGAAAACTCCAAATCACTTACCGTCTCTGCAAGTCTGCGCCCTCGTTCCCTCTTTCCTGACTGAATGTCGTCCTGCCTTCCTCCTTGCTCACTGGGTCTCAGACACACTGGCCTCCTTTTTAACCCTGTAACCAATCACCTCCTCCTGAGGGTACTTGTCCTTGTTGCTCCCATCACCTGGAGCTTTCTTACTCAGATCTTTTCAAGACTAGCTCCTTCCTTACCTTCAGATCTCAGCTCCATTACTGTCTCTTCAATAGACTTTCCTTGAATTCTAAAGTCATCCGCAATCCCCAACAACCATCACCCTCTCTCATATGACCTTGTGTAATTTCCTTTAACTTGTAATTATCTGAAAATATCTCACTCATTTTTCTTACATTCTTGCTTATTGTTTTTCTCCTCGAGGGACTTAACTGACTCGTATTTCCTACAACCAGAAAAATGTCTGGCATACCATGCATCTGCAGTAAATCTTTCTTATATAAGTGAATTGATGATTTTTAGAAATCTGCATTTTATACTATAGGCTTAAAGCAACCACTAAGTACATGCAAAAATCAAGCCACAGATGTATAATAAGTCAGATAAAATCTGTTATTTCTTTTGCTTTAAAATGCATGTTTATGTTGCTTAAACTTATTGCAATTTTAATTTGGCTTACAGTGTTTCTGGGCTTGTGGTGATCTCTGTGTGTAACTATTAGAGGCAGATATCAGAAAAAAATATGGGATTTTTCCCATACTTTTTCACCCCAAAAAGTATGGGATGATCATAATAAGGAGGTGACTTTGGCGAATGTTGATTGGACCAAAGCAAAGCTTGAAGGCTGACTGCTAGTAAGGGAACCTAATACTTTTGAAAACCCGTCTTCAAGGCTGAGAATCATATCATAACCAAAACTCTGTCTTGTAGCTACACACGTGGTAGCAGAAAATTCCAATGGGTAATTACTGGGCACTGAAAGCAACATCTCCCTCCAAACCAGTATTCAGATTCTTCTTTCCTCTCTAAACTCTTTTGCCTGAAAAGAGTGTAAAGCACCACTCTGGAGACAATATAGCTGCATGGAAATTCATCAATATGAAGTTCCTATTATGGAAGAATGGCAAGGAAACGTGAAGGACTCATGAAACAAAGTGTTCAGCAGCCATATGAATAATCAATTAGATGGAGAGCCACCTGATGCTGCACATTTGGCGGAGCCTCCAGCTGCCACCAGTTTTCTGCCCTGTCAGTATCAGCTTAAAAAAATCTGTTCCCTGTTTATCACGACTATACTCAGTAAAATAATCTATTCTTTTGCACCTCACCCCATATTTTCCTACTTGCTAATTAGAGATGCAAATGTTGATAAATAAGATGACAGTTTCTAAGCACAACTGGGTCAATAAGTTGAACATTGTGCCCTGTTCCTCCAATTAAACTCCTATGAGAAATAGCTCAATTATAATTAGAGAAGCAATTATCCCCTTGTTAAAGGTGAAAGAAATCACAGGTTTTAGAGAAAAATTCAGCTTTGCTCCTTCTGCCATGCCAACAAATCTTGTATCCATTGATGTTTTGATCCTAGTACTCTCCAAAAGAGATAATCTGATAAAGCATCTCGGAATATATTTCTGGCTCTCCATGTGACAGTAACATTTTCTAGGCATAAAATAAAATGAGCAAAGAGGATTAATTTCATAGAGTGCTGCTATTATGCTAGTGGAATAACCCAGCACCAGTTCCATGGGTGTATTAATTTTCTTGCTTCTTCAGGGAGATGGGGGGAAGGTTTATCTGTTGAAAGAAAGGCAAATGCCTCACCAGAAATGGAAGAAAACAATCACATTTTTGGCTTGATCCTAACAAAAGTGTTATTAAAGGAAACACTGAGCTATATCATTTTAGAGTATTCCTGGGATTTGTTTTTCTTTCTTTCACCTGGTTTACTTGAAAATTTATATATTATTATTGACACCTCCCTTATAGTCCTGGAACTCAAGTGTCTCCCACTCCCAGTGGCCTTGGTTCCTGGTCCTAGTGGTTTGGAACCTTGCCCTCAGGGTTCAGACTGATGGAGTCTGTCATCCCACACCAAGATCTCTCAATAGGATTGCATCTTCAGGGACGAGAAACACCCTTTTTCTAGAGCTTTCCATCTCCTGAGGTGCTGCCTCCATGTCACATCCAGCAGGGCCTCTTTCTGTCATTTAGTTAAATATACTTAGAGAATCTGCTAAGTGACTTATAACCTGCTGGCATTAGAGATAAAACATGAACAAAAAACTTTTTGCTTCTTATTTCATCATGAGCTTGTCAGGCAAGAAGAAGAGTAAACAGATAAATTTCAATACAATCGGTAGGCAGAGCTATATAAAATTGTGGCATGTGGGGGCTGCAATTTAGCCAGGTACACTGGTTCATCCATGCCAGGTATTCGATGTGGAAACAGTTCTGTATCTGTTGCTAAATTACTGAGTGTCCCTCACCCGCAGGCCCTGGCTGGCTCCCTGGGATTTCTGGATACCCTGTGACCCGGTGGCTAAAGGGTTATATCTGATAGAGCGCTAGGCCCCCAAGAGTCTGCTCTCGTGCTAAGGAAGCCATGCAGTTATTAAATCTTTGGAATAAAGTCCCCAGATATAAAGAAAGGACTTTAGGGAGAACAGACGAAGGAGCAGGCAAGTCTAGAGTTCTGAAACTCTTGTGCTTCAGCCCTAGGGTCCCCTGTTTTCTTATTGGAAAGGGCTTAAAGAAGTATAAGGAGTCCTCGGTTGGCCTCTTCCTCCTCTGAGACTTACTTTGTCACACTCTTTCCCTGGGCCCTGAAAAGAAGACCTACAAAGAGTAGCCTCAGGCTAAATTTCCTCTTTGGGAGAAAATATAAGGGCTGGTCTAGTGTCCTGAGTTGATAAGGACTGAATGAACAATAGTAGCTTTAAAGATCAGGGTAAGGGGCCAGGCGTGGTAGCTCACACCTGTAATCCCAGCACTTTGAGAGGCTGAGGCAAGCAGATCACTTAAGGCATGGAGTTTGAGATCGGCCTGGCCAACATAGTGAAACCCCGTCTCTACTAAAAATACAAAAACTAGCCATGCGTGGTGATGTGCGCCTGTAATTCCAGCTACCCAGAAGGCTGAGGCATGAGAATTGCTTGAACCCGGGAGGTGGAGGTTGCAGTGAGCCAAGATCACGCCACTGCACTCCAGTCTGGATGACAGAGCAAGACTCCGTGTCAAACAAAACAAAACAAAACAAAACATCAGGGTAAGGGCAGCAGTACACCATGACTTGCTATAAATAGTTTCATTAACCAATTATTTGGTAGTGTTGTTGAAAGAGCATTTCCTTATTTTAAAGCTCACAATATTGTCTTCATTTGTAGCGTGTGTGGACTCCAGCCAAAGCAACTGACTAGAGAACATAGGAGAGAATCTTGGTGACAGAAGCTTCCCCTCTGCATACCCCACAGTGCCAAGAAGAGGGGCAAGGTACTCAGTAAGAATTTTGAATTTAAGAGGTTGAGTTTGGTCTTGTGTGAATTAAAAAATTATAATATAACAATAGTACCAATGTTTCTTGAGTGCTTTTGACATGTTCTAAGTGATTTGCATATATTATCTCATTTAAACCTCACAACCACATTCTGCAAAGACACTATTATTATCTCCCCTTTATAGTTGAGGATACTTTGGTTCACAGTATTTAAATACTTTGGCCAAAGTAAAAAATGGTGATGTTTGGGTTTGAACCTGGAATTCTGTAAGAAAATTAGAAAACATTCTATGGTGGAGACTATAGGATGCCAAAATAGGGAAGAAGTAAAATATTATTACCTTAGAAATGCCTATGCCATTATTTGTAGCCAAAGTGGTATATCAAAACTAAGACTAGAGTTCTTGAAAAACTTATTGATTTGGAGAGAAAAGGAATTACTGCTTCCTGACATTCTGCAAAGAATGTACCTGACTACTTCCTCAATAGAACTAGCCATATGCTTATACAACAAAGATCAATTGAAACAATCAGCCATATGTTCATTGAACATATTTTGCCTGACTCTTTCTTGGAATCATTTGCCTTGGAGACAAAAGGAGCACAAATCCAGTCTGGCCTCATCTCCCAACGACTGATCTAATTATTACAAAACACATGAGTTTTACCTGCTGGTTTTCCTTTAAGATCAATATTTCACTTTATCCTATTTTTATGCTTAAAGATTCTTTAAACAAATAAATGAAATATTAAATAATGAATGCATTTATATTAGAAGGAAAATGGTCGTATAATCCTTTAACTCACTAAGTTACCTTTCATCCCTTTCTTTTTTAACGTATCTGCTCCTCTTGAGCAAATGGCAGTTGTAATATGTCATGTTAAGGTATTCATTAGTTTTCTGATCTTGGTGATTTTAATAGTGTTGAAAAGAATCTACACAGGAATTTATTAGCCTGCTCTTGAGCATGTATGTTTGATCTCTCTTCTGACTTTAAAAAATGAAAAAGAAATGCATATTAAATATAGTTCTTTGAATGTCAAATGGGTATATGATTTTTGAGCTTGCCAAGTTTTAATTGGTCTCTTCCCTAGTGATGATACAAATAGAATTCACAGCCAATTAGTTTGCAGTCATGAATCTTTACTCCTTGACAAAGTGAACTACTTTGTCAAGGAGACTGAAAAAAATGAAGAAATTACTAAGATCTCCCCCCACCTAAAGTCTTTGCAAGGATCAGTTACCTTTTAGAAGCCCTGAGCAAAAATGATGCCATGGATACCCATGTTGCTCATGATCTGTTTTGGGTTTTAAGGTGGTTTCATGGAGGAGGTGTGCATTAATATTTTAGAAATACCATTAAGAAGACATATGCACTATTGTCATTATCAAAATGAAATATTGAATAGAGAAGAGTTTTCTCCTTCCTAGTCGTATTAAATCATACTGTGTCTTAGTGCTGCGAGATAAGGTTTTGATGCTGTTGAATGAAATAGCTACTATCAAGCAAAATCTCTGATACAATTGGCATGAGATGCCAAATTAAGGCAAAAAAATAACTCTCTTTCAAAGTAAAAAAAAAGGAATTTCATTAAAATTTCCTTTGAGTTCTTTGCATTGACTCATAGAGATATGAATGGCTGTGATAGAAAAATGGGGTTATTTCATAAGGACTCTGCCTAAATTTTCAATTAATTATTATTATTACTATTAAAAGAACAATCAGATGTTTGAGCTTGTTGTCAGGGGACCAGCTAACTACCTGACCCCATCTTTACTTCTTGAAAAAAATGGAAAACTATGAGAAGTAAAATAGTAAGTACATTATTAATTATTAATTGCTTTATGGACTATGTTGAAAGTCTCATTAGTATTATTTTTCCGTTTCAGAGATAGGCACAACTTCAGGGCTTAATTTTTAAAAATTCATATACATTGAACCCATATATAGGTCCCAATTGCAACAACTGAAATATGCCTCTTTCAACACATGCAATAGAGAGTAAAACTTTCAAATGACTCAGTGTAGTTTGGAGGCCAACAAGGACCACCACCAAACTGGCAGCTATGCCACTTGTCAAATTAATGTGTGCTTGGACTTGTAGGACACGGGGTCAATTAGGGCAATAGTGTCAGATGCATATAAGGATGTCTCCTAATAATCATTTAAAGGGTAACCTGTTTTTAGAGTTTAGGATTTATTTGTTAACAAATGAAAGACACAGTATTAGTTTTCCTCAACAGTGTGATCTAAGATGATGGTGAGTGCTTGCAATCTCTTCTGGGTCACAGAGTCCTCTTCCCCAAAGAGAGATATTTTCAAAGGACATGGTATTGTGTGTTGCTAATGAAAAGTCATGGTATGCATCTGATTTGTAATACTTCATTAGCAACCAATAGGCTTTGTTCTAGCAGAAACAAAAAGTGGAAAATGTAGGACTTGATGGAAAGTTTATAGGATGAAACTAATTGACACCTTTTACTCCTAAAATGTGTTTTTATGCAAGGTGTGTGGGCATGGCTTTTAGGTATGTCTATGACTTCATCATGGAATGGAAAATACATATGTAAGGTGCACAGGCTCACAGACACAGAAAAACACACTCTCTTCTTACACTCACATTTTTCGCATATCAGCAAGAACAATAATAAAATTGATGGCACATTGTTAAGTCATACCATCTCTCTATGATAAGTGCCAGACAAAATAAAGCAGTATTTCTGATTTCTTGAAAGAGAATGACAAAACTAAACCAAGCTGCCTGTGGCTTTGTCCAATGGGGCATTCTAATTGACTCCCAAGTCATTAATCAGTTCCCAATCAATCTATTTTGCCAGCAGCAGGCAGTTAGGACTCTATTACCAACCATTCATCATGCCATACCCTAATTCACTGCACCATTAGCCATGGATTAGGCCTCTGTTAGAATAACTTAGTGCCAATTGCTAAATGCAAAGAATTGTTGTTATTCACCTCAGCCACTGGGATCCCTTCAGGTGGTCGACACTGGAGTAAGACTTCCTGTTCCAAAGACACTTCCTTTCCTAGGGGTTCCTGCTCAAATGTCTTCCGTAGATCTGGAACGTAAAAGTGACAAAATACATGTCAAAATTAAACAACATTTTCTCATTTACAGAGAGTACAAAAAATTTTCTGGCTTAGTATTTTATCTGTGCTTTTTTTTCTTTCTTTTTTCTTTTTTTTTTTGAGACAGGGTCTCACTCTGTGTCCCAGGCTGGAGTGCAGTGGTGTGATCACAGCTCACTGTAGTTTTGAACTCCTGGGCTCAAGCGATCCTCCTGCCTCAGCCTTCTGAGTGGCTGGGACTACAGGTGCATGCTAGCATGCTTGGCTATTTTTTTAAAAAAATTTTTTGTAGAGATAGAGTCTCACTATGTTTCCCAGGCTGGTCTCAAACTCCTGACTTCAAGTGATCCTCCCACCTCAGCCTCCCAAAGTGCTGGGTCTACAGGTGTGAGCCATGGTGCCTGGACTTGCATTTTTGTTTAACCACATGTTGTTAGCACTTTACTATAATCTGGTGACTATATTATGTGGAATAAATTGTGAAATTCAGAGGTTATGAACTGTTCCTACTTTAAACTTCAATGGAAGCCTTTGGCAGTCCTTATTTTAACAATTAATAAAGTTCATTAATTGCTTTTTGTTAGGATTTTTTGATCATCAATTATGATGATCACAGTTTTAAATCAAAAGAACCCCATTCTCTTGATTCTTATGCCTACAGATTCCCTTATGTATATACATATTTTCCTCTTTTCTCACAATGGATACTACTGAAGCTCCAGTAACTCTGGAATCTTTTGATTAATACTCTAAGTGAGTTTCCATTTCAAAGTGGAAAACAGAATGCTGGAATCTATAAGGAAGAAACATAACTTCTTCAGGTGTCTCAAGTACAAGGCAGAGAAAAGAGAATTGAGAACAGTCCCAAGATATCACTACATTTAATCATATGGCCATTCTTTAATTAGAAGACTAGTCATTTCTGCTCACATATCCCAGGCATCTAATTATGTATTTATATAGATATAGTTGATACAGGAGTATGCAGCTGAGTTTTACAAACTGTTGTTAGATGGGCACAAAAATGTTAGAAGCCAGTTTGTCATTTTAAACACATCAGAGGCACATACTTCAAGAGATAGGTTTAACTAAATCATCCCTGAATACCATATAATTATTTTGTTTTAATGGTTTGGCTTTAAACTCTATATACATTTAGTCTAATTTCTAAAGTTAGAAAATTAATTTAATCATAGAACTTTGAAGCAGCATTTTTTTAAAATGCCTACAAAAATTTTATTTCATGCATGTACAGTTCAGTTCCTTCCATTAAAGAGTTATTAGAATTTTACCCAGTGAATTTTAATAAAAAATTAATGCCTCTGTTCTGTTATCCCAGGTCCCTGATAAAGACATAAGAATCTGAAAGCAGCATTGCAGTGGATTGAACTAGCGAGTGGAAACCTGAAGACTCTAGAGCAGTGGTCCCTAACCTTTTTGACACTAGGGACTGGTTTCATGGCAGATAATTTTTCCACTGACTGCTGGGGCGGGGCATGGGGGGGATGGCTTTGGGATGAAACTGTTCCACCTCAGATCATCAGACATTAGTTTGATTCTCATAAGAAGTGTGCAACCTATATCCTTCGCATCTGTAGTTCACATAGGGTTCATGCTCCCGTGAGAATCTAATGCCACCACTGATCTGACAGGAGGCAGAGCTCAGGTGTTAATGCTCACTAGCCTGCTCACCTCCTGCTGTGCGACCAGCTCCTAACAGACCACGGACCAGTACCAGTTCTCAGCCCAGGGGTTGTGACCCCTGCTCGCAAGGTATATCCCTAATAGAGCTCTACCAGAAAGCACCTGGAAAAAAATGCACTGAGAAAGGACTGCATTGTTACACATTTGCCATATTGTTGAATTTCTCAGCAGAAGAAAACCCTCAAGATTATAAAGGTTGTGAGAAAATCATAGATCTATGAGGGTCTGAGGCAAGACAAGAGACCTCCAAATGTGATAGAATTTCTATCAGAAAAATGCTTCTAATTTGATTGTCAAGACATTGAATATATTGTAGAAATGAACATTTGGGGCCAGGCACAGTGGCTTATGCCTGTAATCCCAGTACTTTGGGAGGCCAAGGCAGGTGAATCACCTGAGGTCAGGAGTTTGAGACCAGCCTGGCCAACATGGTGAAACCCAGTCTCTACTAAAAATACAAAAATTAGCTTGGCATGGTGGCGTGGGCCTGTAGTCCTAGCTACTCGGGAAGCTGAGGCATAAGAATTGCTTGAACCCAGGAGGCGGAGGTTGCAGCGAGCCAAGATTGCACCACTGTACTCCAGCCTGGGTGAAAGAGTGAGACCCCATCTCAACAACAACAACAACAACAACAAGAAATGAACATTTGGAATCCACAGAGTTATCATAACTTTAAAGTTATCTAAACCATGTCATTATCTTACTTCCAAAAAACATGTTGACCAAATTACCTGGAGCCTCACAGCATAATAATCAATGGCTGCCTTAGAACCTGCTGATACGGATTTTCTACATTTTGCCACCCCACACATCCCCCGACATCTCTTTTGGTTAATTTGTACTCTTCCAATGGAAACATTAAGAATTTTCTCTTCTGATGTGGTGGCTTCTCTTGTTTTTTTGATCTGCACTGAGATAAAATTTGATGAAACACCAGATACCAATAAAAAGAGCAGCAGTGAATATCATTTATGAGCTTCAATGTTCTTGACAAAGTATATCTTGTTTGTAAAAAATGATTCTGAGAAACTTCTGCCTGATGTGGGGTTGGGCAAAGACATAATAACTGGAATGAGTTCTCAAATTAAATAACATAGTGACTCACTCTGATTTAAATTAATCAAGATATCACAAAATGAGGGCTAAGAACAAGAAAAAGTAAGGCATATATGTATTTAAATAGAGCAATTTCATTTAACATTTATTCATTGTCTCCATATGGTAGACATTTTATTAGGTACTTAGGATGAAGATGTACAAGACACAGAAAGAAGACTAGAAAGGTAAGCTGAGGTGTGCTTATGAAAAGCCTTTCTGTCATGCTATGGAAAGGCAAACCCTCAAAGGAGCAAGATCAGAGAACAAGGGTGTCCATCAGAGTGACTGATGGAGTGAGGCGGTGGTGAGGAGCCTGAAGTTAGTTAGGGACTCATTTGAATAAACCATGAGGGATGATGGGGTCCTGAACTCAGCTAGTGATAGAGGACAGGAAGAGGAGGAAGCAATTCTAGAAATAAATATATCATACCTTGAAGAAGATGTAGGTATTTGGAGAGCGCCAGAAGGCAAGGATAATGTTATATTCTCAGCTACTGCATTGTTAACTTGGTACAAACACTGAGTGGCATAGTATCAAGATGGGCAGGGAAGCAGAGAGAAAGATAAATTCATTTTGGTACATGTTAGGTTTGGCATATCTATGAAACATTCAAACTGAAAAGTATAGTAGTCTAGATCATGGTTCCTAAACCTCAACCCTTTTAATTTTGGGGACTGGGTAATTCTTTGCGGTACAGTTGTTCTTTGCATAGCAGGATACTTGGCAACATCCCTGGACTCTACCTGCTAGAGACCATTAGAACCCCATCCCAACCTTAACAAAATAAGTGCCTTCAGACAATGCCAAATGTCCCCTAAGGGGAAAAGTCACCCCCAGTTGAGAACCACAGGTCTAGGGCTTGGAAAAGAAGGCCTGGTAGGATTTCTTGTGCTTCACCAACTAGGCAATCGCTGAAGCACTGGAAACAGATGGCATCACCAGGGAGAGACTGCAGCATAAAAAAAAGAGGACAGTGACATTCAAGAGGAAAAGCTGTCATCCAATGATATAGAGTGAACAAAGCGGTAGGAGAAAACCCAAGGAAGTTAGCATCAGAGCAGCCAAGAGGAAAATAAAATTTTAAAAAATGGGGAGGTCAATAGGAGAAATGCAGTGAAGGACTCAGAAGTACTCATAGGAGAGAAGTCATTGGTCTGGGAAGTTTAGGAGTGACCGGGAGCAGAAACCAAGTTGTGATGAGGAGTGGCCAGGAAGTGGGGAAATGACCATTCTGGGTACTGTAGGGGCGGAGGGAAAAGTTCTCCTTAGCCCTCTGAAGGTTCACTGGAAAATCAACTAAGTCACAAAAGGCAGATTAATTGGAGAGAAGACAGACAAATTTTATTTAACATGTACACATGGGAGCCTTTGGAATGAAGACATAAAGATCCAGGGATAATTGTCCATTTTTATGCTTCCGTTCAACAAAGTCTGGACAGCCATGTAGAAATATGATTGGACAAAAAGAATCTGACCTAATGTTAACAGACTAAGTGGAGAGGCCCAGCAAGACTGTGGGTCTAGATTCTTCCTGGCCTCTCTGAGCATTCATTCCTTCCTTCATCTGGGTGTCAGGCAGGACCCTCTCTGGAATGGGGGTCTTATGACCTATGATCACACAAGGTAGGTTAGATAAATTTTTTATGGTCACTTTTTACACAAAATGGAGGATGGAAATTTAGAATAATATTTTTCAGTTTTGTGGCTGGTTTTGGACTAAGGGGGTTTCTATGACTCGCCTCGGGGGAAGAGGGATTGTCTTTTCCATGGCTGGTCTTGGGGAAGAATGGACTGAGAGACAGGAGGGCAGGAGAAGGTCAGAGAAAACTTTTGCTTCTGAGGCCTTCATTTTGGGGTATTGTTTTCTAAGTCCCAATGGTATCTACTACTCTTTTCCAAAATTTTAAGGTGACAGAAGTTAGTAGCACCATTAACGGGCAGTGGGTTTGAGTGCAGCATGCTGTAATTCTTCTTAGAATATGGTGCAATTTTTGGCACAGTTTTCTAATTCTTGCCATATAAAGGCACATTTTATGTAGGCCCTTATTTCCTAATTGAGAATGGCGACAGCTACAGGCATCTACTTCCAGAGACAGGTTTAACTAAACCATCACTGAATACCACAGAATTATTTTAAGGGTTTGGCTTTAAGCTCTATGTAAATTTTATCTAATTTCTAGAATGATCTCACATTTAACCCCCTACAAGGCAATACTTCTTCCTGAAAAACGCTTTTAATTCCTGCCGTAAAACCTCCTCTCTGGCTTTCAGATTGTGTAATGAGCATAGGATATATCGCGGCCGTGCAGCACAGAAGCCGCTCATTTCAGCATGCTGCCTCGCTACTCTGCGAAGGGAGGGTAGATAAGATTTTAAGCATATCTTTTATCATCTGGAGAGATGTGATAGAAGGCAGGCCAGTTGCCTTGCAGGCAGAGTGAACACAGGGGTGACGAATGAATAAGAATGAAAAACGAACACTTGTCAGCTGGGAATTAGATGTAAAACAGAATGGTTCAGAATAATGTGGCCATTCCTGTCAGAAAAAAAAGACGAAGTTCTGCCCTTGGAAGACCTTTAGGATTCTACATTCTGCTTTCTTTCCATTAGTTATAAGACTGCTACTAAAATTAAGTATGAAGTCCTTTCATTAATAACCTAGATTACTTTTGCAAAGTCAACTTGGCATGCATCTAATTTAGTCATTGATTCTGCCAATTAAAAGCTATCGTCATATGTATGCTTTCAGAGAGATGTTTACTTAAGAACATGAATATTGGCTTAATAAATCCATACACTGAAATCCAATTAGCAGATGTAGAATCAGACCTGAAACAATATAGATTTCTATTTTCCATTTATACATAACCAAAGAAAGTCCCTTTGGACACACACATGTGCATACAAAGTCTCATTTTTTGGGTGGTAGAATTTTGATGCTTTCAGTGATTTTTTTTTTGCACAATATACTGTGGCTACAAATTAGCTGTGATGCAGAATACATGATTCATGGCATTCTGCAAACATTAGCTCTGCTTTTTGACAAAAAAATGCAGTTAGCAGAAAAGAAGACTCACTGGGAGACAGATTTTCTGGCCTTCAGTTTCCATATTTACGAAATGAAAATGAATTACTAGATAATTCTGAAGGATGATTTTGCTGTAAGGACCTATTACTGAACAGACTGAGATTTTAAATACACATTTTAGGGGGGAAAAGCTTATCCTTTGTGGAGTAAGGTACTTCTTGGTTGCCATTATGTGTCCAAGAGAAATAATAGAAGAAATTATTTCAAAAGTCAAGGAGTTGACGCATCTTTGAAGACAACAGCTTATAATATTCTCCTCAGAACGACTTTCACAGAACTTTTTGGACACTTGGATCTACAGGTGTGAGTAAGAGTTAGAAACTAGGGAGAGAAGTGGGTTACAGAAATTTGGTATTTAAAAAAATTAGCAAATTCTTTGTATAAATCCTGGAGAGTAATATAATGTAATCCACAAAAGCAGATGAAAATTCAGGCCCTGATGATTGTAAATGCACTAAGAATTATTTTGACAAAACTAATTGTCTGTCTCCATGGGACAGAGAGGATAGGGGAGGAAAATGCCTATCCAAAACAGTGTGGAAGAAAGCCTGTCATGCCAATGTGCGTATTTACAAAAGGGGCAGAACATCCTGCCTCTTCCCAGTGCCATCTCTTGAGCAACTTTGCCTGTCACTGTCTGAAAAGGGTGAGTGTGACCTATAATAGGAAAGTGGAGGCTCTATTGTCATGGGTCATACTAACATCTCTCCACCTTTGAGCCCTGCTGATTTTAGAAGACTAGGAGAAAATATCA